>NC_000015.10:31458692-31761722 GCF_000001405.40 Homo sapiens
AAAAGTGGGAGCTGGTGCGTCACATGCCACAGAGGGAGCAAGAGAGAGGGGAGGGGTGTCAGGCTCTTTTCAACAACCACCTCTCGTGTGGACTGACAGCACGAAGTCACTTATTACTGTGAGGAGTCACCAAGCCATTCATGGGAGATCTGCCAACATTGGGGATCACATTGGGATCACATCCAAACCATATCATATCCTGTGCCTTTAGTGATTTCTCTCTGTCCCTCTTTGTCCACTGAACTAAGCCTGGATTCACACTGATATCTCAGACTCAAGGCCAGCCCTACAGGACTCATTCCCGCCCCCACTGTTGATCCATAACCCCCCTTCCACACTCGCCACACTGAGACACTGGCTCTAACCACCCAGCATGCCTTCACTTGTTTGTTCAAGCCCAGTGTACCTGTGTGGAAGCTTCGGAATCATTAGCCTGCTCTCACTTGACATGCATGTGCTGAGTAGAGCATCGCTCCCTTTGTCTGCAGGTGTTTCCAGTAAGAACACCGCTTTCCCAACTTACTTAGGCCAGCTCCTCCTCCCACCCCCTCACGGAGGTCATGTTTGTAATTCAGTGAGTGTCTTGTCACAGTCTGTGTTCCATCCTGGGATTCCCCAACCTACTGGTTGAGGTTTTGTAATTTGCATGCACTAAAAATGAACTCTTTGTAATGTGTACAGTTCTATGGGTTTTGACAAACACAGAGATACTTGTAGCTAGCACTCCAGTAGCAGACAGAGTAGCTCCATTACCCTAAAAATTGTCCTGTGCATCCCCTTTATAATAGCCATCTCCTGATCCTCTGAATCTCATAACCCCTGATGTGTTTTCCATCCTTATAGTTTCATCTTTTGCAGAATGTCATATGAATGGAATCATATGATATATAGCGTTTTGGGTCTGGCTTCTTTCATTTATGCTATTTCATTTAAAAAAAACAGTTTCAGTTTCAGCAGAATTTTTAATTATGTGTTTTATCTTTTTGAAAGTAGTAAGCATAGCTAGTTAAAAATCTCCATGTGATATCCTCACTACTTGGGGCTTGTATGGGTCAATTTCTATTGCCTATTGTTTCTACTAGTTTTCGTTTGTGTTGATTTGTCTTCTTGAATTCTTGGTTCTCTTTCATTTTGAGTTGGATATTAAGTATGCAAAACTTTATAAAAATACTTTGAAGCATAGGATAATGATATTATTGTTATTATTATTATTGTTATTTTTACAGAGACTTGCTTCTGGCAGGTTCATAGCATAAACATTCTCTTTAATCCAGCTCAGAAATTGAGGTCTCCTGAGCCACACTGATGACTGAAGCCAGGCTGTAGCCCTCATGAGGGTTAATTTTCTTGTTTTCTCAGAGAAGGCAATCTTTTGGTATCCCCATGCAAAGGGTGACACCCACCCCAACTAGTCTTTCTTTTTTTTTTTTTTGTTGAGACGGAGTCTTGCTCTGTCGCCCAGACTGGAGTGCAGTGGCGCGATCTTGGCTCACTGCAAGCTCCGCCTCCCGTATTCACGCCATTCTCCTGCCTCAGTCTCCTGAGTAGCTGGGACTACAGGCGCCCGCCACCAGCTGGGACTACAGGCGCCCGCCACCACGCTCAGCTAATTTTTTTTTGTATTTTAATAGAGACGGGGTTTCACCGTGTTAGCCAGGATGGTCTCCATCTCCTGACCTTGTGATCCACCCGCCTCAGGCTCCCAAAGTGCTGGGATTACAGGCATGAGCCACCACACCCAGCCTCTTTTTTTTTTTTTTTTTCTTAAAGATGGAGTCATGCTCTGTCGCCCAGGCTGGAGTGCAGTGGTGCGATCTTGGCTCAGTGCAACCTCCGCCTCCCGGGTTCAAGTGATTCTCCTGTCTCCTGAACAGCTGGGACTACAGGCACCCACCACCATGCCTGGCTAATTTTTATATTTTTAGTAGGGATGGGGTTTCACCATATTGGCCGGGCTGGTCTCGAACTCTTGACCTCAAGTTATCTGCCTGTGTTGGCCTCCCAAAGTGCTGGAATTACAGGCGTGAGTCACTGAGCCTGGCCCCAACTAGTGTTTCTATTCTTGGTGGGCCCTGAATTCTGCTTTTTGTCCCCTTAACCCTACAAAAGATCTTCATGTTTCTTTGTCACTCTTCCAGCATCAGCAGTCACCTCTAGACTTTAAATAGTCCTAAACAAGGTCATTCTTTATAACCTCATTAATCTCATATCTTTAGCAGATGTTTCTCATATTTTGAGCATTTTTTTTAAGTTGTTGGCTGGATTGATGGGTGGACAGATTAGCTGGGTTGATTCAGATGAGTTTATTCATCCCTCCTGGCAGTGGAGATCCCTGTTTCTCTCTCGGGCAAGCCCTTCCACCAGATCATTGGCCCCTGAGCTCATTCTCCACTGCAGGCTTGGGATGTGGACTTGTTCTTCACTCTGGGGCACTGAGACCCATTTCTGAGCGAGATCCTTGAACTGAATCTGAGGAACGTTCTTGAGGTGTTGTGCCAGATCCCTACTGACTCCAGTAGCGATGGCAACATGTCTAAGAGCTGGAGCCAGCGAATGAGACCTAGGGTTTATTGGGGCACTTCCAGTGGTGGCAAACTAGACAGGAAGATTGCTACCATTTGTAAAAAGCAGACAGTTTATGTAGCATTTTCACTTAGCACCCTCCACCTAGCAACCTCTATTTAACCCAGAACAAAGGGCTCCTATCCCCTGTACAGTCTGCATTCCAAGGGATGGGCCAGGGGTTCGGATGTCCTTCATGGATAAGGAGTGAATCTCCAAATTGGCCACTCCTGGATTCCTTAACTCAGAACTCTGCCAACACTCTTCTTAGACCATAGGACCATTCCCAGGGTAAGCGCCAGTGATGGCTGTCAGATGCCTCCGTCATACATAGAGGTGACTCACATACCCTGGTGTTCTGTGACTGTGCCGCTGGTGTTTGTGACCAGCACCCCAGAGGAGCTCCGAGGTGGGTCCTGGCATACCTGCTAACTCACCTCCTTCCTGACCTGCATGTGGCCCCACTCAGGGCTTGTTTCTCTTTTTCCAGAAGGTTAATTAATTAATACATAATGTCCAAATTGAAAAAAATAAATATTTCCACCATTTTGTCACGTACATTTTGGAATGACATTATAGAATGCTGTTATAGAATGCCATCTCAGGAGTTCAAAGTCAAGGTGGCAATGACGGAGTCATTTCCTAAAGGCTTGGGAGGGAAGCACAGAAGAGAATTCAAAGTCTTACCTTAAAGCCTTTGGATAGCGACATGAGCGCAGCATTCCAGTTCACAGCCAGGTTCTGCCCAGGGCCCTCTGCCCCCTCCTCCATCACTGACCTTTCCTGTTTGCCCTTCAGCCTGATGGGGCTTGGCACCCCTAAAGCAGTGGGTGCCTTGGCCACAAAGCACCTGCTACACGGCGGACCAGAATAGCAACATGCGTGCCAGGAATAACTGTGAGCACGGACAAAGCAGAAAAGGGCCCGGGGTTTATTTCAGGAGCTTGGGGGAGGAGCCATAAAACAGACTCAAATGAGCCCTCACCCCCAGACCATCAAAACCACTTTTAAAGCATTTTCCTCCAGGGGACAGGGTTGGTTACTCTTATTCCATCTCCCCTGGGTAGAAATTCTCCTCATGGTGGCAGTGCTGAGGCTCTTACAAAAGGATTTTTAAAAACCTGGTACAAAAAGGAATCTAACTAATGAAGTTGATGATGATGATGATGATTTTTTTGCCCAGGAGGGAGTGCAATGGAGCAATCTCGGCTCACCGCAACCTCTGCCTCCCAGGTTCAAGCGATTCTCCTGCCTCAGCCTCCTGAGTAGCTGCGATTACAGGCATGTGCCACCACGCCCGGCTAATTTTGTATTTTTAGTAGAGATGGGGTTCCTCCATGTTGGTCAGGCTGGTCTTGATCTCCTGACCTCAGGTGATCCACCCACCTTGGTCTCTCAAAGTGCTGGGATTACAGACATGAGCCACTGCGCCCGGCCTATGAAGTTGATTATTCTTAAAGAAGTTGTTTTTGAATATGATGTGTTTAGTATCTGTGGTGTTATTATATATATATGTGTTTCTGTCCACGGTTCCTGGCTTGTAACTCCCATAGCCTGTGTTAGGGTCTTTTGTTATAACGTTGGGTGCTTTAGGGCTCAGGAAACAGAATCTCTCTGGTCTTCTCCTGACCTCCTTTTACCTGCCCCAAGACAGGACTCTATTCCTCCTGCACCTTTCTGATTGTGGGTCACCAGACCCTCCCCAGAGGGAGTCCTGCCCTATACCTTGGGAGATGGAATGCTGATGTCATGGAGCTGCCATCAAAACCCAAAAGGAGGCTGGGCACAGTGGCTCACGCTTGTAATCCCAGCACTTTGGGAGGCCGAGGCGGGCGGATCACGAGGTCAGGAGATTGAGACCATCCTGGCTAACACAGTGAAACCCCATTTCTACTAAAAATACAAAAAATTAGCCGGGCGTGGTGGCGGGCGCCTGTAGTCCCAGCTACTTGGGAGGCTGAGGCAGGAGAATGGCGTGAACCCGGGAGGTGGAGCTTGCAGTGAGCCGAGATCATGCCACTGCACTCCAGCCTGGGCGACAGACCGAGACTCCATCTCAAAAAAAAAAACCAAAAAAAAAACAAAACCCAAGAGGACTGGGTTCGGGAGCTTCCCGAGAGCTGAACACGCGGAGGTTCCTGGAGGGTGGTGCCCAGGGAGGGCATGGAAACTCCGTGCCCCTTCCCTCGATTTCATCCTACGCATCTCTTCATCTGTAGTCTTTGTAATATCCTTTATAATAATAAATATTATATATAATAGTAAACGTGTTTCTTACTGAGTTCTGTGAGCTGCTCCAATAAACTAATAGAACCCAGAGAGGGTTGTGGGAACTCTAACTTGAAGCTGGTTGGTCAGAAGTTCCAGAGGCCTGGACTTGCACCTGGTGTCCGGGAGCCGGGCAGTCCTAAGAGAGGATCTGCCCCACTTTCCAGGTAGACAGTGTGGGAGTTGAAGTGGAGGACACCCAGCTGGTGTCTGCTGCCTGGTGTGTAGGAGAAACCTCCACGCCTTTGGTCACAGAAGTCTTCTTCTGTGATGATGGTTGTGGTGGTGTGAGAGCAGAGGAAAAACACAACTGAGAGAGTTTTTCCAAAACAGTATCGTTGCTCATTCCTATTTTCCGGTAGGAAATGTATGGGTCAGGCGTGTTCCTCCAACTGCTTGCTCGTGACAAAGGAGAATAAACTGCTGGGCTTTATTTGATAATAAACAAAGCATCAAGCCCAACCTTCCAATTTTATTACTGTTGGGTGTAGCACAAGTAGGTTATGGATTCCAGATTATGAATTACTGATCAAAAACTGCAGTAAAATCTAGAACTACAGAATTAACTCACTGGTTAAGATACTAGATTTGAAAGGAGAAATAAATAATTGGTTGGCTACAGGCAACTTACTTTTTTTCTCCTGGGTGAGAAGAATAAAACATGAAAAACCCTGATGTGGACACAGCACGTGGCCAACCAGGGGTCTCTTCTTCCACGGTGCTCACCATGCAGGTGTCCAGCTCTCACCTCACTGCTTAGGGCAAAGCATTTTCTGCAAACGTGGGAACTCTGATAGCAGCTGTTCCTTGGACTGGCAGGAAATATTCTACGCTTCACTGGTTCCCACCCCTGAACCAGTCTCTGAGGTGCTCCTGCTGGTCCTGGGAGGTCAACAGCAGACAGGCTGGGGCTCCCGCCTCTCCTCCTCCAGAACTCCTCCTTCCGTTCTGCTGCCGAAGTGCTCAGGTGAGGGCTGCTGAGCTCATCAGAGCAGGGGACACGTGGCTCAAACACCCTCATCCACCCCACAGAGAACTCCAGTTCCAGTGGCTGGGATGAGTTATGGAAACCTGGAAAGTCAAAAACACAGAGCACAAATCTGGAACTGATGAGTGTTGGGACTTTGTTGAGACAGTCCGTGGAGGAAGGCGAGCTAGCACAGTGGGAGCCATCAGTGGCCTCATGCTGCCCAGCTCTAAGGGCTGGGAGGCAGGGACAGACTTGAGTGCAGGAGGGCCATGCTGTCTCCTGCAGTAAAGCCTGGTGGGGACGAGGACTGCTCTGGTCACATTTCCTTCCCTTCATGGCCCCTGCACTGTTTGTGACAATAGGGTGGACACGAAGGGGCCATGGAGGATGGTGCCCGCCTAGCTCTGATGACCTGAGGGCTGGCCAGCACCACCAGCTACTGATGAATGGCCCCTGGTCACTTCTGGCTTCCTGTCCCTCTGCTGGCTTGTCCAGGACAAGTGCAGATTTAGGGACTCGGCCAAGTTACCCTGCAGCCTGGCTTGGCTCCTTCCTCCCTGTGTGACCCTGGGCAGATGATCTTATCCCTTCTGAGCCTCATCCACAAAGCTGCATTGGTGATCCTCCCCGTCAAGGATGTGAGAGTGGCCAGGCTGTGTCACGACAGCCCTGGGCTCACTGTAGGAGCCCCCAGACCCAGGGGAAAGTGGCCACCGCCCTGGCTCTTATTGTCCCTGTTCCTTCTTGTCACAGCAGCGCCTATGCTAACTTTCCTGCCTTCTGTACCACTAAGGGAGGACACTGGGCTGTGTTATTCCTGGACAAATCCACAACACTTAGTGAGCCCAGCACAAAGCAGTCCTCAGGCAGTTTGTGGAAGGAGTGCACGTCCTATCTGCTGGGGTGCCCCTTTGTCCCCTTCTCTGTCTGAGTAGATCAGGGCCCTGTGCAGCCCTCACCTCCACTGAGAAGTCTTCCTTCCTGGGCAGTCCCTGCCTGGGGCAGAGCTGAGCCCTGGTGCTTTGTGGAGCTCCTCCCAGGGCACTCCCAGACACTCCCTGGGAATTGCATGGCAGGGAGTCACCTCTGTTCCCCGGGCAAGGGGCATGCCCAGGCTCAGGCTGCTTACCCAGCTCACCTGGGCGCAGAGGAAGTCTTCTCTTCTGCACCAAAGGAAAGGGTGCTAATCACACCATCGACTGAGCCTTCAAAGGCACAGGGGCAAATCAAGATCCTGGCACCCAGACACCAAACACCTGAGGGAGGAGAGGAGGCACAGGTGAGGCTGACCAGGACAGAGGGCAGAATGTGAGCTCCACCTCCAAGAGGAAGGGAGTAGGAGGAGGCATGAGACAGGGGAGGCTCCTGGGAGGAGGAACACATGGCGCAGGCCTGTGCAAACATGCCATGGGGCATGGCGGGATTCTGTGCTTCCATGCATGTGCCTAACTCAGATGTGGAAAACCCCATGTGCAAGGAACAGACAGCTACTTGGGCTGCTCCAGGTACGTTTGTGGGGGCTACTGCATGGGCACCAGAAAAATGGACGTGGTATGGTCCTGTCTCAGGTAACTGAATCCATTTGCTGGTGGAATGGAAAACCATGCAACCTGTTTAGATCACTGTTTGGCAATTTCTAATAAAGTTAAGTACACACTTCTCATCCTGTGACCCAGCAATTTTACTCTATGTATTTTTTTTTTCTTTTTTTTTTTTTGAGACGGAGTCTTGCTCTGTAGCCCAAGCTGGACCTTTGCCTCTGGGTCTCAAGCCATTCTCGTGCCTCAGCTTCCCCCGTCGCTGGGATTACAGGCGTGGGCCACCATGCCCGGCTAATTTTTTTTTCTTTGAGACGGAGTCTTGCTCTGTCGCCCAGGCTGGAGTGCAGTGGCACAATCTGGGCTCACCGCAACCTCCGCCTCCCAGGTCAAGCAGTTCTCTGCCTCAGCCTCCTGAGTAGCTGGGATTACAGGGGCCCACTGCTACGCCCAGCTAATTTTCGTATTTTTAGTAGAGACGGGGGTTTCACCATCTTGGCCAGGCTGGTCTTAAACTCCTGATCTCGTGATCCACCTGCCTTGGCCTCCCAAAGTGCTGGGATTACAGGCGTGAGCCACCGCGCCTGGCCCCGGCTAATTTTTTTGTATTTTAGTAGAGATGGGGTTTCACCATGCTGCTCAGGGTGGTCTGGAACTCCTGAGCTCAGGTGATCCACCCGCCTCAGCCTCCCAAAAGTGTAGGGATTACAGGTGAGAGAGCCTCCGCGTCCGGCCCACTCTATGTATTTATCCAGAAGAACTGAAAGCCTGTGTCTACCAAATGCTCACAAATGTTCATAGCAGCTTTATTCCCAAACTGGAAATAACCCAAATGTCCATTAATAAGAAAACAAACACAAATGGTGGTGTGGCCAATGCAATAGGAGACTATTCATCAAAAAACATTACAAACTGCTGAAACCCACAACAATCGCAATGAATCTCAGAAACCTCAGGTTGAGCAAATGAAAACTGACTAGAAATGGCACATGCTGCATGAGGTTTATACAGAATAAATCTAAAGTGAGCACACCTGTGCAATCGCTGCTTCTGAGGGCAGGGGGCAGTGGGAAGGGCAGGAGGGTCTCAGGGGTGGTGGGAATGTTCTGTATCTTGGCTGTGATGATGACCTGGGGGGTGTCTTTGCCAAAATTAATCAGAGTATACTTTGATATTTGTGTATTTTACTGTATATAAAATACACCTCAATAAAATTAATTTTATTGGAAAACACTGCAGATTTGAAGGTGAAATTTCTTACTTAGGTAGCCATATTGTAGACTCACAGCAGTGCATCAGGTTTTCCAGAATTCCAGAGCCACCTGACAGGTATGGAGCTCCTTGACTAAACGTGAGCCAGGCCCCCTGGAGAAAAGTCCCTGGAGAAGGGACCCGGCCATGTTACCCCAGATGCCTACTGCCCATGAGCCTGTGGCTTTTCTCTAGGGTGACTGTGCCCTGGGGCAAAAAGAGTTGTTCTAACAAATGTCTCCTCCTGAATTACGGCAGGGGAAAGGAACGCCTTGATAATCTGGTGATTACCTGGCACTGGCTCTGAGATGTCACCGATCTGGGGGACTTCAAGACACTACCATGGCCCAGCAGTCAAAGTGGGGGCTTATGGAGGTCAGATGATAAAAAGTGTTTGGTCCCAGGTGTGAATTTCCATGGGACGGTGTCTGCGGGCTCTCCAGGGGTCATGTCTCCCATTTCTGAATGTACAATTGAAATAGTTCCACTCGGCAACCAGCAGAGCCCCCACAGAGCCCCCACATTGGCTCTTCTGCCACGGAGTGAATGCCATTTTGGTAGAAAGTGGAAAGAAAGGGAAAGTGGAAAGAAAGGGAATTTTCCCTCCCTACTTCAATAGTAAATCAAAAGTAATTAACCCCACATCCTAGGGGAGTTGCAGAGATTAGTGCCGCTATCAACTACTGGAGAGATTTCAGGGTGCAAGTTCCTATTATGTCTCTGCTTCCCTGGCCTGCTTAACCTCTAATGAAGACAGACGCGTCTTGGGGAAATACAGTGCTTCAGAGTGAAGGTAACCAGCTGGTGACTCCAATTGCAGCTGCTGTTCTGGATGAAGCTTCCTCTTTTTTTTTTTTTTTTGAGACTGGGTCTCACTCTGTTGCCCAGGCTGGAGTGCAGTGGTGCAACCTAGGCTCACTGCAACCTCCGCCTCCTGGGTTCAAGCAATTCTCCTGCCTCAGCCTCCCGAGTAGCTGAGATCACAGGCACATGCCACTATGCCCAGCTAATTTTTGTATTTTTAGTAGAGATGGGGTTTCATCATGTTGGCCAGGCTGGTCTCAAACTCCTGACCTCAGGTAACCCACCCACCTTGGCCTCCCAAAGTGCTGGGAATACAGGTGTTAGCCACGGCACCTTGCCTGAAGCTTCTTCATTGGGAGCCACAGTTGCAGCCCCGCAGCACTGAGAGTTGGCTCTTAATCTCTATGTCAATTTCCAGGAACACCAGAAACAGTCTGCTCGTGTCTAGGGCACCCACAGCACCCCTTCCCAGTTTGCCTCAGGGTTATGCCAGTTTTCCTGCTCTCTCTGCCATGATAGCATCCACAGAGATGCCACAGAAAACCATAGTGGGCCACACCATTGACACTATGCTGATTGGTCCTGATGGGACGGGAGTAGCAAGTACATTAGGATCCTTTGTTTCGGGATCTTTGGGGAGTTGATTGGTGTTGATTTTCTTCCTGGAAACCTCCATGGCGTCTTTGTCCGAGTTCTCATCCTGCATCTGGGAAGAATGAGGTACGCAGACAAGTGAAGGGTGAAGAAGACGAAGAACTTTATTTAGTATTAGAACAGCTCAGAGAAGACCCACAGTGAGTAGCTCCTCTCTGCAGTTGGTCATCCCATCATCTCTCCGGCCTCTGGCTGACCGTCCTCTGTCCTGCTCTGGCTGAGAGCAGGGCTGTTATGGACCTCAGAGGGGAGGAAGTGCATGCTGACTGGTCCACTGGTGGCCATGGGTGGGCCAGAGGAGGCACCACGAGTCCCCACTCTGGTCCGTGGGACTGGTAGCCCGGCCCCAGCCTTCAGGCCCTCCTTGACCTGAAGGTGGGGTCTTACAGGGACCCCCCGCCCCCGACTTCTGCCCAGGCCTTCCGTTGCCATTCGTGGCCCCAGGGCTTGGCCCCAACCCGGCTTCGAGATTGGAGCAGGTGCCAGAGAGGAGAGGGGCCAGGCAGTGGAAGCAGACACCCCTGAGCCTGCAGGGATGGAGGATGGGGGCCGAGGCTACAGGCTGCAGAGATGCCCCCGTCCAGCACCTGGGAGGGCTGCAGCTGCACCTGGAGAGCTCCCGCCCCACCAACTTGGAAGGGGCGGGGGTCCTGCTTGTCCCTAGCGCCTTCCTGCTCTGTGGAGCAGGAGGGCCAGGTCTGCAGCCGCCGCTCAGGCAGCTGCACCCAGGAGGGCAGCTCCTACCTGCTCCTGCCCCCCTCCAAGAGCACAGGGAGGCTTGGAAGCACAGCTACAGTTTGGACGGCTGTAGCCTTGTCCAGGAGGGCGGGGCTCCTGCCTTCTTCGAAGCACAGGAGGCCTGGGTCTGCAGCTGTGGGTTGGGCGGCCACAGCGACTTTCAGGGAGCTTCTGCCCCAACTCAGAAACGCAGGGCTCCCACCAGCTCCATGGAGTGTGCAGCCCCAGCCACCTCCCTTCTGCAGCCAGTGTGATGGCAGCAGCCACTGCCATCACCTTGGTAAGACACAAAAGTAGGAGATGAACCCCATAAATGCTCAGGGGCTCACCCACTTGGTGAAGTGGCTGAGGATCCTGTGGAGCATTTCAGGACACCCCAAGAAAGTGAAAGATAAGAGGTCATACCCCAAAATGAGGCATGATGCTTGCTGAGACTTTTTGCATTTTGAAGGCATCCTATACATGATTTGGGGGTGCTATCCCAATGCATTGACCAGGGTGACTTTGAGACTACCAGTTGCAGGTGGGGTCCCCTGGGCCTCATCACCCAACAGATTCAGTGGTGCTCAAGTGTTTGTGGCCAACAGCAACATAGCAGAGAGCTCCAGGAGGTGAACTGTAGTATTGAACTCCATATTCTGGAGCAAACCCATGCCTTCTTCTATATATACATTCTGCTTTCTAAAAAGCAGCTCCTGGCGTACCCCTGGGTCCTGGTAAGGACTGAACAGATGACCGGGGACATCAGCTGACTCTGCAATACTAAGCTGGCCATCAAATACTGGGTGTTACTTGACCCGCCCATCCATAAGGTTGGGCACATGCAGCTGTAAGCTGTCATCAAGTGAAGATCGGGTATGAGAGGATGGGTTGGAGAAAATCCAGAAGGCACGTGTCAGTGTGTGAACAGGTGGCTGAGACCCCTGTGACATGCACTCCTGCTTGTGTTGACTCCTCTCTCAATCTGTCTGTGGCTCACAGAAACTCCCGTGACCAAATGGCTGAGACCAGCCTTCAGATGGTTATCTGGGATAGTGGGTACCAGCTGAGAGTGGGCCCTGGGAATTCTGGAGTGTCCTTGGAAGATGGCAGGGAAGGGAAATTGTCCCAGTGGATGGCGCTTGAACAGAACAAATGGCTCTCGCTTTTCTGGACCGAAAGACAGCCAGAAGAATTAACCTACACTAGTGATTCTCAGCAGTGGGTGCTCTCCAGTTCCAGTCCCCAGGGACATTTGGCAATGTCTGGAGACATTTTCGATTGCCATAACTAGGTGGGGGTGCTACTGGCATCCAGTGAGTGGAGGTCAGTATATTAGTCATGGTTCTCCAGAGAAGCATAACCAATGGAATATAGAGAGATACACAAAAACAACAGATTTATTATGAGGGGTTTGGTTACGTGATTGTGGAGGCCAAGAAGTCCCATGAGCTGCACCTGCAAGCTGGAGGCCCAGGAAAGCCCCTGATGTAGCATCAGTCTGAACCCAAAGCTCTGAGAACCAAGGAGGCCAATGGTGTAAGTCTGGTCTCAGTCTGAGGGCTGGAGAGCCAGCAGAAGGGCAGGAGAAGATTGATGTTTCAGTTCAAGCAGAGAGTGTAAACTCAACCTTCCTCTAGGGGCCTTTTTGTTCTATGTGGGCCCTTAACGATTTGGATGAGGCCCACCCACATTGCTGAGAGCCATCTTTACTCAGTCTATGGATTCAAATGCTAACTTCTTCTGTAAACACCCTCACACACACCCAGAGATAATGGCTTACCAGCTAGCTGGGCATCCCTTAACCCAGTCAAGTTGACACGTAAAACTAACCACCACAGTCAGCTAGTGATGCTGCTGAACATCTTACAATGCACACAGGACTGTTCCCTACAGAAAAGAATGATCTGTCCCCAAATTTCAATAGTGCCACTATTGAAAAACCATGATTTACACTGATTCATGGGCAGGTGAAAACAATTTGACTAGATGCTCAGGAACTTGGAAAGAACAGGATTCCAAGGTTGGTGACAAGGAAGCATGGTAACAGATGTATGTACGGGAAGGTGGAGTAGGATGTATGTGGATGGATCGCTCAGAAGGTGTAGAGAGACTGGAAATATTTGGGTGGCATGTTTATGCTCACCAGGAGCTCCCTGTGCAGAGGAGGCTCTTGAGACTCAGGTGGACAAGAAAGCATGCTCTGTGATGCTAGCTGACCCTCCCACCAGCCATCCTGATGTTTATTCAATGCGCCCAGGACCATGATTACAGGGATGGAGGCTGTGAATGAACACGACATGAATTTCCTCTTGCCAAGGCCAGCCTGGAGGCCACCACTGCTTTGTTGGAGTGATCTTCTGACAGCCTCCCCTGTGGTGCATTCCTGGGGAGGGCCAGCCAGATTCCTGTTGGCCAGCTGGACCCCTTCATAAAGGAAAATAATTTTCCCTCACTGGAATAGGTGTGCCCTGGATTCAGATTTGCTTTCCCTGTCTGCAATGCTGCTGCCAAAAGCCACTATCGTGGACTTAAAGAGTGCCTTATTCATCGCTGTGGTATTCTACACAGTGTTACTTCTGATGAAGAATTTCAATTTTAAAGCAATGAGATCATGCACAAGGATTTCACTTACTCCACATCCCACTGACCCAGAAGCAGCTGGCTTGATAGTGCTGTGGTCCTGCCTAGTGAAGACTCAGTTAGTATGCCAGCAGGGAGACAGCTCCCTGAAAGGTCGGAGTTCTACCTTACAGATGGAGTTTGGGATTTGAATCAGCAACTGCCATATGGTCTGCCATATGATGATCCCATGGCCGGAACACATGGTCTGGGAAACAAGAGGTGGGCATATGAGGAGCTCTTGTCACTATGAAGCCTTGTAACCAAGAATCTGTACCTGCCCCTGCCCCATACCTCGTAACCAAGAATCTATACCTCCCCTGCTCCACACCTTAGCGCTTTTCTGTTTTGTAGTTCTTACTTCCCCAGGGAGCTTCCCAAAAGGCAGCACAGTGATTTCGCTGAACCTGGAGCTGAGACTTGGCCATTTTGGGCTTCTGAGCTAGGTGAATCAATGCAAAGAAAGTCGTTACTCTATTGGCTGGGTGACTGAATGAGTTGTTGCTACATAATGGGGGCCAATAAATGATGTCTGAAATCTAGGGGACTCTTTGGGGTGCCTTTAATTTTGTCCACATCCAAAAATAAGTTAATGGTAAATGATGGCATTGAAAAAAAGGGCTTGTGAGGACTCAGCATCTACAGGAATGAAAGTTTGGATTGTCCTTCAGGTAAAGAATCCCAACAACCTGAGGTCTGCCTGAGAGCAAAGCCAACATGGAATGGTTATGGAAGAAGGTAGTTTCAAACACCAACAGTGCTCTGTGGCCAGCTTCAGTTCCAGGGGGGCCTGCAGTAGGGAGGCATATTTGCCTATCTTTCTTCTTGCTCAGTGTGCGTGTATACACACATACATGTACGTTCATACATGCATACATGCATATATATGCATGTGTGTAGGTGGGTCAAGACACATAAGGACTTGCTCATTCCTTTTGCTTCCAGTTTCTCTCAATGTTGTCTTAGCAACAGCTCTTCACTTGCTAGCTGCAGTTTGTTTCAATTTCATTCTTCCCCCCACAGGAAAGAAGTGGCCAAATCACAGCCTCTACTGAGACACCGGCAACCCCTCCCTGGTGATCTGAGCCTAGCACTGCGAGCCTCCCCCTCTGGCTTCCTGAGGCACAGGCACCAGCTGGGAAGAGCTCCCTTTTCAAAGGTCTGACCTCAACGCGGTGGAGCCCTGCCCTATCTGCCTGTGGATTTTAACAACATGCTCTCTTTGCTTTGCCCCTGACCCTGTGAGGAAGCTGCTTCCTGTATGTTCTCTCCGTGGGACGTGTATGTCTCCTTTTTGTGTTTTTTAGGCTTCCAATACCTGCTTGACTAGTTTCCTATACTAAATTCTCTGTCAAAATAACTGAGGTGACTTCTGTTTTTCTAAATAATACACAGATTTTTTGATTTGGTGGGGAAACTTCAAGAGCCTTGAGTCGCTTTTTACAGAACAGAAACCTGGGGCTGGAGGGGTGAGATGCCTTCCTCAAGGTCAATTCTGGGGCCAGCCCAATCCAGGGTTCCTACCACCATCCTATATAGTCTTCTAAGCACATTTCAAAGCTTCAAATGCAGTATTTTGTCTTTCATACGGGATTCTCTGCTTGTCCTGAACAAACTAAGAACAGTTTCCTGTTTCCTCGTGTAGAAAAACATTAGAGCCAGAAACGGATGGTCCCATTGGCCTTAACAGGATTCCATGGGTATGTAGTGGCCATGGCTCCAGCAAATCCCACAGCCCTGCCAGGTATCTTTCCTGTCCTTCTCCCATCTGTGCTAACTCACCCCCCACCTGGAGCCAGATGGACTTGGGTGTCACCATCCCCCAGACTCTGAGCTCCTCCTGGGCAGGGGCCTTGCCCATTCCTCAGGATGACAATGTACTCTGATGCTGGGAGCACAGACCCTCATGTCAGACACACCTGAGCTGGAATCCTGGCTTTACGACTTACCTCGCCAAACCTTACTTTTCTTCTCTACAACACAGAGATTTTGCTATCTCACACGGTTGCTGCATGGATTGAATTCCACTAGGCACAGAATGTGCCACCCCCCAATGATGCCTATTCAGTGCGTGAGACCCTGTCATTACCTCCTCCATCACTGTCCCAGTGCATGGCACACAGTGGGTTGGGACTGAGTCCTGGGTGCATCACACCTTCTTTAGATAGGCCTGTGGCCTGGACCCCACCCACAGCTTCCTGAGGGGGCTTCTTTCTTTTACAGAGGCAGCGCCTCTCCTCCATAGAAGAGCACTCACAGATAAAAATTCACGGCAAAATCCTCCTCCTCCTCCTCTATGCTCCCAGCTGCCATTCTCTTGCTTATGGTTGCAACCTCTGGTGAAGACATGTTAAGGACAACCCTATTCAGCTTTTGATATGGTTTGGCTGCGCCCCCACCCAAATCTCATCTTGAATTGTAGCTCCCATAATTCCCATGTGTTGTGGGAGGGACCTGGTGGGAGATAATTGAATCATGGAGGCGGTTTCCCCCATACTGTTCTCGTGGTAGTAAGTCTCATGAGATCTGATGGTTTTATAAGGGGTTTCCCCTTTCACTTGGCTGTCATTCTCTCTTGCTTGTTGCCACGTAAGACTTGCCTTTTGCATTCTGCCATGATTGGGAGGCCTCCCCAAACACGTGGAACTGTGAGTCCATTAAACCTCTTTTTTTTTTAGAAATTACCCAGTCTCAGGTATGTCCTTATCCGGAGTGTGAAAACAGACTAAATACAGCTTTCATCCAGATAGAATGTGTCATGGTCATTTTAGAAAGGAGAGAAACTATTTTCCTCTTATATGAATGAAACTTGGCCAGGCGTGCTGGCTCGCGCCTGTAATCCCAGCATTTTGGGAGGCTGAGGCAGGTGGATCACTTGAGGTCAGGAGTTTGAGACCAGCCTGGCCAACAACAGAGTAGTGAAAACCTGTCTCTACTAAAAATACAAAAAAAAAAAAAAA
The DNA here is from genome assembly GCF_000001405.40 of Homo sapiens. Classification (NCBI taxonomy): domain Eukaryota; kingdom Metazoa; phylum Chordata; class Mammalia; order Primates; family Hominidae; genus Homo; species Homo sapiens. The sequence continues at coordinate 31,475,039 of NC_000015.10, forward strand.
AGATTAGCTGGGCATGATGGTGCGCACTTGTAATCCCAGCTACTCAGGAGGCTGAGGCAGGAGAATATCACTTGAACCTGGGAGGCAGAGGTTGCACTGAGCCAAGATCACGCCACTGCCTGGGTGACAGAGAGCTAGACTCCGTCTCAAACAAAAAAAAAAAAAAAAAAAAAAAAAAAGAGAATGAAATGGTGACAACTGGGTTTACATCTCATCTGGCTGGGAAAACACTTAAACAAAACAAAACTGGTATGGATGGATGTCTGATATAGTCCTCTTCCTCTTGGCAATAAAGCTTTTCTTAGATGGCATTTTACCAAGAACACAGGAGTCAGTGGGCAAATAATTGGACCAACCAATACTTTACAAACATGTTAATTTTATTGAGTAGGCATCAAAGCTTCTCTCTGTGTCAGGTAATGGAGAAGCCATGTCACACAGATTACAGAGCTATTTTTACTTGAAATAATCTTTCATAAAAGAAAGAAATTAAATACAATTCTTCTATAAAAAGTGCAGTAGTCATTACTGGAAGTTTTCCAAAATGAAAGCAAGATTTACTACATATTGCAAAAACTGGTTTAGTGCTTTAATACTTTACAAAGTAATATCCCAACCACAGAAGACAGCTCTTACAATGGGTTTCTTCTCCAAGAATGGACCGGATTGAAAAGGATATTTGCATTGAATTGGAATTAACACCTGCAGGTAGAAAGGGGTTCTGCACAACTGGGTCAAAGTAATGTGATTGACGACCTACTTTTGCCTCAGTGTTTTCCTTTGTCCACAGTAATCAAAGAAAATGGGAGAAATAAAGCAACATATATCATCCAAAAATCAGTCAAAGAAACCAAAAAAGAAAAAAGAGGAACATTCACTGACTTCATTAGGCCAAACGCACGTTTAATGGAACAAAGCAAACACAGGGTGAGGATGGTCCCTTGTTATAATTAACTTCAACAATCCTTAGTTAAAACAAGGCCAAATTCTCAAAGGTGATGGTGAATGGAGTTCAAACTCCGTAGATGAGGCAGTAACAGGTCACTAAGGAGCTTAGTCCCTCTGTGGACCCAGCTAAGCCTGCTCCTTGCTCCTAACAGCGCCTTTACTTGTAGGACTAAGAGCCCAGCCTTTCCCACCTGGGGGCCCAGGGAAGACAAGCTCCTACTGAACGGTGACTGGCTCTGTCAGAGGTGGGGCTTGCCTCTGTGTGTACAGGGGCTGGAGGCCACAGCTGATCTCCAACACATGCTCATGGTGAGTTTCCTAGTTTTGGTCCTAAGTTAGCGGAGACAAGCTGCCCCACTCCCCACTGCCAAGTCATCATTCCGTATCAGGTGTTTGGATTCCATTCCTGCAAGCGGGAAGAATGTGTGCAAAGAGCTGGACAGCCCATAGGGCCTGGGAGACCTTCACGGACACCTGCCATGGAGAAAGTTTGCATGGGCCAAGGGGGCAGGCTCTTGGGAAGCACACACTCCCTCCCTGAGTGCTGGCAGGAGCAGGCTTCCAGTCTGTTTGGGCAGCAATGAAAGGGACACTGTTTATTTGGCAATTCAAGCACAGGAATGCACATGTGTGGGCCCACTCACTGCTGGCTGGACAGCTGCAGAGAGGGCATCACGATGGAGACCTTATGCCCCCTCCCACGAGGGACCTGAAAATATGGCATCAAGAGAAATGACAGCAAAACCACGGAAGTGGATTAAACAGGAGGACAAAGCCTTTAACCAGGCCACAGTAGGACAAAAGTCCCATAAGAAGCTTGTAACAGTATTTTGCCAACAACTCTTAGAAGAAAACGCATTTGGCCAAAGGACCTAGAAGTAAACACCAAAGTTAGGTAGTTGTGAAAATCATCTGGCAGGGGCAGGAAGGTCATTGGAGGACCCACGCCTCCCCTGCTGTGGGTGAGGCCACCTGCCAGCACTGGAGGGCCACCGTGCTGGGGCCTGGGCCCAAGGAGGTGTGTGTTGCTTGGCTCTGTGGTGTCAAGGCCCTGACCTTCCAGTGCACCTCCACCAGTGGCCAATGGGGATACCCGGGGGCCTTGGCTCTCTGGCCCTGCTGCTTCCAAATTTGTCAATGCAGTTACCCAGCCCTGAGCCGGTTAATGTTTGTGACAAGCTCCTCTTCCTCTGCAGCCTTGCTTTGGTGGCTGGAGGATGAGTCCTTCTAATGGTCAGGTGGACTTTCCCTGGGCTGGGCCATCTGCTGCCACCCGTGTTGAACTGGGAAGGACTGGGAGACACCTAAAGACTGATTACAAAGGATTCTCTGGAATGGTCCAGGTCTACAGTGACCTCATGGAGTGATGGGAACCCACTACTGTGCATCTGGCTACAAAAGCTACCTGCAGAAAACTGTCTTCATCCCAGCTGGTTCCAAAATGCTCCCCTGCGAACAGTGAGCCTCATATTTGTGAGGTGGGGCTAGCGGCAGGGCAGGCATTCACTTGTCTGTGAACAGAAGCCACCGCTGCTGCCCGGTGTATCTAACCATCTTGTACCCATAGGAGCCAGGTCACTGGGTCAGCTAAAGTTCTCACAATAATAGAACCTAGATTTGATGAAAGCTGAAATTGACATTTTCTGGCCTCTTAATAGTTTTCAATTTACTGATTTAATTTCCTTTTTTCAATAAATACTTATCCAGTGCCTAATATGTGTCAGGCACTGTTGTAGGCACCAGGATACAGCAATGAGCAAGACATATAAAAGTTCCTGCCCACATGGAGCTTACAGTCTATGGGAGATGGGGAGGCGAGAATCAAATAAATGGATGAATGATTAACATCTGCAGCACTCAGATGGTGATAGGTGCACAAGAAGAAGATGCAGAGAGGTGGGTAGGGAGGGAGGGTGGGGTGTGTTGTCCTTTTAAATAAGTCAGGGAAGGCCTCGTTGAAAGGTGACATTGGAGCAAAGACTGGCAGGTAGTGAGGGGTGAACCATGTGGCTCTCTGGGGAAGAATGTTCAGGTAGAAGGAATGGCATGTGCAAAGGCCCTGAGGCAGGAGGGTGCCTGTGACTAGAAACGGCAGGAAGGCCTACGTCCCAGGGCAGAGCAGCAGGCAGAAGAAGTACTGGGATGGGAGAGGCCTTTGTAAGGACCTGGCTTTTCCTCTGCCATGGGAGGCTGTTTCTTCGTTTAAAGGAGCACTCCAGTGTCTGCAGATAAATTCTAAAACAGCTGGTTTCACTCATTTGTCCTCATTAAATAGGTTGCTTTGGTCTTGAATAAATTCAGCCTATATTTACTCTTAAAACCAAATGGTACTCTTCGCCTTATGTTAAACTAACAAATTATGTATATATATATCCTTGATATGCTCTTTGGGAGGAATAAAAAGATGCAAGCAATGTGCATCATTCTGTATGTACATAATTAGGATTAGTGAGGCCCCCTTTTTTGGCAAGATTAAAATAGCAAAAATGCAATTTTCAACAAATCATTTGGCAAAATAAATAGAAACAGTAACATTACTAGCATGGTTGGAGATGATGGCTTCAGTGCTACTCTGCAACTACGTGTGTCTTCGGCTCAGCCTGGTGGGGCCAAGTTCTTCATACTGCACAGACTGCACATAACTGTTGTTCCCAAGGGGTCCCTGCAGGGCATCTCCCTCGCTCTTTTCTGCTGGGGGTGCAGTGGGGAGGAATAATAGATCTTTTGGCAAAGAAGGGACCTGCATAACTGCTAACAGGCCAATTTGCACAGTGCCCGGAGCTGTCTTTTGTGACAGAAGCTTGCAGAGTGGTCCAGCCTGGATGTGCCGCAGGGCCTCCTGGGGTGAGCGTGGGGGGCTCTCCCCATGGCGTGTGCTGGCCTCTCTATCGTGAACTACCCAGGACCCACTCCCGAGTCAGTGAGGCAGCACTGGCAGAAATACACTCCGGGCCAACAGACCCAGAGCTGTGGAGAGGACACGGGCAACAGGGTGGACTTGAATTAAACAAGAACAAAGCTGAGCGCTGGTCACTGCCCCGGCCAGCCACACTAAAACAGGCCAGCTAGAGTTTAGAGTCAGGAGTAAATGGGAAGGTGGTGCCTCAGATCTCTAGAGAGCCACCACTTTAAGGCGTTTTGGAAGGGGCCACCTGCTCCCTGGCATGCCAGCCACCTCTAGGCCCTTCATACGGTGTGTCTGTCCTCAGCTGGCAGCAGAACCGGACTCAACTAGAGCAGGGGCCGCCTCTGCAGCCCAGCGAGGATGAAGCCAGGGCTGGTAAGGTCTGTCTGGCCCAGCAGGGCTTGCTCAGCCACAGAAACACATTTCTTCTTATCTATTAGAAGCACTGAGGAAAGAAAAAGGACAGAACACTGGGGGTACTTAATTTTAAAGTCCACACCAAGATGAGGAGAAAAAAAATCATGGCCATAAAGAAAGGAGCCCCAAACATACAGTAGATGCCTTCAGCTTTTACTCCAGGTCTCTTCGTAAATAAAAGACTCACATGGAATGGAACTTACACACATGGATTTGGAAAAGTCTGTTTTTTCTTGTACAAATTTCCCACCACTGATAAGTACAGCCCTTTTATCTTAACCAATGGGAAGTATATTTTAAGTTTATTTTTGCAAAGTAGAATAGTTCGCAAAATAAGTTTGTGGACACTAAGTGGGGGGGGGGGGTGATGGGCCCATGACCCCTCCCCAGAGACAGGGCGGGCTCTGCATGGAGGATGTCCACACCCTGAGGTGTGCACCTGGGGGGCATGGAGAGTCCTTTTATCTTCAGCACCCCCAATTCTTGACAGTAAGCTACGAGAAGTAGTAAATTAAATCATTTGGGAAAACATTCGATTTGTAAATAGATTCAAATGCCACTGGGTGGTAATAGGTATGAAAAGGTCCACAGTAATTTAGTGAATACAAAGTATTCATTTAAGAGGAAAGGTGCAGTACCAAAATCCATGAACAGAAAAAAGGAAATCAAGCTTTCAATAAAAAAAGACACTGATACATTCCCACTTTCAGAAGGTATTTGAACAAGCAGCAAAAAGCGTTTAACCCCCCGGAGCCCACAGTGGAGCTCCTTCCCACCTCCAGTTACCCTTCCAAGGGACAACCCTGTGGCAATAACGGGTGCAAAATATTGCTCTGTGGCATGTTCTGAAAATAATACAAAAATAATTTTTATAGTACAGTTTAAACTTGGCTTGTAAAATTTCAACGTAACACAGCATAAAGTCTACCAACAGAATACACTGAAAAACACCTTCCCTTAACAATATTTTAAAAAAATCATTTACCCAGATAACAAATGTGCAGGAAATGTAAAGTAAATTTCTGAAATAACCTTCGCAGGGGTTTAGAAGTATCTGGGATCCTCTGGAAACCTGCAGTCCCTTGGAGACACCTGTCCTTCCTAGAAAGGGAAGTGTGGCCAGATCAGGTGGGGAAGGCTGCTCTCAGGCAGGGTCAGCTAGGGCAGCAGGGCCATGCACCCCGGTAGGACTCACCTTCTTCCCTTTCTCCCTGCTCCACAAAGGGCCCTCACGCCATGGAACACGAGGGAAGCCCTTGGCCCACATGCAGTCAACACAGTTTTTAATAGTTTCTGGCCAGCCTGCTGAAGTTGGTCTCTGGCCAGGGACGAGGTCTACACGCCTCTTCTCAAGGAGCATGCTGTCGGTGCACGGGACTAGCACATTTAATATGACCATCCGCTCTCTCCCTTTTGCATTTTTAATACTGTTTAGAGGAAGGATGGATCCAGCTCTCTCACAAAAGGAAATGGCTATTCCTAAGTCATGTGGACTGAGTGGTAATGTATCAGCCTGGAGCAGGTGTCTACAGGCGTCTGGCGCCTCGTTACCACATTGAGAAGCTGGGGTGCAGGATGCAGCCAGTGGCTTTATCTCAGGCTCTTATTTAGGGCACATCTGTCATCAGATGGTGATGGGTGGAGGTAACTTGGAAATGCAAGGGTAGAATAGGTCCTGGTGTTTTGATAATTACGTACTCTGCCTGGTTTGGAAGGTTTTCCTCTATTACAATGGACGGTTTTTATTCTGTTTTATTTTTTTATTTTTTAAATTAGACAAACCTGGCAGATAGCGTGAGAAAGAAAATATCTGAATTAGCATAGCCAGTTTTAGAAATTTCTGGTTGGCTGTTTTTACATTAAGAAATGAAAAAAACAAGCAAGAATTGACTTTATGCCTCCTTGACATCTTGTGCATATGAGTTTGGTTTCTGAATGGATTATTGGAGCATTTTTAAGGTTGGGTGTCTCAATCTTTTAAGAGTGACGAGCATGAGGAGTGGCTGGCATCCACACCTGAAGCAACACTTTCTGTGATCCCACAGCTTTGGATGCCAAAGCAGCTGCTCAGCGTGACACGAAGAATCAGTCCAGAAAGCTGCCACAGACCCTCTCCATGAGATTTTTAAAAAACCACTTTTGTTTTCTGAGTAATAAAAGAAACCCCAGTAATATTAGGGACATGGATGTTAGTACAGTAATTACCACACATTGAAAATATTGTTCAGCAGGAAAAGTAAAACTTTCAAAAAATTTCTTAAAGATCCTATTTAATAAATAATTTTTGATTTAAGGAACCACTTATGCAAAACTTGAACAAATTACTGAAAACTCCACCTGCTGTGGAATAATTAAAAACAAAAAGGCATTACTCACAGGAGATACTCAATTATTTTATTATAATTTCTCAAACAAGTAAAAAAAATCCCCTCGCCCCCCCTTTTTTTTTGTTTTTGCTGCTCTTTAGTTAGGGAAAAAAGCATCGTTTCTAGAGGAGAAGCTGGCTCCAGTGAAGAGATGGTCGACCTCCTGCTTTTTCTGAGGATACACTCACAGCAAAGCCAGGCGCTTTCTCCTGTCCTAGGATTATTAGAAGCTATTCTAAGGCTCTCACAGGTTTTATAGTATTCTTTGTTAGTGAGGATTTTACCCATCTTATCCTCATTTCTTGGAAACAAGCTCGTTCCTTAGTGAGGCAGATTTAGCTCCTCAGTGTCCTTGGCCAAGAACGGTGTTCTCCGGAGGTAATCTTGGAAGGAAGAGGCTGCATATTGCTGCTCAAAACAGGGTAGCTAAGGACACATTTTTTTTTTCCTCAAGAAATGTAGGAGGCACCAAAAAAGAGACCGCTCAGGGATCGGGCTGCTCCCTCATTGTGTCACGAGACGGAGGCAGGGTCGTCCTGCCCCGTGGAGGGGCCACGATCACAGTGAGTCCCTTTACCTGGCTGAACCCAGACAGATGCAGGTGTGGGGGTGGGCTTCCTTCCTGGTTCCCCCAGCCCCTTCCCTTTGGAAAGAGCAGCAGCCTAGTGGGGGCTTACACAGTGACCAAAGGGTCAATTCCTCGCTGTCTCCCGGGGCACCGATGGTCACCGCCCAGGGGCCCGCCAGCGACAGTCCACTGTGGAAGTGCCTTCAAAGGAGAAATGTGAGCAGCCTGTCCTATCTGCTCCTCTATGAGCAAATCCAAATTGTGAGATGGGAACCCTGCTTTTTGGACCCTAGGTGTCTTTGGAAAGCTCCTGTCACCTGAACTGCCCGGCACTGGGAGCCATCGCTGTACCTCACGGCGCCCGCGAGACGGGTGGTCCAGTGCCCTTTCCACGGCCGCCCGCGGCTTGGATGGCAGTGTGAATGGTGCTTGAGCCGGGGCTGGGGGAGGAGGTTTTGCTTATGAAATGGAGCTGTGTGTTTCTAAAGGGCCACAGTGACCACCAGGGCGTCAGCTGGCGGCCAGGTACCCGCCTTCTCCTAGGCCTCGGGATGGGAGGCAGGTAGAGCTCACAGAGGAGCCTCCACCGCAGCCCCGGGTGCGCGCTCGCTCTAAGCCCTGGGTACTACCAACCGCGCACAAGGGACCGCTACCTGGAAGAGGTCATCGCTAGGGTAGGAGAAAAAAAAAAAAGCAAAAAAAGCATGTAAAACACTCCCTTCTTAAAACAAAGGGCTGCGAATTTCTTTATTTCTCTTACTGAGGAACAAAAATACTCTTGCAATGGCTATTGAGTTTCCACAGGTACGAGGCAGATGCTAGGCTAGCACACCCACTTCCAACAGTATGACTTGTTTCCTATCCGTCTACTACCTGAGTGGCGTCAGTGTAGGTTCAGGCACCATTAGGAACGTTTGACCAAACACGTACACGGCACTGACAGAGGAGGCGCCGGCCTTCCGGTGGACCAGGGCATGTAAAAAAGACACCGACACAATGGAAAAGAAATCCTCGAAGGTAGAACCTCGCCGCCCGCGCCGCGCCGCGCCGCTCAGGGCCGGGCCCCGCGCGCCTCGCGCCGCCGCCGCAGCTCCTCGCGGTAGCAGTAGGAGCAGTAGTGCTCGGTCTCGGCGCGCCCGTAGAACGCACAGTTCTCGCGCTGGCAGCGCCGCTGCACCGGCCCCGGGCCGCCACGGCCGCACTCACCGTTCGAGCGCGCGGTCGGCGCGTCGGCGTCGGCGAACTCCAGGCCGTCGCGCAGGGCGCCGAAGCCGTTGGTGTAGGTCTGCGACTTGTGCTCGGCCGCCCCCGCCGTCCCCGCCGCGCCCGGTAGGGCCCCGGGCACCGCGCGCGCCAGCGACTCGACCGTGTTGACGGTGCGCAGGGCGGCGGCGCGCGCCGGGCTGTAGCTCTGCGACGACAGCGAGCGGTTCTGCTGCGGGTACGTGGCGCACGGCCGCAGCGCCCCCACGGCCGGCGCGCACGCCTCGTCCCGCGCGCCCGACGCCTGCACGTGGATGACGCTCTGGCGCGCTGGCGCCGGGGGGCTGCGGCCAGGCACTGGTCCGCTGGCGCTCGCACGCCGCGCGCCTCCCCCCGGGGAGGCCGTGCCGCCCGCCGCCGCCCGCGCCGCACGCCCTGCCGCGGGCCCGGGGCTCGGCCGCTCCTTGAGCTTGAGCACCAGCTGCGTGGGTGGGCCCGGAGAGGCGCGCTCCGGGACCGGCACGCCCTCCGTCTCCGGTCTGCGCGGCGGCCGCTTGGCCGTGGCGGCGGCGGCGGCGGCGGCAGCGGCGGCCGCAGTAGCGGCGTCGCGGCGCCGCTGCTCCTGCTCGGCGCTGAAGCGCTCCTGCGCGCTCGTCAGGTAGTAGCCGATCATCTCCTCGTGGAACTGGTGCCGGTGGCTGGTGAGCAGCAGGCCGGCGAAGATGAACTTGCGCTCCCCCTGCATGGCGGCGCGCAGGATGTTGAGGCTCAGCTTCACATCCGTGCTGTACTTCCAGGCGTCGCCCCGCGGCCCACCGCCCTTCTCCGCCGGCGACGCGCCCGCTGCCTTGTCTGTGGGCGACGGCGTGGTCTTTTCCGACGGCGACGTGCTGGCCGACGCACCAGACTCCTCCTTGCTGCCCTTGCGCGACTTGGCCTTCTTCTCCTTGCCCCGCTCGGCCGAGTCCCCGTTCTTGCCATTGGCGGAGTTGGCGCGGCCCATCTTGCCGTGCACCAGGCCGCCGAGGCCGCCCATGTTTTTCTTCAGCTTGATGCCCAGCGTCTTGCTGAAGCTGCCCAGCTTGTTGGCCACGGAGTCGGCGCGCGTCTTGTCCTTCTCCTTGCGCTGCTTCTCCTTCTCCTTGTCCTTGCCGTTCTTGCCGTTATTGCTGTTAGAATTGCTGCACACCGAATCGCGGTCCGAGTCCAGCGAGTCGGCCAGGGACTGCACGTCCTCCCCTGCCGAGGCCGTGGGAGACTCCGGCTGTGCCAGGGGCGCCTGTGTGGAGAGGGAGGGCCGGATCGAAGGTGGTTAGAGAAGAGCTGTCCACGCGCCAGCGAGGAAGACACACCTTGCCCCTGTGTTGCCGAGGCTAGGGCCCTGGACCTTCACTGTCCCAGTCCCCACTGTCGCTCTGGTGACTGTGACATCCGGATGGGCGGTGCTGAAGGAGCGGATAGGAGTGGGCTCTGATCTGCTGCGGTAGTAAAAGGATGTAGGGACCTCTTAACTGCGTGTGTCTTCTGGCCAGGGAAGCTGGGGTGTACTCATTCTTTCTCTCTGGGGGACCTCAGGTACTTGGTACCCTGGAACCCTGAGTAGGGTATTGCAGCAGGGTGCAGATACCCTACTTGGTCTTGGTCCCCAGAGCCTTGTCACAATTTAGAACGGTCAGGTTCAGACTCTGGCCTTCCCCCACTGGCAAGGCCGCCTGCTTGACCAGACACAGGTCCCAGGCTGGCCTCTGTAAGGATGGAGGCCTTCAGGTGGGGAGGACACTGGGCCTGCACAAAAGTGCCTCCTCTGAAAAGATGTCTCACCTCACGCCAGGCATGGGACAGAAACCTTGCACTCAACCTCATTCATCGGATCTTGGATCAAACACCCCCTTGATTCAGGGATGCCAAATCGCTTCAGGAGTTCCTTTCTCACTCAGTTTGGCAAGGTGGAATGCTAAATTGAGGAGGATTCTGAAATAGGCCTGCGCTCAGCAAAAAAGATGTTCCCATTCCCAGAAAAGTCCCCCTGGGTGGGGTGGGGTGACGCTGGGGAGCACTTCTTGGATGAGACCCACTGATGAGGTCAACCAGTCTGAGGGGGGCACGACCATATCTGGGGTGGGGGGACCCTGAGAAAAGAGGTGGGAGAGCAGAGAGGCAGGCAGCACCTACTACTACTCTGTAGGGACCTCCCTGGGTGAGGAGAGAATTCTGACCGAGTGTCATTGGACGAGAGGCAGGGCCCATCATGCTGGCCGCTGGGTGCTGCAGGAACTGGTGCTCATACCTGAACAGGCGTCCCTGGCTTCCAGGGGATGAGCCTGGGAGAAGGCCCATTGCTCTCCCACTTAATTTTTGTCCCCCCCTCAAACCCTTCAAGCAAGTTCAAGAGTCGGTGACTCTCCTGTGACCAGGTCACCCCAAAGCAAAGGTGGGCAGAACTGACCCTCACCACCTCCCACTCTGACATTCCTTTCCCCTTCCCACCTGGGATAGGAAGGTGTGAAGTGTCTCAGACTGGTGCGTGAGACACTAAAGGGTGGACACTCGGGCTGGGCCAGGAAGGGAGGTGCGCCTGGTGCTAGCAGGAGCGCACTGAGAGCGGGCTCAGGAGTCCCTGGCTGGAAGGACCCTTCCCACAGTTGTCTGCTGAGAGCCCTGCATCTAACATGAAGGCACCGAGGCCTGGCAATTGCAGGCAGAGCTATTCTCAGCCCGAGAGCCTCCTGATTCTACATCTCGAGCCACTGCCATCACTCCCCATGTGGGTGCTGAAGAAGAACAGCCACAGCACTACGGGAGTGCTCCAGGCCTTTGAGACGCAGGACTCAAACTGCCACCGACTGGCTGTCACTTATGCCATCAGTAAAATGGGGTATCAGTCCCTGCCTCATGGAGCCCTGGGAGATGACGTACAGGCAGAGGCTGGAGTCTGAGAGCACTGAGCAGTGCTGGCCACCGCCCGACTCCTTGACTCATGCCACTCCTTTACTAATTCTTTGTGAGCCCCACTTTAAGTAAATGTCTGGAGAGGACCAATTACTTGCAGGCTGTTTTTTACAAATCCTTTTCCCTGGCAGTTCACTACTGAGATTTCAAAAAACATCAATCAGTCAGATGCTTAAAATGAATCCCTCAGCGTTTGCAAGCAGGGGCAGCCCCGGACCCTCTGGAGGCAGGCAGCCTCATGGGGCGTAGGCCCCTCTCCTCACCTTCCTGCCAGCTCCACCCACCAGTGTGCTGCCTCTGGGAGGGGAGGAAGGGGGCGCCGAGGAATCGCGCTCTCAGTTCCCTGGCTTTTTTTGAGGACCCACACGGTTTGTAATTAATTCCGCTCTGCGGCAGCACATTGTGTTCTGATCTTAGCAGATAGTTTTGTGTTGTGACTTGCCTGTGGCTTGTTTTCTGAGTGGGCGTGTTGATTCCTTCTGCAGAAAATAGGGGGACAAAAAATCCCTTTACAAGAGCGCATGCTTGCATGCACACATGCCTACATGTGTGTACACAGCCACTAGGTCCAGCCAGAGCCACTTCAAGCCATAGCCAGGGTGGCCCCAGCTGCATGCAGCTGGGATGGCTAGGTCAAAGGAGGTGGAGGAGCTACTGGGCTGTGGGTATGGCTGGGGTGGGCGGCCGGGCAGGGGCAGGCAAGAGTGTGGGAGCATTTGGGAGGATGCACCCTGGTCAGACTGGAGCTGAGCAGCCTGGACCCTGCTGCCAGGTCTGGTCCCAGCACAGCCAGGCTCACCCGTGTCTCGGAGGGGATCCGGATCCACGTCACGTTCATGTAGCTGTGCAGAAGGTTCAGCTTGGCTTCTAGCGACAGGATAAGGCTGGCAAGAGAAGAATATCCTATTGAAATGGTCTGAGCTGGCCCTTATAGCACCCAGTCCACTTGCATGCCAGCTGTCCCAGGAGGAGCAGGGGTGGTACATTCCCTCCCCAGGATGCCCCAGCCATAGCCCTCCCTGTGGGCGCTGGGGAAAGGGACAGAGTAGGATCTTACTGGGCCAGCCGGGCGTTATCGTTGTCGTCTTTCCCCCACTCCCAGTCCTTGCCAGGGTCCACTGCAAAGTGCAGAGGCAGCAGCTTGTGCTCAGAATCCGTCAGGGGGATCACGGCTGGAACAGAAGAGACAGAGCCGTGCTTGGAGCCCCGGCAGTCCCCAGGCAGGATGGCAAGGAAATTCCCAAGCCAGGTATCTGGGTGACAAATGCACCGAGTGGACATCTACACAGATCTGTGCCAGCAGGAGCATGAAGACCAAAACCACTATTGCTAGTTTTTAAAATTTCGTATTTATTGCGGACAGTGGAGAGCAGTTGGAAGCGTCACCTGGACCCTGGCTCTCTTTGGGTCTGTCCAATGGCAGATACTCCATTGGGCAGCAGAATGGGAAAAAAGCTATTGCTGCCTCTGCTATTTCTAGGAAGGATCTAGGCAGGTTAGGCACACTTTGGGAGGCCACCTTGCAGGTGGGCCTGGGGCTCAGCTCTCCTGTCTCGTCCCAGAGAAGGGCCGAATGTGCAAGTCAGGTGAGCAAGGGTGTTGCTGACCTCTACTGGTTTGTAATTTTGTGCCACAAGTCTGTATCAGTGCCTGGGACCCATGGACCCACCCGCCCCTGCCCGTGGGAAGCTCACCTGTGCTGGGGACAGATAAGCAGGTTAACAAACATCTCATAATGTCAGGTGGTGATGAGCCCTGGAAGGGTAAACACCAGGCAGAAGGCAGTGATGGTGAAGCCTTTTTCGGATGGGGTCAGGGGGTCCTTTTGAGGAGGTCACATGTAGGTGGAGATTGCAGTGATGAGCCACTGGCTGGTCATTTCTCAGAGGGATTGACTCATCACAAAACTTCTGTGGTGAAACTCACCACCCGTGGGAAATCCTGGCTCACTCCAGAAGGGCTAGGGTGGAGGGGGTATCTACAGGTTTGGGATCTTCTAGGAGCTTCTGAGCTGCTGGGGGACCTGATGAGAGGAGTGCCTAGTGACACGGTTGACTCCTCCCAAGGGCATTGTCAGGGACAAGGGCAGGAGGAACTGGGAGATGGTCTCCCCAAGTCTTTCCTCGCAACAAGCAGCAGCCTCCTCCATGGGCTCCACTTAGCTCCCCTGCAGGCCCCACACCTGGGAGTCACACACAGCAGAGAAGCACAGCCACCTTGGACCAGCTGCTTTGCCTCTTTGCTGGTGCCCATGGTTCATGGCAAGGGTGCCATGGCAAGAACAAAAAGGCAAGGAAATAGATCAAATCGAAGACTGAACACCAATAGTTGATTTGGTAAGAAATTGGAAAAACTGACTCAATGCTGCCCTCCAGTGTTGCTTAAGAGGAAAAGTGGGTGCAAATAATTCCCCTCTCCACCCCCGCACCTCTTCTTCTCCAGCTTCCCCAAGCTGCCAATAAGGGAAATGCAGCTTTGCTGACCAATGACCAGCTCCGGGCTTTTCATTAATCTGGCTTGGGATTGGAAAGTGCAGTGCTCTGATTTGAGAGGTCAGGGGTGGCTTGGCCTGGCTTTGCTGCAGCCTGCTGGGTTCTGCCTTGACGTGGCCACCCTTTCCAGATCTGAGCTGCAGGGCAGACACACCCAGGGAGGGCTGCAGGGCTGGCTCAGGGACAGGTCTCCCTTGGGTGGTGCCCAGCAGCCTGTCCCATAGTTCTATGAGTCACTACACAAACAGAGAAGGGGTTAGCCTCGCTTCTTACTCATGGGGCAGGGGGTGGCACAGGCTCTCCCCATCCACAATGTTTCCCAGAATAGAGCAGTGCAGCTCCTGGGAGTTCCAAGCCCCCATGAATGGATGGGCCAAACCAAAGTGTCCAGGAAAGGGACTCAAAAAGCAACATTTTAAATAAGCATCTCCTGTGGCTTTTAAAATCAAGCAAATTCAGGAAATATTGTTCTAGAACAAGAATAATCTGTTAGAAGCAGTTCCTGTGGGTGCAACTTGGACATTTTGGGTCTGGCTGTCCACCCGCTTCCCAGGGTAGAATTGCTGTTGGAGAACATCAGCCCAGCCACCACTCCATGTCTTAGCCACCCCGGCCCCAGGATTTAGGGGGAACAGGCACCTAGTGGCATCCATGGTCTGTGGGCAGAAGCAATGTGGGAAGTGCTGGGTGATGTGCTCAGGCATGGGGGTGTCTCTCCCCACTCCCCTTCCATGGTGCCTGCAGAAGACAGCAGATCTCCACTGAAGAGCTGCCTGACAATTGAGAACACTCCTTTTAGATTTCCACTGTGTTAAGTCACTGTGATTTTGGTTTGTTTGTTTCAGATAAACCACCTAAGCTAAGACGGCACCCCAGACAGTCACCCTCACTTCCCTATCATGGGGTTCCTGGGGACTCCTCCCCTCAACAGCAGGGCTGGAATGGACTCCTTGGGCTGCCCAGGGCTCCAGTGCACGGTGGGAATACCCCTGAAGGGGCTAGTGCCTGTCCACCTAGAAGGGTCCAGCAGCCTTGCGGCCTAGATCTGGCTGGGGTGAAGGGCCAGGTACTGAGAGGCTCTACGGACATGCCTGCTCACAACTGAAGACACCGAGGGGCTCAAAGGAAGGCTTTTCTGCAGAGGGTCAACTGCGGCCTGTGGTGAGGGCTGGGGCTGCAGAGCCCAGGGACAGTTCCGGCCAGGAGGCCATGAAAACAGGTCCTCCTCGTGAGCAGCGGCTGCTCAGGATGCCTCTGCTTCTCAACTGTACACCCTGACATTTCCCTATTGGAAACCTGGCTTTACCAGTGAGGAGCAGCCATGCAGCGGCTTGCCCTCTGGTGGTAAATGTCTAGAACAGCAACTGCTTTTCAAAATGAGCCTAAAAAGGCCGGAAAGGTGTTTTGTTTTTGTTTTTGAAAGGCCTCTTGTATGTCTTTTAGCCTGGAAACATATAGGCATCATCTCATGCTAGCCTGAATATATTCTGAGTACTTATTTTCTAAAAAAAAATCAAGATTTCTGGTTTTTGTCTCCGATGTGAAAAGCTGGAAGAGCATTGTTCCACCATGAAAACATTCCAGTCAAACTGCAAATTCACAACTTATCTTTAACCCACCAGACAGCTGAAGTCACAGGGAAACCGACTTATCCAATATCTAAGGAAAGACAGGTGCCTCCAAGGAGAGACAGACATGAGCTTAAGAAGGGCCAATTCAGCTGGACCCCAGTAAGAATCATTCAGCTAAAATGGTTAAATTGGTAAAGGAACAGTATCAGCTAGTGAAATAATATGGAACCCTGGGGGCTGAAGATATAAAGGAAATTCACATGCACCTGCAGGCTCCTCTCCACAGGACCTACCTGGTTCTCCCAAAAAAGACTGGCAGGAGTTCTAAGAGAGTGTCTCCATAGATATTTCCATCCTACCTCTACCAAGGAATAAAAGCTTAAACTGCAGAGTGTAGGGCAACAAACACTGGGTGCACTAAGGGTCATCTTCTGTTACTCTGATTAAGCATCTGTCTTAGGCAGGCACTGTATCCCTGGATCTGGGGATGGGGGTGACCTTCCTGGGCTATCATAACTAGACTGGTCCAAACCTAGACTCTGAAAACCTAGCAAAAGGAAAGGCATGCTTCTTTCCAGGAATAAAAGTGATTTACTGCAGTCTTTACTGTCCTACTCAAGATGCCTGGCTTTCAGCAACGACAACAAAAAACCTATGAGGCGAAAGGAAAGATAAAAAAAAAAACCCAACACATTGATAAAAGACAAAGCAGTTTATAGAACAAGACTCAGATATGACACAGGTGTTGAAACTATCAGACAAGGAATTAAAAATAACTGATTAATAAGTTAAGGACTAATAGAAAAGCCAGATACCATGCAAGATTTGATGGTTAATTTCAGCATACAGAACAAATCTATGAGAAAGAAATGAAAATGCTAGAAATGAAAAACACCATAATAGAGGTGAAGAATGATTTTGAGGGGCTGGTCAGTTGACTTGATATAGCTGAGCAAAGAATCTGATCTGTAAACCTCAAGATAGGTTACTAGAAATGACACAAACTGAAACAGAAAAAAAGGAGGTGGGAAACTGAACACAGCATCTAAGAGCTGTGTGACAATATCAGCACCTTAAGTTCTGTGTAAATGAAATCCCAGAAGAGGGAAAGAACAATGCAAAATAAAATTTTAAAGAAATAATGGCTAAGAATTTTTCAAAATTAATGACAACCATCAACACAGATCTAAGAAACTAAGAGAACATCAAGAAGAAAAAGTAACACCACCACAAATATTCCTATAATAGCCTCTTAACACTTCTGAAACCCAAAGACAAAAAGAAAGTCTTGAAGGCAGCCAGAGAAAAAAGAGGATACATTATACAGAGAAAAACAAAGGTACAAATTACAACAGACTTTTCATGGTAAAACAGGTAAGCCAGAAGATAATGGAGTGACATTTTTAAAGTGCTGAAAGAAAAAAAAAAACTGTTAATCTAGAATTCTATACCCAGCCAAAATATCTCTGAAACATGAAGAAGACATAAAGAGTTTTTCAAATAAAAGTGAGCAAATCATTGCCAGCAGACCTGAACTACAGGAGATGTTAAAGTGCAAGAAATATGGTACCAGTAGAAACTTGTATTTACACAATTAAGAGTGATGGAAATGGAATAAATGGATGTGAAAATTCATTTTTTTCTTCTTTTTAATTGCTCTAACAGATAACTGTCTAAAGCAAAGGGCAGCAGTGCATTATGAATTTATAACAGATGTAAAAATAAAATGTCTGATAATAGCAAAGAATGGGAGGGAGGGATTGGTAATACACTGTTGTAATATCCTTATACAACATGTGAAGTCAAGTAATATTACTTAAAATAGAATCTCATTAATTAGACCAGGTGTGGTGGCTCACACCTGTAATTCCAACACTTTGGGAGGCCAAGGTGGTTGGATCACTTGAGGTCAGGAGTTCAAGATCAGCCTGGCCAACATGGTGAAACCCCATCTCTACTAAAAATACAAAAATTAGCTGGGCATGGTGCTGTGTGCCTGTAATCCAGCTACTCTGGAGGCAGAGGCAGGAGAATCGCTTGAACCCAGGAGGCGGAGGCTGCAGTGAGAGCCTGCAAGATCATGCCACTGCACTCCAGCCTGAGTGACAGAGTGAGACTCTGTCTCAAAAAAAAAAAAAAAAACAAATCTCATTAATTAAAGATGTTTATTGCAAACCCTAGGGAAACCACTAACAATTAAAAATAGGGGTATAACAGGTCCATAGTGGAAATAAAACGGAACCATTAAAAAGCTCAATTTACCCAAGATAAGATAGCAAAAGAGAAACAAAAGGAAAAAAGAACTCATACAGTACATAGAAAACAGGTAGCAAGATGGTGGATTTTAATCCAAACATATCATTAATACTATTAAATGAAAATGGTCAAAACGTATCTTTTAAAAGATAAAATTGTCAGACTGGATGAAAAAGCAAAACCCACATATATGCTGTCTACAAGAATCTCATTGTAAGGGCCAGGCACTGTGGCTCATGCCCAGCACTTTGGGAGGCTGAGATGGGTGGATCACTTGAGGTCAGGGGTTCGAGACCAGCCTGGCCAACATGATGAAACCCTGTCTCTACTAAAAATACAAAAATTAGCTGGGCATGATAGTGTGTGCCTGTAATCCTAGCTACTCGGGAGGCTGAGGCAGGAGAATTGCTTGAACCTGAGAGGTTGAGGTTGTAGGAAAAAAAAAAAAGAAAAAGAATCCCATTTTAAATATAAAGACATATGGAGGTTAAAAGATATTCACTAATGGAAAGAGAGCTAGAGTAGCCATATTTATGTCAAAGTAGGCTCCACAACATGGACTGTTACCAAAGAAAAAGAGGAACATTACATAATGCTAAAGGGGTCAATTTTCCAAGAAGCCATAATCATCCTATGTGTATGCATGCTAACAACATAGCTTCAAAGTACATGAAGCAAATACTAACAAAAATGAGAGAAATAAACAAATGTATTACAGCTGCAGACTTTGCTACTTTTTGCTCAGTAACTGACAGAGCAAGTAGGCAGAAACCAGTAAGGATATAGAAGAACTGAGCTGCACTCTCAGAGAATTTGAGGTAATTGACATTTCTAGAACCTAACAAGAGCAGAGTATATATTATTTTCAAATACATATGGAATATTCACCAACACAGAACATATTCTTAGCCAGTCTGAGTGCATTAAAAAGAACAGAAATCATGATGTTTGTGCTCATGTCATAACTGAAACTATAAACCAGTAACGAATATTTGAACAATCCCCCAAAACTTGAAACTCAAACAGCCTGTTTCTAAATAATCCATAAGTCAGAGGAAGTCTCATGGGAAATTAACGAATAGTTTGAACGGAATGAAAATGCAAATATAGCACATCAAAATTTGTATGGTGTAGTTACAGCAGTACTTAGGGGAAAAGTTATAGCATTAAAATGCTCATATTAGATGAGAAAACAGTCTCAAATTAGTAATCAAAATTTCTGCCTTAAGAAACTAGAAAAGGGGTAGCAAATTAAACTCAAAGCAGAGAGGGAGGAGGGAAGTAATGATAGCCTGTACGTGAGGCCAAGGCCAGCCCCTGAGGATCGGGCCCCTAGGCTGGGGCATCAGGGCCAATGGTGGCAGACATACATTCTCTGGCCTAAAGTTTATATGTAGATAAGATATTTGGATTGGTCATTGGTCTATAGACTAAGCTTGCTATTGACTGAATATTTGTGTTCCTCCAACATTCACTGTTAAAGCTTAGTCTCCATGTAAGAGTATTAGAAGTGTGGTCTTTGGGAGGTGATTAAGGCATGAGGATGGAGTCCTTGAGAATGGGATTAGTGCCTTTATAACAACAGGCACGAGAGCGCTCTTCTTTCTCTCTCTTGGCCACGTGAGGACACAGTAAAAAGTGGCTGTGTGTAGACCAGGAGGAGGACACCCTTACCAGACTCCAAATCTGCTGGCTCCTGGATCTTGTATTCCCAGCTTCCAGAACTATCAGAAATAAATTTCTATTGTTTATAAGCCACCCAGTCTATGGTATTCTGTGGCAGCAGCCTGAATTGACTAAGACAAAACTGGAAAAAGTGCTGACCAGAATTAAGGAAACTGTACTGCTGAAAAAACTCTCAGGCTGAGAGAGCGTTCAGCATCTAACACAATTTCTGGGCTCCTGAACTCATGCCAAAAGTGGGTGGTGAAGCTCTCAGCCCCAGAGGGTGCACTCTGTGCACACATCAGATGTGGCCCTGTGGGACAATGACAACTGGGGTCTCCTCAGAGAGCAGAACCAGGATGTCACCCTGGCCCACCAAAAACTCACTCCCCACATCCAGGGCAGTGAGTGCTGGCTGCTCCTGTCCTGCAGGTAGGACAGGTGGCTGGTGCTGCTGCCTCCCAGCCCCTCTCAGAAGCGGTTTTGTTGGAGCACATGTTCTCACTCCAGTACCATGCATGGGAGCATGGAGTCCTCAGGAGCCTGGAGTGGCCAGATGGAGGAAACTGCACATCACACAGAGATGGCTGGGGCCCTCATTTGGGAATCAGGGGCGATGGTGGCTGGTATGCGCTTCCTGTGGGCATGGACGTCTTGGGGAGGTCTGGTGGGGGATCCAGGTGTCTGTGCCTAATTTGTAGCTCAGGAGGGGACAGGCAGGGCTCCTGAGGGGAGGCTGGCATCTGGGTGCACTCTTGCTTTCTCTTCTCTCCAGGCCTTCAGGCATGACTGAAAAACCCTCAGCCAGTTCTTTCCGTGGAGTTAACTGTGGCTGGCATCCCTTTGGAACAGTGCTTTGGGTCCCTGAGTTGATGGTCATTGGGGTAGGGCATGAACCAATCAGCAGATGTATTGTGGATAAACACACCTCGTGCTTTTAATCAGCGTTACTCAGCTCTCTGGGCACCTGCCCACTCTATAAGCTGAAGACAGAGCTCCATAGCCATGAAGTCCCTTCCATAGCTCCTGGCCACCTCATGGTGCTTTGTGATCTGTAGGTCAACAGTGTCAAAGATGACAGACTTGAGAAACAAAGGTCTCAGCTAAAAGTCTGGATGCCCCCAACCCCAGCTCCTCGGCCTCTCACCCCTTAGCCAGGGGCCTTTGCAGACAAAGGTTCTTCAGGGTTCTGTGCTCTGGGGCTCCTGAGAGGAGTGGCAAAGAAATATGGCCCAGTGAGACTGGCCACACACCACAAGGGTAGGCGTAGCTGTGCTTTTTACTCCCACTCTGACCCTATCTTTCAGTGGCAACTGACAAACTTAGAAAGTAGCCAAGAGAAGGGAGACTAATTACAAACGTAATTCAGTTTGGGGGCACTTCTGGTTTCCAAAACCTTCTTGCTGGCCGGGCGTAGTGGCTCACACCTGTAATCCCAGTACTTTGGGAGGCTGAGGTGGACAGATCACTTGAGCTCAGGAGTTTGAGACCAGCCTGGGCAACATGGAGAAACACCGTCTGTACCAAAAGTACAGAAAGTTAGCTGGGCTTGTGGCATGTGCCTGTAGTCCCACCTACTCGGGAGGCTGAGATGGGAGGATCTGTTGAGCCTGGGAGGTGGAGGTTGCAATGAGCCAAGATCATGGCACTGTACTCCAGCCTGGGTGACAGAATGAAACCCCATCTCAAAAAAAAAAAAAAAAGTTTCAAAAAAAAAAACTTTCTTGCCACCATGAACTAAGCTGATTCTTACCGTAATGTCTTGTAATAGGCATTACATACTTCCTCCATTATTTTATTCAGATAGGTACACAAATAGACCAATTTGATTGGTATTTGATAAATGATTTTTTTTTTTTTTGAGATGGAGTCTCGCTCTGTCGCCCAGGCTGGAGTGCAGTGGCACGATCTTGGCTCACTGCAAGCTCTGCCTCCCTGGTTCATGCCATTCTCCTGCCTCAGCCTCCTGCGTAGCTGGGACTACAGGCACCTGCCACCATGCCCAGTTAATTTTTTGTATTTTTTAGTAGAGACGGGGTTTCACCATGTTAGCCAGGATGGTCTTGATCTCCTGACCTCGTGATCCGCCTGCCTCAGCCTCCCAATGTGCTGGGATTACAGGCATGAGCCACCGCGCCCCGCCGATAAATGATTCTTTAACACAATTTTAAAATCAAGTTGAGCAGAATATGTAATGATACTTGTAACATGTAAAGATACATTTCTATTTAAAAAGAGATTGGATCTGTTTATTATAAATTAATCCTGCAAGAAAAAGCATGGTTCATTGTCAAACATATTGAAAACTGGAATGTTACATTCCGTGTGGCTTGGGGAATAGTAGAGCATAGGTGAGCATTTGATTTAACCACGAGCCATACATCAAATACAGATGGAAGGCTGCTTCCATGGCCCGGTGGGTAGAAGTACTCTGTTTGGCTCCCAAGATCCCTAGCAGACACTTATAAACTTGCTGTGTTGTTTCTAAGCAGCAAGAGACAAATTGGTAAGCTGCTCTTTGCAAAAACTTTTTTTTTTTCAAGTATCACATTTTGAATGTGTTGAGTCTCTGTTCCCAATAAAGGGATGGCCAACCTTGGTGTGATCATCTGTAAGCCTCGATCCTTGCAGTCTGCAGCCGTTTCAGAGCTCTCTGTTCACACCAGCATCTCCCCCTCCATCTGTAACCAGTGGACTCCCTCAGGGCTCCTGTGTGCTGCTCTCTAGGTTCCTTAAGTGGGACCCTTGGGGGAAGGCACTGAGGACACACTGAGGGTGCCCTGACCTCTGTGTGGCCCCTGGATATGCCTCAGAGGCTCACAGGCTGTTTGTATATATGAGGGAAAAACTATTTAAATAATTGACTTATATGTTAATTTTTTTTTTTTTGAGATGAAGTCTCACTCTGTCATCCAGGTTGGAGTGCAGTGACGCAAGCTTGGCTCACTGCAACCTCCACCTCCCAGGTTCAAGAGATTCTCCTGTCACAGCCTCCTGAGTAGCTGGGATTACAGGCACATGCTGCCATGCCCAGATAATTTTTTATATTTTAGTAGAGATGGGGTTTCACCATGTTGCCCAGACTGGTCTTGAACTCCTGAGCTCAGGCAACCCACCCACCTCGGCCTCCCAAAGTGCTGAGATTACAGGTGTGAGCCACTGTGCCTGGCCAATAAATATTAATTTTTAAGAAAAGAATAGCCACAGATGGCATTGACACCTTCCATGAAACAAAGCACCCCCTCCCTACCCTCTTCGACCCTGAAGGTTCCTGAGTCCTGGGTCTGAGACGCTATCTTATCCCAAGCAGGCTTTGACTTGGGGTACCACTTCCTGAGCCTCTTCTCTTGGAGATGCCACTCTCTTGGGCCAAGTCTTTGTGGAAGCCTCGCCATCCACCCTCCCAACCCTTCACTGGCTGCAACTATTCCCTGGGGATGGTTCCTCCTTTCTCAATTTCCCCCTCTGTAAAGTGGGGAAGAGGAAATGGGAAGGGTTAAATAGGTATTCCTGGAAAGGACCTAGAACAGCCCTTGAGCACAGGAAGCACCTGCAAATATATGAGCATGAAGGTGGGGTGCAGACCTAGGCAGCACCTGTATGCACCCAGCCCTTCCCAGTGCAACCTGCTGGCCAGGCCGAGAGCTAACATGTACACATGGGTATGCTCTGCACGGCTCTATATCCACCCAAAGGGAAGAGGAGCTGTGGAGATGGGCAAGGCTGTGCTTGGCTTGTTTGGGACTTTACCAAGAGTTAGCTGCCATTTTGGACTGTAGAGCCTCCTGGGGTATTTGAGGGTATGCTCAGCACACCTGTGTCCCCTCTCTGTGTAACTGGGCACCCCACATATGGGTGCCAGGATCTGATTGCTTCATTGAGTTTTGCAGTATGGCTGTGTGAGAATATTTACAGAAATGCAGATTATTTTATTACATTGGTTTCCTTTGATTTCTCCTGATGTGGGGGTACTAAATGGACTTTATTCCAACACAGGTAACATTATCCATGAATTTCATTTCAGGGTAATGAAGAGTACACTGGACAATGTTTGCTATAAAAGGAGGGGAGTTGGGATTGTTGCACTGGATGATTCCAAAGTTCTTTCCTAGGTTCTATGTTTCCAGGAACTATGCGGCACCTCTGCTTCTCCTGTTAATTGATTTGATTTTTCATAATGTACACATTTGCTCAGTGGCCAGTAGGAACTGACCTGAGCTGGGTGCTGAGAGAATGCCCAGATCTGGGTTTCACAGAGCTCCCCTGCAGGCCATTTTAAGATGTGGCTGCAAGGAGGCTGCTTCCTGCAAAAAGCTGAAGGCCCAAGGCTCAGGTTGTCAGGGAGCAAATGACTAATGTCCTCCCCAGGAGAAAGCAGGTGACCATCATGTGTGGAAGCTACCAAGAAAGAATGCATACATTTTATCTAAAAAGTCCTAAGATAAATTTGCAAAGCCTGGGCCACTGAGGTTGCCCATAGCTGACCAGTCCCACCAGCTCCTGACCTTCCACCTCAAGCCCTTCCCTCTCCCCATGTTGCATGCCTAGCCTGGGAAATGGGAGGATTCCTGAACTTGAAGATGGTCAGTGGCGGCATCAGCAGTAGCCGGGCCACGGCAGTAGCACCTATAAGAGGGGGCTTCCCTTAGAGGGAGAGGCACTCGATGAGAAGTTTAAAGAATGCTTCATGGATTTTTAAGCCTCCAGGAGCTGGACACATGTGGATGAGACATGATGGGGCATGTAAACAGAGGAGGAGGAAGTGGGTGGTGGGAAGAAGGGAGCCTTGTCTCAGCCTGAAATACATTTTTTATCTCATTTCCAGGCTCTCAAAGCATCGTTCCGCAGGCACAAGGATGCGGTGTCTGCTCTTCCTGGGGCTTGTGATTATTGTATCTATTAGCCTCTGTCACAGGGTGCTGTTTATAGGACGGACAGGGTACCATGGCAGAGGGTGACACCTGTGCTTCACAGTGGGGGCCGGTGGCATCCTGGGGCTCGATATTCTGGAGTCTCCCATCTCCTGCCTCCCACCAGGTCCTGCGACTTTGCGGTCTGGCCAGCTCACTCCAGCAGGCCTGAGTCTGCAGCTCATCCTGGAAGCTGCAGCCTCACTGTGATTTCCACGTCCCTCTCTGCTGAGATGTCGTGTGACTTGAGAGCACAGCTGGGACTCTGTCCCGTCCCCACAGTGTCCTTTGAGGCACAGAGGGAAGGCTGCAGAGGTGAAGGTCTAAGGGGGCACAAGGGTGCAGGTGACAAAGAGCGTGGCCATGGCACCTGCCCTGCAGTGGGTCGTGGGGACCTTATGGGTGAATGTGCAGCCTGGCCACAGGATGGTCTTAGAGGCAGGGACCTGCATCGCCCCAGGAGGATCCCAGTGGGCTGCTTTGACTGTGAGGGAGCCAAAGACCCACACCACAGTGGCTCTGAGAGGTGCACTGGGACCAGATCCCAGTTTTTAGAAACCAGGTCATCAGAAGTGAAACCACCCACAACTCTGCAAGGCCCTCCTGAAAGGTCCCAAGCCACAGCGCCCTCCATGGGCATCCTTTGAAGGGAGGATGCTTTCATATGTGCCTTGAAAACACCAAGCAGCAGTATCTGGAAGGCCTGGAAGAGTACTCGGTGCCTTTTGCGAGGAGGGGGTCGGGTATCTGAACCCCATGCTCGGAACTGGGAGACGCTGGCCTTGGGACCATCACCTTCTGACCACAGAATCTCCCTGGGGACTGGACAGAGGGCCCCGCCCCTGGCCGATCCCAGGTCCTGAAAAGGCCCTTCTGGTCTCCCAAGAGGCGGGGTCAGCCCTACGAAGAGCTAAATCCCCGGGAAGGAGGTGCAGGCATTCCGCATTCCGGATTGAAAGTGGGGAGACAATGGAAAGACCGGAGCACCTCCGAGGCCTTACTGATTAAATCTTTCCTTCTGTGGCCAGTGCCACATCTGCAAATAATAAAGAACCATGATGTGACATTCTTGTCACGGCCGGCTGTAGCCTCCAGTCGTCTCTCTTCCTGTGACTTGGGTTCTGCGGCTGCACCACGCATGTCAGCTCCTGGGAGCTCTGCATCTGCTCTTGGGAAGGGGTCTCAAATGCCCTGTGCATTTCTCACCTTCAGCTTCTGCTCCACAGCCCCAGCCTCATTCCCGACTCAACTGCCAGGCCAGGAAGTGACACGCTGGTGCCGCCTCTGGCGGAGGGCTGGGGGAGGCTGGGTTCTGTTCATTTGTCTGTGTCCTTTCCTTCCCAGCTGTCTACAGGAAGGAGTAGCATTTGGGAGTCCTAGGGGTGCAATCTTGTTGCTATATTTACTTCCTGAGCTGCACACTCAGTGGAAAAGGTCAGAAGCAGACACCCCTGAGCTTCCTTCCCCCTGTTGGCCCTGGACAGGGCACTTCCCATTCTCTGGGACCATACCTAATGGCAGGGACTCTGAAATAGTTGGTCTTGCCTGTCCGTCTGTCCCCTGGGGGAGTGAGTCTCTGCCTATACTACAAACAAGAATGACAACAGGAAGGGGTTTCCTCTCCACTCAGCTGGTCACACATCCATCAGTAGCTAACATGAGAAAACAGCAATTGTTCCAAACAAAATCCCCCTATTTCCCCAGTAAAGACATTGACTGGTGCCCTGGAATTGTGCAGTGCACAGCCTGTGGGCTGGCCCAACATCAGCAGCACTGAAATGGCTGCTTAGAGGAAACTCAGCTGCAATGCTTTGAAAGGAAATGTTGACCTTTTGAGTTAAAAGCTTACCCTGGAGCAGGGGTGAGCAAACTCTTCCCATAAATAGCTAATTAGTAAGTAAATATTTTAGGCGCTGCAGGCCTTGGTGTCTGTGGCTGCTCCTCTCTCTACCACTGTAGTGCAAAAACGGCCACAGATGATGCATCTGTGAATGAATGTGGCTCTGTTCCAATAAAACTTTATTTATAAAATGGGTGGTGGGCCATAGTTCATTAATACTTGCTTTTGAAGTTTTTTTCCCTTTAATTTATATCTAAGACTAATTGCATTCCTATAAAATATGTATACATGTGAAAGGGAAAACAGTAAAAGCTATTTAAGGGTAGGTTGCCTTTGTTTAGTATTTTAAAGAGAATGTTGTCTTTAACATTGTTATTTTCAATGAAAACGTTCACACATGCATAAGGTAGCTTTATGCAAAAACTGTCACTGCTGAGTGTGCACAGGTGTGCTTCTAAGGGGGGGTCTCCACAATCCACCTCCCCGTGCAATGGGGTCCCTTCTGATGGCTCTGCCCCCACCCTAGGCTCCTGCGTGCACTCTCTTGGGAGACAGGCATACCTTGTTCTCTTTGCTGGTCTCTCTGTTCCATGGACACAAGGGCAGAGAAATGGGCTTGATCATAGGCCAGAACCAGAGGCGAGCAGTGGCATCTGTTGGGAGGGACCTCCAAGGGCAGGTAGATCCCTCCGAATGGGATGGGTGCGAACGCTGTGGACACAAACCAGGGTGAGGGTGTGAGGAGCAGCCAGCTCGAGCTGGGAGGGGAGGCCCCTGCATCCCTGTCCCTCACTACCCCGGGGGGACTCCGTGGAGAAGCGGAGGGACAGGAGGGGTGGATGGAGGCGGTGCTGAGGGATGGGGCTGAGGGTTTCCAGAGTCATCTGTCTGCCCCAGGACTCCTGCTGCCCTGAGACCTGCACAGGTGTACAGGAGCCCCAGGGCTGGGATGACAGTCACCCGAGATTGGTCAGAGCAGTTGCAGCCTGGAAGCCCACCTTTTTCTGGATGTACTTCTTCCTTTCCTAGTGTTTGGTAAAGCATTTGTATACAACAGAGTATGTGCGCTTCTCAAGGGTGTATATTTGCTCTATGTTTTGAGAACCTCTTCTATTGAATTTGAAGGAACCAGTCAGAGAGCTCCAGGACCAAGATGTAAGTCAGATGGGAACTGAGAATCAGAGGGATCAAGTCCTTCAGTGACAGGGACACAATTTCACTCATTTTCTTACTTGTAAAAAAAGAGGGCAGAAAAGCCTAACACCCTCAGCAAAATAGAATAACTTCTGGAAATATCTGTCCTAAAGCAGCATCTGCTTTGAGGTCATGAAACGTCTTTACTTTTGGCCCTAGAGTGAGTGTATTGCTGCACTCCTTGAGCAGAATTCAGGGACGGTAATTTCAGGGATGTCTTTGATGAACTCTTATGAGTTCCTCCGCCATCCTCACTTTGTCTAAATTGATCACTGTGCTCACAGGAGAGTCAGACTGAGAGGCGACAGGGTGGGGGTACCTGCAAGAGGGCTGTGAGTAGCATGGTAGGAAGCGTGGACCTTCCTCTGCCCCGCAACTCAGAGATCTGATGGTGCTGGGAGCTCAGTCCTGGGCTTACGCAGCAGTGCCCTGATGCAAGCCCTGGTGTTGCACGGAGACCTGCAGACCTCAGCAGGCCCGCGTCCCTGAGCCACACAGGGAAGGGGGTGGGCCAGGCAGGACCTGTGTCCTACCAGTTCCCTGGCTACATAACCATCGTGGCCACATCAGATTTTTTATGGCAGCTGTGATTTAGCGTGAAGAGCCACATCCTGATTCGTAGAGCTCCCTGGAAGACCTATGACTTTTGTTAAGGTGCAGGTGTAAATTCAAACTGGGCAGCTGCACGCTGGAGGGAGGACAGGCTTTGGATCACTCCCTGCCCTTGGCTGATCCCCGCTGGGGACATTGCCTAGCCTCTCTGGGCTTCAGTTTCATCTCTGTAAAGTGGGGAGGGTGGTGTCCACCCTGGGAGGTTGTAGCAAGGGCTGAATGGAGGAACATTCTAGAAGGGGCTGTGCACAGAGTGTGGCTTTTGGTGGGCAGGCCATAAACTGCCCTTGCCTCTTTCTCTGCCAGTTCTGATTCTACCATAGCTTTTGCCAAATGACTCTATGCATTCTGTCTTCCTTTCTTTTTAGTCTTTAACACACATGTGGTCTGCGGAGGGGTGGGAACACACCTGAGTGACTGAGTGCCTCCAGGACATGGCCCAGGGCTGTTGGAGGGGTGTGGGCTGTCTGCTATGCCCTAGGCACACGACAGGAGACAGGAGCCCCTCTGGGCTTGGTCCTGGTCCTCACATGACCAGATTTCTCCTGGCCACCTGCCGTTGATAGGCAGGGCAGCTAGTCAAGAACAATCTCTGCTGCCATCAGGGAGGAGAAAGAAACACGTCGAGGAGATCTTTGCACAGAGTGATGCTTTGTGGCCTCTGGGAGCTCGACCTTGTGCTGTGCTATCTGCTTTCTAGCTGGGATGCTATGCTTTCTGTGTCATGAATACAACACATCTCTTTGAGGAACTTACCTTCTCCACCTGAGTCTCTTAACATTGTATCTGCCACAACAACGATGGGCCTTCTTAATATATGGGCTAGGACAAAAACGTGGAACTCTTCCAGGCTCTCGTACACGGGGTCCTCAGAGTTGTCCACACTGTGAAACAAAACAGAGCCAGCTGGTCACTGACTAAAACAGGGTGGAGGATGGAGAAAGTGGGGACTGCTTCATGCAGGGGCTGAGCCCTCCCCACTCTGGATATTATCTTCATGGACCCCGGCAGCTGCGCCATCCTGGGCCACTTCTCATGCCATCCGCCGATGGCAAATGCACAGGTCCCAGCTCCCCTACCCCACCGTGGGAGCGGTCTCAGAAGATGAGTTGGAAAGAGCCCGCAGGTGAAGGGTGCCGGCCGCTGTGAAGGCGAGTCTCTCTGCAGGCGGAGGCAGCCCACCAGAGCCTGTGGTAGCAGGGCTATTGGCTTTCTGGGGGTGTTTCACAAGGAAGCAGTGGGGGCCAGAGGGATGGAGGGGTTCCTCTCCTGTTTATTTCTCTCAGGGACCCAGGGGTTCCCTGGGCACATCTGATGGGCTGGTGGGGTCATTACCACCAAGATCTGAGGAGCCTTCTAGAAGACACTCACCCCAATGGAGGAGAACAGTGAGAAGGCTGTCTGGATTTCAATCCAGAGCTGGAGGGGATGCGATGTGAATGTGCAGCCCAGGTGGCCCAGACCCTCCCTGACCATGCCCAGGCTCACGTCTGAGGATCAGGGAAACCGCAGGCTCAAGAATGCTTCCACTCAAACCCTAAGACGTTCGGGCAGAAGGTGGCAGCCTCGATGTCCCCCCATAGCAAGGCCACCCAAAAGGGAGGTGCACGTTGAGAGGACAGCCAGAGCTCACAGCGTTATGGAGCCTCGGCTGCACCTGCAGTGCCTGCCAGCTGAGATGACAGCACCAGCCAAGACTCCCCAGAGGTGGCTCTCAGACTTGTTCCTGAGTGTTTGAGGAATGCTCAGAATTAGCTGACGGCAGCAGGTGGGGCCAGGGCTGGCAAATGTGGCCCCTGGCATGGCCTGGGGAAAGAGCTTCATGGGTTCATGGGCACAGTTCCCAGCCACCTGGGACTTCCAGAATGCAGGGTGTGAATCCTAGGGAATGCATTACCATCACCTGTGGAATTTTGGTTACATACTACCCATGTTTTTTCTTTTTCTTATGACTCAATTTACCTTTTTTTTTTTGAGACAGAGTCTTGCTTTGTTACCCAGCCTGGAGTGCAGTGGCGTTATCTCAGCTCAATGCAACCTGCTTGAAATGTTTGTTTTCTGGTGGTGTAAAGAAATAGCACTTGAATATAAATTTTTTTAGTAAGGCTATTTTTATATTTTTTGTAGAAAGGGTATACTTGCTCGCAGTTTTGTTATGAGAGTATATTGAATAAAGGAGATAAGGTTATTTATAACCTGACATGTCCACCTTATTGCTGTGTCCAGTTTTTATTGGGTGGAATGGGATTTTACATTTTGTATTTGTTTTGATTGGTTAGTAACTTTGAATTTTTTAAAAGAGGCAAACGCAGAGGAGAATAAAGGAAGGAATGTTGAGAAAGGTAAAAATACTTTTAAATAAGGAAGAGGAACAGGATGTGACTTACTGCTTTCTTGGACTAGTATAAGTATGCTAGGGCAAATATTTAGGCTAAATTGTGGGAGCTAAGAATATAAAGTATACTGATTTTTTTATTATGGCTAGCAGATATTTAAGAATCTTAGCACAGGTCTTTGAATAAATTTTGCTTCTAAGAGAAGTTACTATTTATTTTTAATTAGATGGGGAGGAAAGGCTTTGAAGAGAAAACTCTATTTTACTTTTTACAATTCTCCCTCTTATAATTTTTTTTTAATTTGTCTGTTTTAATAGCTTTAAGAGAAGTAATTTTTCGAATAGGGTGGAGGAGAGTTAGGAGTTAACTTTGTAAGAGTGGTAGAGATAAGTTTTTGTATAAAATTTTGAAGGCAGGGAATAACATAATAGCTTATAAGTATATTAATAAGAGCGAACAAGGTGAGAATTGAAGTTAATTTTTTTTTTTTTTTTTTTGAGGTGGAGTCTCACTCTGTCGCCCAGGCTGGAGTGCAGTGGCATGATCTCGGCTCACTGCAAGCTCCACCTCCCGGGTTCACGCCATTCTCCTGCCTCAGCCTCCCTGGTAGCTGGGACTACAGGCGCCCGCCACCACGCCCGGCTAATTTTTTGTATTTTTAGTAGAGACGTGTTAGCCAGGATGGTCTTGATCTCCTGACCTCGTGATCCACCTGCCTCGGCCTCCCAAAGTGCTGGGATTACAGACGTGAGCCACCATGCCTGGCCACAATTTTTTTTTTTACTTATCGAATTAATGTTTTATTATTTTAGAAAAAGGGTTATTTATTTTAGAATTTTTGGCAAGTTTATTGGATAGTGCTGTTAATTTTTGTAGTGCTTTTGTTATAGTTTTGTTAGGGGCAGTATTAGGAATAAAGGTACAATATTGAGTTTTAATTATGACTTTTTTTTTTTGCTGATATTATATTTAAAGCTTTTTTTAAGGCAATTTGTCTGGTAGGTCCTAATTGCTTAGCTATTTTTTTGATGGCGTTTTCAGTGTAATTTATGAATTGTTGCTGATTGTAACAGATACAGTTTAGTTTACATTTTTTAAATTCATACTTACCAGAATAACGTGGACTTAAATTTTGCAGCTATTTGATTTTGTATTTTAAATTTATTTGAAATTTTTTTTACAGGATTTTAATAGCATTTATATAAACTTGAGGATTAAAGGACTTACAAGGAATTTTTTTTGGCCTGCGGTGTTTTGTTTTTATTTTTTTAGATTGATGAAATGCTAGAGTGAAGGACAGCTAACTGGATTAGTACTGTTTCAAATATTTGGCACAGCGTTTAGTAAAGGTCCTTTACAGTACTACCATATATTTGCTTGGGGATGGCTAAGCATGGATTGATGGGCGAGCTTTTGGAAAAAGCATTTTTTAAATGCTTTTAAGGAAT
The DNA here is from genome assembly GCF_000001405.40 of Homo sapiens. Classification (NCBI taxonomy): domain Eukaryota; kingdom Metazoa; phylum Chordata; class Mammalia; order Primates; family Hominidae; genus Homo; species Homo sapiens. Next base: position 31,506,719 of record NC_000015.10, read on the forward strand.
ATTAAATTTTTTTCTTGCCATGAGAGGCACAGTGTAAGTTTGGCATTTAGAAAAGGTGCAAGCTGGATTGTCCTCAGGGGCTGACCCGCACAGTGTTAAATTTTAGGAAATAGCAGAGAGAGCTTGGCATGATGGATTATTTTAAGCAGTGGGATTTTGAAAAAGAGCTACTATATAGTTTATATTTGGTTGATGAGGTGACCATTTAAGTGGAAAGGGGATAATTTGGGCCTCTGGAGTACCATGTGTACAAATGTAATAGTGTAATAATTGTTTTTAAAGTGTGAATGGAATATTTTAGCTAGGCATTTGTATTTTGATGTATTGTTTTGATGGCTAAGGTCTGTCTTTAATTTTTTATTTTTATAATAGGCATTCTACTTTTATTAGATGCAGGAGTAACTGGTGTCGGATTTAGAACTTAGGCTACTGAAGAAGGGGAAGATGGGGGAATAATGTGTATTTTAAAAATATTTAGGGTTTTTAAAAATTTATGTCAAATTTCTATATTATAGAAGTGATTAAGGGTAGGTTTAGAGTTAGTTAAGGTGGAGGTGGTGACAGAAGGACAGGGTTATATTGAGAAGGTTGGGTAGGTTTTTTAATGAAATAGATGAAGGGTTTTAGATCTGTATGTTTTTTTTGTGTGTGTGTGGAAGTTTAACTTTGCTCTTGAGTAATTTAAAGGACGTCGTTCCATTTATTATAAGGTTGTTAGGCTGTAGTGTATCCGGAGTTGGTTCCTTCCAGTGGCTTTGTGGTCTCACTGACTTCAAGAATGAAGTCGCGTGTTACACCTCTTAAGTGTGGCACGGACCCAAAGAGTGAGCAGCAGCAAGATTTATTGTGGAGAGAGAAAGAACAAAGGTTCTAAACCATGGAACAGGACCCGAGCAGGTTGCTGCCGCTGCTGGCTGGGGGGCGGGGGTGGCAAGCTTTTATTCCCTTATTGGCCCCTCCCATGTTCCATTTCTGTCCTATCAGAATGTCCTTTTTTCAATCTTCCCTGTCACTGGCTACTTTTAGGATTCTGCTGATTGGTGCGTTTTACAGAGCACTGATTGGTGTGTTTTACAGTCCTAGCTACAGAGTGCTGATTGGTGCATTTTACAATCCTCTTGTAAGACAGAAAAGTTCTCCAAGTCCCCACTCAACCCAGGAAGTCCAGCTGGCTTCACCTCTCAGTAGGAGCAGAAAATTGGCGTTTTGGCTGCAGGTGATTATAACAATAAGTGTTAGGGGTAATTGTGTTAATTAGAGGGCCAGGACATAAATATTTGTGTGAAAAGGCTAGCTGTCATTGATTTTTTAATATTTTTACAAGGTATGATAGAGCAAGCATTAAAGGCAATGGTTTGAGGTGAGTTAGATTTAGTTACATTAATAACAAGGGAGCTATAACAGAATAAGGAAAGGAAAGGAAGTAATAGAGAAAGTATATGAAAATTAAGCTTTTTAAAATTTTAACTTAGTAGGGCTTGATTTTAGTATAGTAACCTAAGATGTTTTCTTGATTTGAGTATAGTGGGTCCTTTTTTTCTTGGCTGTGTGGACAGGGGTCTTAGTGGTTAACAGCATAAAATAGGGTCCTTCCCAGGCTGGCTTGAGTTTTTTATTTTTTGATAAGGATGTGTTTTTGTTTTGTTTTGAGACGGAGTCTTGCTCTGTCACCCAGGCTGGAGTGCAGTGGCGCCGATCTCCGCTCACTGCAAGCTCCGCCTCCTGGGTTCACACCATTCTCCCGCCTCAGCCTCCCCAGTAGCTGGGACTACAGGCGCCCGCCACCACGCTCGGCTAATTTCTTTTTGTATTTTTAGTAGAGACGGGGTTTCACTGTGTTAGCCAGGATGGTCTTGATCTCCTGACCTCATGATCCGCCTGCCTCAGCCTCTCAAAGTGCTGGGATTACAGGCGTGAGGCACTGCGCCAGGCAAGAATGTGGTTTGTAGGCTGGTGCTGATGTACTAGAAATTTTAGGGTTGGTACCTGTGTTAAAAGATTTTTAGTTTTGAGGAAAGGGAAAGTGGAAGATAAATTACGTATATAATTTTTGTTGCGTATTCTGGGGCTTGAGGCCCCATGGTGACGTCTTCTGCTCCATTTCTGCTTAGCGTTGCCTAGGGGACATTGTGGCCCTGCCCCCTCTTAAGGTCTTGGCTTTTTTGTGGCCTTCACCGCCCCTGCGCGTTGTGGCCTTGGGGATGAGGGGCCTTGTGACTTATTCGGCCGCCCTCGGGCTTTGAGAAAGTTAAGCACTATTTTATATTTGATAATGCTTTTTGTATGATTTTATGTTTTTTAACATTAATGTGCTATTAATGTTAAACTTTATTTTAATAAAATTTTGAAGACATTATTTACTTTTAATGTCTGACTATAAGGTAAGGTTTTTATAGACTTTTTAAAACTTTTTATAATTTTTCTTAAAGAGCAGGTTAGTGCTTTAAGAAAAATTTATTGTGCTTTTATTTTAATGTTTAGTTTACAGAAAAATTGGATACCTCTTTAGCTAATATGTTTACATACAGAATTTTCTTTATAATTAATATTTTTAAATTTGTTTAAACTTTTTTTTTTGGAGACGGAGTCTTGCTCTGTTGCCCAGGCTGGAGTGCAGTGGTGCGATCTCAGCTCACCGCAAATTCCACCTCCTGGGTTCACGCCATTCTTTTGCCTCAGCCTCCCGAGTAGCTGGGACTACAGGTGCCTGCCTCCATGCCCGGCTATTTTTTTTGTATTTTTAGTAGAGATGGGGTTTCACCATGTTAGCCAGGATGGTCTTGATCTCCTGACCTCGTGACCGCCTGCCTTGGCCTCCCAAAGTGCTGAAATTATAGGCATGAGCCACCACGCCCAGCCTTGTTTAAAGTTTTAAAACAAAATTTTTTTAACCTTTTAATGTAGGTAAAAATTCATATTTTTATGTCTTTTTGTAATTTTATTAAAAGTATATATTTTTACATATTTTGTATATAAACTGTATAAACTGTTTTTTAAATAGTTTTACATTTAGGAGGCCTAATTACTTTTAAATTACGTAATATTTTTTGCATAAATTTTTTTTATAACTTTTTATGACTTTTATAGACAATTTTTAACATGTTTTAACGTTCTGCCTTTTACATTATTTCTTTTCCTAATTTTACCGTGTCTTTCTTTGATTTTTGTCTTTTCTAGTTATTTTTTTACTTTTTTCTATTTTTTTTTCTTATTTGCACTTTATTTTCCTTTTTTTTTAATTTGCATTTATTTTTCTCTCCCTCTCTGTCATTTTTTGTTTCCTTTTTTTTTCCCGGTCTTGCGGCGCAGGCTGGGCAAGGGACGGGCCCCGCCTGCATGTATGCGCTGCCGTCTGTTTCCCCTGTTTTTTTTTTTTTTCCCTGATTTATTTATTTTTTCTACACTTAGTTTTCTGGGCTGGGTGGGATTTGCATGGCTGTAGTCTTGGCCCCCGGCCGGCTGCAGTCCTGGCCCAGGGCCATCACTGGCCCACAGGCTTGGCAGACACCTGTCGTTAGTCGTAAGAGTTAGGTCCTTTCATCTTGTTGGCTTTTCTTTCTGCGACAGTCCCCGCTCTCTTTTTCACACAGAGCTCGGGTGGGGAGAGGGACTTAATTTTTGGTGTGCCTGGCTGTCTGGCGTCATGCTTGGTGTTTTTGCTTTTTTTTTTCCCCTTCCCCTAGAGGAGCGACTGGCAGGAGTGGAGCTTAGTCTTTTTTTTTTCCCCCAAGAAGAGGGGAAAGGGGAGTTTTGAATATATATATGTATGTATATCTATATGTAACATACATATATATGTATATCTATATGTAACATACATATGTATATCTATATGTAACATACATATGTATATCTATATGTAACATACATATGTATATCTATATGTAACATACATATGTATATCTATATGTAACATACATATGTATATCTATATGTAACATACATATGTATATCTATATGTAACATACATATGTATATCTATATGTAACATACATATGTATATCTATATGTAACATACATATGTATATCTATATGTAACATACATATGTATATCTATATGTAACATACATATGTATATCTATATGTAACATACATATGTATATCTATATGTAACATACATATGTATATCTATATGTAACATATATGTATATCTATATGTAACATATATGTATATCTATATGTAACATATATGTATATCTATATGTAACATATATGTATATCTATATGTAACATATATGTATATCTATATGTAACATATGTATATCTATATGTAACATATGTATATCTATATGTAACATACATGTATATCTATATGTAACATACATGTATATCTATATGTAACATACATATATATGTATATCTATATGTAACATACATATGTATATCTATATGTAACATACATATGTATATCTATATGTAACATACATATGTATATCTATATGTAACATACATATGTATATCTATATGTAACACACATATGTATATCTATATGTAACACACATACATATGTATATCTATATGTAACACACATACATATGTATATCTATATGTAACACACATACATATGTATATCTATATGTAACACACATATATATGTATATCTATATGTAACACACATATATATGTATATCTATATGTAACACACATATATATGTATATCTATATGTAACACATATATATGTATATCTATATGTAACACACACATATATGTATATCTATATGTAACACACACATATATGTATATCTATATGTAACACACACATATATGTATATCTATATGTAACACACACATATATGTATATCTATATGTAACACACACATATATGTATATCTATATGTAACACACACATATATGTATATCTATATGTAACACACACATATATGTATATCTATATGTAACACACACATATATGTATATCTATATGTAACACACACATATATGTATATCTATATGTAACACACACATATATGTATATCTATATGTAACACACATATATATGTATATCTATATGTAACACACATATATATGTATATCTATATGTAACATACATATATATGTATATATATTTTACTATCGGAGGTTTGTGTGAGGTTCAACTCCTCCCCCATGGGGATTTCTCACCTCTTTTTGAGGTTTAACCCCCGACAATGGGGATTTTTTACCTTGAGGCTTAACCCCCCCGCCCATGGGGATTTCTCACCTCTTTTTGAGGTTTAACCCCCACTCAGTGGGGATTTTTTTTACCTTTTTTTAACCTTTAAGACATCCTGGCTAAGAAATATTTTACCACCTCCCATGGCTTTTTGTGTCTAGTCCTAAGGAATGTTTTACTGCCCCTGCAGTTTCTCTCTCCTTGGTATGTTTTAACTAAGGAATGCTTTACTGCCCCGCAGCTTTTTCCTCAGTCTTGATTACTAAGGAAATACTTTACCGGTGTTTTTTCCTGGTGTTTTTTCCTCAATCTGTGCACAGTTTTCTGGTTCACGTGATATGTGAGGAATTGTTTTTTTTTTGCATTGCTGAGACTCTGAGTTTATTCCACATACCGGGTGGGTTTTGAGCTCTTATCCTTGAGGCCACTGCAATGTGGCAGAGGAGCACGCTCCCTTATGAGGAGGGACTGGAGACCACCCCCGGCAGAGAATGTATCCCCATACGGGTCACCAAAATTGTTTGAAATGTTTGTTTCCTGGTGTCGTAAAGCAATATTACTTGAATATAAATTTAATTTTTTTTAGCGAGGCCATTTTTTATTTTCTGTAGAAAGGGTGTACTTGCCAGCAGTTTTGTTATGAGAGTATATTGAATAAAGGAGACAGGGTCATTTATAACCTGACGTGTCCACCTTACTGATGTGTCTGGTTTTTATTGGCTGGAACGGGATTTTACATTTTGTATTTGTTTTGATTGGTTAGTAACTTAGAATTTTTTAAAAGAGGCAAATGCAGAGGAGAATAAAGGAAGGAGGAAGTAACTTGTGGAATGTTGAGAAAGGTAAAAATGCTTTTAAAGAAGGAAGAGGACCAGACTATGACTTAGTGCTTGCTTGGACTAGTATAAGTATGCAAGGCAAATATTTAGGTTAAATTGTGGGAGCTAAGAATATAAAGTATGTTGATTTTTTTATTATGGCTAGCAGATATTTAAGAATGTTAGCACAGGTCTTTGAATAAATTTTGCTTCTAAAAGAAGTTACTATTTATTTTTAACTAGATGGGGAGGAAAGTCTTTAAAGAAGAACCTCTATTTTACTTTTTACAAGCCTCAGCCTCCCAAGTAGCTGGGATTACAGGCATTTGCCACCATGCCCAGCTAATTTTTTTGTATTTTTAGTGGAGACGGGTTTTCACCATGTTGGCCAGGCTGGTCTCGAACTCCTGGCCTCAAGTGATCCACCAGCCTTGGCCTCCCAAAGTGCTGGGATTACAGGCATGAGCCACCACATCCAACCCAATTAACCTTATTTTAACAGTTCAAAAAATTGGCAGCAATCGAAACCTCACAAAATAGTTGCGCACATACAGTAAAAAGAGCTTTTGTTTCCCTGAACCATTTGAAAATAAACAGCCAACCTGGCACCCCATCACCCTGGAAAGTTCTTGCTCATTTTCTATGAACAGAACATCCTCCTACACAACCACCACACGGCTACCGACATCAGGAATTCACACAGTTACATGCAATCACCAGACCCCACGTGTGTGTGCCAGCTGTCCCAATAATGCCTTTTAGAACAAAGGTTCCTGCTCAGGATCAGGTGCTGCATTCAGCGGTGGCGTCTCCTTAGTCTCCTTCACCTGGAACATTTCTCAGGATATCCTTGACTTCCATGACCTTGACATTTTTGAAGATTACAGGTTGGGTATTTTGTAGAATGTCCTTCATAAGGGTTTCTCTGTTTCCTCACAGTTAGATTGGATTGGGTCAAGCTGAGTCCTTCTTGTGACATCTTATCAGGTTGTGTGAACTGCAGATTGTCCCATCACTGGTGAGGTTGTCCCATCACTGGTGAGGTTGACCTGGACCACTCCTTAAGGTCATCTTCCAGGCCTTGCCCCTGCAGACTACTAATTTTTCGTTTGAAATTAACAAGCATTTTGTGGAGAGGAACTTGAACCTATGCAAATACTCCATTCCTCACCAAATCTTTATAGGTTTATTGGTATCACTATGGATTTCTGGTTTTCCATTTTATTCAGTGGGTTATAATCCATTAGTGTGATTATGTGGATGCTCAGATACTCCTTGATGTGGTCAGTGTGGCTTCTCTAAAGCTGGATCTGTGTCCTTTTGACATCCTCATCATTTCTTTTTTTCTTTTCTTTCTTTCTTTCTTTCTTTTTTTTTTTTTTGAGACAGGGTCTTACTGTGTTGCCCAGGCTGGAGTGCAGTGGTGAGATCATAGCTCACTGCAGCCTCGAACTCCTGGGGTCAAGTGAGCCTCCCATTCTGACCTCCCAAGTAGCTGGGACCACAGGCCACCATTATGCCCAGAAAACTTTTTTCATTTTTGTAGAGACGGGGTCTCGCTATGTTGCCAAGGCTGGTCTCGAACTTCTGGGCACAAGTCATCCTTCTGTCTCAGCCTCCCAAAGTGCTGGGATTACAGGTGTGAGCCACCGTGCCCAGCTCCCATCATTTCTTAGAGCACTTTCTTGCTTCCTGGTGCAAAAAGATGGTTCAAGTTCACACTCACACATGGATACATATTTTTGCATGTTTATTTTCATCTTTCTCTCCCTCTCCATGTTTATTTTCATCTTTCTCTCCCTCTCAATATTTATAGAAAACCTTGAGTTCACTGATACCTCCAATTCCAATCCAACCCCACAAAGTTAATTCTATTTGCAACTTTCTTCACTTACTTTCAGAAAACTTGTTCGTATTCATTCTAAAGCATTTCCTTATTTGATCAGTCTTCCCATATGTCAGCCATCTCCCACCTCTGCTCCCCATCCGTGAGGTGGCCCTCTTCACCTGTGTGGCTGACATCTGGCTCTGGCCCCTGGTGTCCTCCCATCCCCCACCCACTCCAGATGCCACCTTGCTTTGCCCCACCTAATGGCTTTAGAACTTACTTTTTCAGCAAGGAAGGAAAGGGAAGTAGAAGAGGAATGTTTTAAATATGTATTGACATGAATACATATTCACACATACACACACATATATTTTATGCCAGGTCTAAATGCAGTGCTCCTGGGTGTGCATTTTGAAACACTGCAGGTGATTAGCCTGCCCAGCCACACCTGAAAGCCAAGCTGCAGTGCCTGGGGGGTCAAGTGCTTTTGGAAGTTGCTTGTTTGTCCCTGTCACCTAGTATGCGTTGAGTGCCGGCGAGTGAATGGTTGAACAACATAATGAACAGCACAGGGGGAGAGAATATGGAGTTAAAACCTGCATACTTGGAGAGAGAAATACCCCAGCTAGAAATGTGGAGCACTGTTCCTTCCCTAATTCAAGGAATGGAGGGGGCAGTGCTGGAAAGAGAGGAGCTGCTCTTGAGTCAGGTACTAATACTGAGAAGCGGGCAGAGCAAGGTGAATGGTAGCCCTCTCAGGCCTGGGTTCTGAGTCCCATCTTCACTTCCTGGCAGAACACTCTGGGATCTGAGCAGCTACACAGGAGGACCCCCATGGTAACAACAGCGTGAAGGCTCAGTATTGGGCACCTTTGTACTGGCACAGCATTCTCCTCATGCAAAACTTAAAGCAGGGCCATCATATTTCCAACCAAAAAACCAATAAATATTCATTGAGCACTTACTATACACTGGTGCTGTGAAAGGCACTGCAGAGGCCCTCAGAGAACTCTGCCTTCATGTAACATCTACCAACCTATCCATCCTTCTTCCTATCTATCTATCCATCCATTCATCCATCTATCCATCTACCCACCCACCCACCCATCTCTCTTCCTTCCCTCCCTCTCTCTCTTCATCCATCCATCTATTGATCCACCCATCCACTTGTCCATCCATCCATCCATCCATCTGCTGTCTGTGCATCCATCTGTCCATCCATTCATGCCATCCACCCACCCACCCACACAACTGTCCACCCAACCACCCATCCACCTGTCCATCCACCCACATGTCCATCTATCCATCCATCCATCCATCTGTCCATCCATTCATCCATCCATGCCATCCACCCACCCATACACCTGTCCACCCACCCACCCATCCACCTGTCCATCCACCCACATGTACCTCTATCCATCCATCCATCCATCCATCCACCCACCCACCTACGCACGCATCCATCCATGTACTCATCCTTCAATTCTTCCATTCAACCATCTATCTGCCCAAGCACCTACTTGTCTGTCCATTCATCTACCCGTCCTTCAAGTTCTGTGCTAGGGCAAAGGCATGGAGTTGGACCATGCCCAGCATGGAGCCTCCTGGCAGAACACTCTGGTATTTGAGTAGCTATGCAAGAGGGCCTCCAAGGTAACAACGGTGCAAAGGTTAAGTATTAGGCACCATTGTACTGGCATGGCATTCTTTTCATGGCTAACTTAAGGCAGGGCCATTTTATTTCAGCAGCAATGATAGGATGGCGGGCCCAGTTGAGAGGTGATGGAGGACAGCTGGAGCAGAGCAGCCTTTCTCCATTCCAGTTTTGGTGTTGAGCATGGGAGCCATGTGAGCAACTGAAACCTGCTCAGTGACCCAGGGGGTGGCGGAGAGGATCCCAGCTCCAGCGGGGGGCAGCCTGAAAATCATAATGATGTTCCCTACTTGCTTCTGGCTCCTTGTCCAAGACTTAGGGAGGGTCCTGGTTCTATACCAGGAGCCTCAGTGTTGAAGGCAGCCAGAGAGCACCTGAGGGTGTAGAGGGTGTAACAGAAACAAAACAGCAGAGGTTGCTGCCTGGGCATTAGAAGTAGAACACCACACCCAAAGACCCAAGCTGGTGGCCAGAGATAAGAACTTAGAGGCGACTCTCTGCCTAGCAGACTGGGCTTTCCACTTTCCCACCACTTCCTTTAAATGGACCATTCAGACATTTGCCCATGAACTTAAAGTGACCCACATCCTATTCCCCTATATATATTTCTAGTTGGATCTCTCTGCCTGAATCTTAATCCCTGCCTCAATGTGACCCTGGGATGGAGCACTGCCCTCCCAACTCATGATGGCCTCCATGCCCAGGATCTATAAGTAAAAACCTTTGAACTTGCTTCCCATTGTGGCGGTGGATTGAATTTGCACCTTCCTTTGGAAGAAGCAGAGGCTACCCCAGGCCATGTTTTCACCAGACGCCAAGGAGAACACAAGGCTGGTCCCAGCCACAGAGCGATGGTCAGGTAAGAAAAAACTAGACACAGGCCAGACAGGAGCCACAAAGCCATCTGCCAGTACAAACAAGCTTCCCATGTGAGGGACATGGGTCATGGGTTAGGCAACCAGGCATTAGGACACCTGCCAGGTAAGAGAAGTATCCCATGAAAGGCACACTGTAAACGCCTATGTCCAGGTCCCTTTTCATTTCTCCTTATTGCAGGTTTTCTAGCTGCTCTGGTACTGGAACTCCAATTTAGCTGGGGGCTCTAAAATGAAGGGCAAACAAGATCTTATCTGGGACGAGAGTTTGGAACTGTGACCTGCACTCTGTGACCAGAGCCCATTGGTAGAAATCAGTTTCAGAAAAACCAATTCTGAAAATTCACTCCCACTTTTAGCCCTGAGACTTCATGTCTTCTTCTTGTGAGTTTGCTGAGCAAATGCGAGATCTGGGATTGTGGGGAGAATCTGGCCACTGGGCAAAGACATAACAATTCCTAAAATGCTTAAAAATCAGTGCTTACTGCAAAGAAGACTGACATGCAATATAATGACTTCATCCTCCAAGATGTGCATGTCCTGAGAACTTCCTAACATGCTTTGGGCCCCACACACTGAGTTCTCCAGGGCACCTACATCTGCTTCTCCAGTGGGTACTTGAGGAGGGAGAATTTCCAGGGTTAGGGATATACCGTCTACCCAATGAAAACACCCTGAGAAAGATGGGGGTGGGCAGAGGCTGAGGAGTCCCTCCTGGCAGGACCAAGAAGCAAAGGTCATGGAGCAAGGTCCAGATGGTATCTCAGGCCCCAGGGAACAGTTTGGGGGCACCCTGGCTTAAGCTGTAGCCACCATCCTTGGAGACCATCCTCGGCAAGAGCGCGTGTCATAGATAAGGAAGCCAGTCTGGGGCCGGCAGGTCTTGTTAAAGGGCAGTCACCCAGCCACCCAGACGGAGAGCCTGGATGAAGCCTCCCAGGTCCCTCCCCATATCCCCTCCTCCAGATGGGGTGTCCACACCTCCTGTTTTGCTTGGGAAAGTCCTGTTCACACATCCCAAGTGGTTAGTGCCCACTTTCCTTCCCCCAAATGAACCAGTTTGGATGATAAATTGTAGTCACCTCACCTATGGGGACATAGGTGTTGGTTTTTGGTGTACCCTTCCATAAAAAAAGTAAGTGCAAGGCCAGGTGTGGTGGTTCACACCTGTAATCCCAGCACTTTGGGAGGCCGAGGCGGGTGGATCATGAGGTCAGGAGATCGAGACCATCCTGGCCAACATGGTGAAACCCTGTCTCTACTAAAAATACAAAAATTAGCCAGGCATTGGTGGCTTGTGCCTGTAGTCCCAGCTACTCGGGAGGCTGAGGCAGGATCATCGCTTGAACCCAGGAGGTGGAGGTTGCAGTGAGCCGAGATCGCACCACTGCATTCTAGCCTGGGTGACAGAGCGAGACTCCATCTGATTAAAAAAAAAAAGTAAGTGCACATCTGTGTGCACACACGTATGAATGTGAGTAAATGCGCATAAACTGTATGCACACATCCTCCCACCTCTAGGTAGCATGTTTATACTCACTAGTCCAACCACTGCCTTTTCCTCCTCCTGATGCATCCTGAGACACCCACAGCACAGTAGGTGGGGATGGTCCTTACTCCTTTTCACAGGTGCAAGGTTCTCCTCATGCACAGATCTCATGGGCAGCATTTCTGAGAGGTGTGCCTCAACCCCTCTCTCAGGTAGGGCCCTGCACAGCAGAGCCAGTCTGAGGAGGCTCAAGGGGCTGAACCCAGCCTATGTCCTGCTGTGGGCCTTTGCCCCTGGTCAAGGACTGTGCCTGCCCAGACAGGCACCTTTTACAAAAGACTCTCCAAAGGCACAGTACAGGCTAGCAGGGACTCTGCTAAGAGCTATGGCCTGGGAAGCTGAGATGGAAGGACGGGGGCCTCCCAGTGCTTCGAAGGGACTGAATGGATCTTAGGCTCTGAAAGACCTTCTAGCAGTGGCCAGTGTGGCTTGAGGAACAAGACTTATTGCTTAGGATCAATAAGCTGAGGTCAGTCATGTGACAAATAGTTACTGATTATCCACTACAGGTCTAGCACTGTGCTGTGTGTGTGTGTGTGTGTGTGTGCACGCACGCGCACTCACACTTGCCCATGTGTGCCCATGAATGCAGGTTTAGGTAGGGAGAGATACTAACACATGATCAAATAAGAAATTATCAGTTATTTTTCTGCATCTATCAAGATGATCATATGGTTTTTGTTCTTAATTCTGTTTACGTGATATATCACATTCATTGATTTGTGTATGTTGAATCATCCTTGCATTCCTGGGATAAATCCCACCTGATTATGGTGTATTATCTTTTCGATGTCCTGTTAGATTTGATTTGCTAGTATTTTGTCAAGGATTTCTGCATTCAATACAATTCAGCATCACTTCATGATGAAAATCCTCAACAAACTAGGCATAGAAAGAACATACCTCAACATAATAAAGGTCTTCTATGACAAACCCACAGCTAACAGCATACTTAATGGGGAAAAGTTGAAAGCTTTTCCTCTAAGGACTGGAACAAGATGAGGATGCCCACTTTTACCACTGTTATTCAACATAGTACTGGAAGTACCCACAGCGCAGTCAGGCAAGAGAAAAAAACAAAAGGCATCCAAATTGGAAAAGAAGGAGTCAGATCATCCCTGTTTGCTAGTGATATGATTTTATAATTAGAAAACCATAAAGACTCTACCAAAAACCTGTTATATTTGATACACAAATTTAGTAAAGTTTCAGGATACAACATTAACATAATGAAAGCAGTAGCATTTCTATATACCAGTAACAATCTAGCTGAGGACTAAATCAAGAAGGCAATCCCATTTAAATTAGCTACAAAAATATCGAGGAATATATTTAACCAGGGATGTGAAAGATCTCTATAAGGAGGACTACAAAATGCTGAAGAAAAAAATTGTCAATGACACAAATGAATGGAAAAACATCCCATGCTCATGGATTCCAAGAATCAACATCATTAAAATGACTATATTGCTACAGTAATCTACAGATTCAATACAATCCCTATCAAGTTACCAATGTCATTTTTCACAGGATTATAAAAAACAATAAATTTCATATGGAACTAAAAAGGAGCCTGTCTAGCCAACGGAATCCTAAGCAAAAAGAACAAAGCTGAAGGATAACATCATCTAATTTCAAATTGTACTACAAGGTTATAGTAAACAAAACAGTATGGTATTGGTACAAAAACAGACACATAGATCAATGGAACAGAATACATAACCTATAAATGAAGCCACATACTTATAACCAACTGATCTTCAACAACACCAACAAAAATATACACTGGGGAAATGACACTATTCATTTTGCGTCATTCACTATTTAGTGTTGGGAAAATTGCATAGCGATATGCAGAAGAATGAGATTGGACCCACACTTCTCACCATATATAAAAATTAACTCAAAATGGATTAAAGACCTAAATGTAAGACCTGAAACTATAAACATTCTACAAGGAAACCTATGTAAAACTCTTTTGGACATTGGCCTATGCAAATAATTTATGACCAAGTCTTCAAAAGCAAATGTAACAAAAACAAAAATAGATGTTGGTGAGGATATAATGAAAAGGGAACACATGCTGTTGGTAGGAATGTAAATTCATACAACCTTTATGGAAAACAGTGTGGAGATTTCTCAAAGAACTAAAAATAGAACTACCACTCAATCCAGCAATCCCACTACTAGGTATATACCCAAAGGGAAATGAATCATTCTATCAAAAAGATACCTGCATGTTTACTCTAACACTATTCACAATGGCAAAAAGATAGAAACCACCTAAGTGTCCATCAACGTAGGATTAGATAAAGAAAATGTATATATATACCATGGAATATGACTCAGCCATAAAAAAGAATGGAATCCTGTCTTTTGCAGCAACATGGATGGATATGGAAGCGATTATCCTCAGTGATATAACTCAGAAACAGAAAGTCAAATACTGCATGTTCTCACTTATAGCTGGGGGCTAAACAACGCGTACATATGGACAGGCAGAATGGAATAACAGACACTGGAAGCTATGACAGGCCGGAGGGTTCGCGGGGGTGAGGACTGAAAAATTACAATGTTCACTACTTGGGTAATGGGTACGCTAAAATCCCAGACTTTACCACAATGCAATATTTGCATGTAAGAAACCTGCACTTGTATCCCCTAAACATATTTAAATAAATAATAAAATAATAAAAAACTCTCAGTAGAGTGATAAAAGGTGGATTCTTTAGACAGGAAGATCAGAGAAGGCTCCTACTTGAGAACCATCCCTAGATAGTCAACTTTGGTCTTATTTTCAATTAGAAATGTCTTTAAAAATTTGAGCCGGGTCCCACATCTGCAAAGTGAGGACACCTTACGTTAGCAGATGCTCTTTCTGCTTGGTCTGCTGGTGGAAGTCATGGCACCTTCAGGAATACACATAAGAATGCCTCCTTTCCTTCACAAGGCCAGCCCATGGCCCGGGAGCACCAGGCTGTGGTGTGGGCATCTCCCAGGAATAAAATGCCTCTTGCTTTTCCTCAAAAGACTGACTGAAATTGACAACTCTCAGACTGTGTGCTAGGAAATCACTTGGGATTCTAGCTACTTCCGAAAAAAGCTAATAAAAAGAAATGCAGCAAACACATTGTCAGTGAAATTTCAGAAACTCAACTACAAAGAGAAAGCAGAGAGGTTAGCATGTGAGAAAAGTAAGGACCTAGACAGAAGATGCCCCCGGGGGCTGCCAGAGGGTCCCCCAAACGGTCCCTCTTGCTCTGCTCTCTTCTCCTCTTTGTCTGTCGGACTGGCCTCTCAGCTTCCACTTAGCCCTTCTCATCAAACAGAAAACAAATAAGTAGTTCTTTTAAAAGTTTAAAGAACAAAAATGATTATTTTCACCATAGTCAAGATAAGTTGTTGATTCCTACTCCTCATGCCTGGTCTGCATTTGTCAAGAGTGTGGGCTTAGGTTTCTTTGGTCAGTTCTAAGTTCAGGTTCTGGCTTTGTGTCTTTCAGGCTGTGGGACATTGGAAGCTAACCTGTGATGGTTAGATAGCTGGTTAAACGTTATTTCTGCATGTGTCTGTGAGGGCATTTTGGGTGAGATTAGCATTTGAATTGCTGGAGAGCAGAAAGCAGAGGGCTTTCACCAATATGGGTGGGGCTCATCTGATCTATTCATGATGGGAACAAAACAGTGGCGGAGGGCGGAATAACCAAACCTGTTTGAGCTGGGACATGGACTTTCTGCCCTCAGCACTCCTGGTTCTCAGGCCTTCAGATTCAGACTGGATCCACACCATCAGTTCTCCAGCTCTTGGGCCTTCGTGTTACACCACTGGCTTTCCTGGGTCTCCAGCTGGCACATGCCAGATCGTGGGAATTCTCAGACACCATAATCACGTGAGCCAATACCTACATTAGATCTCTTTATATGTATGTCTTTTATTGGTTCTGTTTCTCTGGAGAACCCTAATACATTATCTAATTCTCTGAATCTCAGCCTCCTTCTCTGTGATTGGTGATGATAATGACAGCTCATAGGCCTGCCTGACACATAACATGGGCTCAGTAGATGACACTGTTCACATTCCCATCTGACCTCACTAATCCCTCCCCAAGCCCTAGGGAAGGCCTGGTTCTTCCACGTGGCCGGGGCCTGGCCACTGTGAGTCCTCCTGGGAGGCACAGTGAGAGGAAGCAGGTCTAGCTCACACCCACACCTGGTCTCTGGTCCCTGCTGACCTCTTCAGATACGTGACATAGTTGCTTTCTGGGAAAGTAACAAGTTTAAAATGACTCCAGGCCATCATCTGTGTCAAGGACCAATAGTACAGGGGCTGCCCCATCTGTCTCCATACCAGGGGCTCCCAGAGCAGGATGCAGGGCCCGCACTGCACCCTTTACCCTCATCCGTGGGGAACAGGTTCTGGGAAACCCAGGCTGGGATGAATAAAGCCACCTTAGTTCTTCTCGCCATCATGCCTGCAAACTCTCCCTTGACTTGCTCTTTCCTATTCCCGGGTGGCACCCTGGAAATTTTGTGTGGTTCTTCTGGTTACTTTCCTGTGCAGGGGGCTATCAGCCCCAAGCTTGAGCCTCCTGAAAGACTGGGTTAGCTTCCAGCTGGCTTCTCTGTTTCACCTTTTGCCTCCTCCCCTTCTCTGGCTGCTGTCTGTGTCCCCTGTGGGGCCGGCACAGGCAGGGAGGAGGGGCAGGAGGGTGGCAAAGTCTTTCTTGCTGTCTTCCTTCAGGGCCCGCTGGGCTCGCTGGAGGTCCCAGTGCTGACCTGCTGTCTGAGGAAGTGCTTTTTTTGGGTCTTCAGAGCTCTCTGCCAGTTGAGGGGCTGTGTCCTTAGGTCCCTGGGCTGCAGTGGTGGCTCCTCTCACTGACTACTCGTGTCCACCCTCAGCCCTGGCCTCAGGGGCTGGTCTTCTGTGTGGTCCCCACCATAGATGAGTCCTGAAGCCAGCCCGCTTGGGGCCTCCTCCCTGAATCCATGCCTGGACCTCGGGCAGCTCGCAGCATCCTGGCCTTACATCCCCTACGGCCCCATGTCCTGGCCTGTACAGCCCACCACAGCCCTGTGAACCCTGAGCTCGCCAGTTTCTGCCTTCAGGTGCTTCAGTCAGGTGTCAGAAACTCAACCCTGCAGCCCTCAAGCCCCAGAGATGATGCCCTACACCTCTCAGCTCAACATGGGGAGAGAAGACACAGGCAAAAGGCAGAGCAACTGTGCTTGTGCACAAAGGCCTCTCTTGTGGACTCTGAACCCCAAGTGAATTCTTGGAGCAGGTGAGCTCTGGAGCACCCTGTTGGCGAGTCCTGCACAGCTGCACGGGTGCCTTGCTGAGGCGCTCTCTGTCCGTTACCCCAGTCCATGGGACTCAGCCAAAACTCCCCATTCCCAGGAAAATGTTTTATGCCTGGTTCCAAAGGCCTCCCTCCTTGACTGGCCATGCAAAGGTTCCAGGTAACCCAAGGAGGCATCTGGCTACAGAAGCAACTCTGTTTGGTAGATTCCTATTGCATATGCTCTGTCCTCTTCTGAGTTTTTTGTTTTTTTTTTTCCCTTTTTCTTTCTCCACTGGAAACACCTGTTGCTGAAACCCTAGAAATGCCTCCTGCATCACTGGCACAGGATTCTGACCTGAGCATCAGTGGCATCTGTGGGGACCAGGTGGCTGTGTCCTTTCTACAGACTGCTGTATTTGAGGGATTTTGTTAGGCTGTAGAGCCTGGTCAAAAGAGGAGACTTAATGATCAGACCAAATTTTGACTTTTTGGCTCCTTCCATTTATCATTTTTGTGGGGTCTTGGAACAGTTACCTAATCCCATTGAGGCTCAGTTTTTGAATCTGTGGAAGGGGTACTGGAGGCTTGTGAGGCAGAGTTTGAAAGGAGGGGAGAGAGTGCCTAGCACAGGGCCCTCTTATGGTCTCCCCGACCCCACCCCACCCCACCTGTGCTCGCCTCCCTCCTTCCGTTCCCCCAACACCACCCATACCTTCCTGCCTCATCTCTCCATTCTTTCCTGATGGGGTCACTCCCATCCACCCTTGGTTGTTTAGTTTCCCCTCTCTGGCCATTCCCCGGGTTCTTCCTTCTCTTTTGTGATGTGGCAGCCAGAACTATGGCTCCCAGGGGCAGGGGACCAGGCTATCCTACATAAATGGGACAATGTCTGGGCCATTTTGGATATTCCTAAAGGGACCTAATCCTTTTGTTAGATTAAGGTTGATCACTCAGACTCTGTGGGAGATAGGGACAGACACCAAGTGGCCCCTGTGTCCCCATTAGCATCTGAATCCCTCGGGCCCCAGGGAGCAGGCAGCAGGGTACCAGACTGTGGCCTTAGGAGTCAGATGGGCTGACTAGCCATGAGACCTTGGGCGAAGCTCCTCCTGGATGGGGGTACTCAGGAGATGTGTATGTGATGGTCACCTGTGATTGATTTTCACCCACTATCAAAGTCATCATTGCTGCTGTCTTTCCCCACTCCTCCCTGTCCCTGGCAGAGACACCTGGCCTGGATCCAGTCTGCCAGCACCTATCAGGCGTCCTCCCTGTGGCAGGAGGGAGAGAGGCAACTGTGAAAACGATGTCGAGGAACACTTAAGACCCATCACAGGCAGGACTCGGGAGGCGTGCAGAGGAAGAGAGCAGTTTTCCACAGTCGACTGAGTCTTCAGAATGCTTGTCCTCAAATGTCCTGCCAAGATAGACTGTTGGTATGGACATAACATAGCCTTAAAACACAGTGACAAGACAGCCCTGGAGGAAGGGTGTGCCAGCGTATGTGGGTTTCTAATGATTTCATCTTCAAACATGGTCTTGGACGCCACTGCTGCAGCTGCAGCTCTGTGGGAGCCTCTTTTCCAGCCGGGGCCTCCAGGGAGAGCTGGCCCATGAGGCACTAGGCCCTGCCTTGGTGGGTGGGTGAGGACCCAGTTGCCCGCTGCAGGGCCCATGAGCCTGAGGGCAGCCTGGAGCTGCATGCAATCCTCCTTCCATGGGTCTCCCTGGTGTTACTGCTCACACTTTCTCATGTTTGGCTGAGACCTTCTCTAGGAGCAACACCTTTGCTTTCAGGTTCCAGAGAATATGAACTGAAGAATAAGCCGCGGCCAAGGCTCTATGGCTGCCCCACTGGTCTGGCCACGGTCTTCATTCCATACTAGAACATCCAAGGTGTTTCTGTAGGAACAAGCTATTCCTAAACATGCACAGATGTGAAGTCTTTTTGCTGGGAACACATATAATATCCATGGAGCCCATCTGGGAAACACCAGGCTAGCTTAATGAGCTTCTGCTTTCAGGGCAACTTCTTGAAGCCACAAATTAATTAGTTGGGGGAGAAAACCCAAACTTCAGAGCCAGGTTCGTGCGATGGCAATGTGTGGGAATGCTCACCATCACGTGTGACCTCCAGAGGCCTGCTGTGCCCTGAAGGCGCACACCCCAACTGTTGTGCACAATAAAGTTCAAGGAAAGTGGCCTGGAGGCAGCTCATGTGAGCTCACCTCTGCCTGCATAGTGCATGTGGGGGCTGCATACCCTTCCACTAGCACCTGGCGGGGCCAGCCATCACCCACGGTCCTCCCGTGCGTCCTTGTCTTGAAGCTAATGCTGGAAAGCTGGAATCTTTCTGTCTTCCACAGCACAAGAGTCCCACATTCCCCCCCGTGCCATCCCCCCATGCTGTGTGTAGCCCTGGGTGGCCTGGAGCTGGAGGTGACTTCTGGGGAGAGCAGGGGCAGCACTTACCCCCCGCCCGTGCCGCCATTCTTGCTGAAGTGTGTGCGCGGCTCGCTGGAGGCCAGCTTCAGCAGCTCCGTCCACTCCCGCTCCCACTCCTCCTCTGTGTACACCAGCCCTGACTGGCAGAGGGGAGCCGGCTCAGAAGGGGGGTGGGCCACAGCTGCGCTGCCCTCCTCTCCTCACCCTCCCAATCTGGACCAGCCTCACCGGGACCCAGGCCAGGCACATCTGTAGGTAGCTACCAACTATACCAACTGCACCCTCTTGGCCACCTTTGCTATGCACAATATATTTTCAGAAGCCCCAAGCTCTAATTCCAGAGCTGCTGGGAATCTGCCCACCAACAAGGGTCATTCTCAGGGGCTGGGGATGACCGAGCATTAACCTGTGCCTGCACCTAACTGGGGCTGGCCGTTCAGATTCTTCTAGGAGAGCAAGGTCCTCATGTTTACCATGGTTGGGGACAATCGGGAATCCCTTTGGACTGAGCTCACACACAGGGGCTGGGGCCATGGGCTGCACCTGACAGCAGGCAGTCATATATATAATTCATCATCCAAGCCAGGATGCTTTTGGGAATGAAGGTAGGCAGCTTTCATGATTATGCCTTAAGGAAGCACAAGTGGACGCATAGTTGCTGTCTGCCGGGACTCTGCTATTTTAACAGGCTCCTCCTCTGTGGGCTTAAAAGCAGGAGACTTTCCTGATCCCAGGGGCTGTTTCTGCCTTCCCCTCATAAGACTGTCTGGGGCCTGGAGGCCATGCTGTGGACTCGACCACGGCCCGAGGCTGCATCTGGCCTGGGTCCCGGGCTCTGGCCATGCCAGTGGATACCAACCTCCTTATTCTGCTGCGTCTGCTGCCACCTCCACCTCCGCTTCAGGGCTTCCCTCTCAGCTCCCGTCCTCATCATGGTATAGAGAGCTTTCCGTAACACCAGGTCCCGGTCGTGAAACCCCCACATTCCTGGAGCCAGGAGGCCAGGGAGAACAGAGGAGAGAAAGGACATGAGAAAAGACAAGCCAGAGGTGATGCAAACTACCACGACCCACTGGGAGAGCCTCCTGTCTGCACGCAGAACAGCCTCCTTACTCAGCGGTTCTGTTAATTCCCCTCCAGCCTTCTTCCTGAGGCTTCCCATTAAGGCAACTAGGTGAATGAAGCAGCACATCCTGTTCTTAGCAAAACAATAGTGGGTGAAAATCAAGTGCTTTTCCTCTCTGGTGCCCTTGGCAACCCATTCTCAATGTTGCTGGTTTGCTTTGAGGACCTAATGGTCATTATTCAAGTCTTACATTTGGGTGGGGGACTGACTAGGGGACAGGGACAGGCTGTCCAGTGTCCTTATGGAGGGCTCCAGGTGAGGGAGGCCATTAGCATCCTGGCTTCTCCAGGGTCTGCCATTTCCCTCCTCTCCAGCCCTGAGGCATCTCAGCTTCCTGAGAAGCAGAGCGTCAGTGACACCACTGCACACACCTGGCCCAGGAGAGAGCGCCTGCTTCCTAGTGAGAGGGTCTCACCCTGTGCCAGGTGCTGAGAGGATATAGAGAGAAACCAGCCATCTCTGAGAATGTGCTCTGGGCAGCTTAGATGTGATCAAGAACCCCAACTCATGGGAGAAGTGCTCAAGAGAAGGGCAGCTCTGGCTACAAGGGAAAACACAGGGGAATCCATCCATCCATCCGTCCATCCAGCCATCCACCCACCCACGCACCCACTCACTCATTCTAGGTGCTGGGAATATATGTGGCAGTGGCCGGGACACATGAAGTTCCTAAAATCTCATGGAGCACATGTTGTGGGGAAGTGGGAAGTGAGGATAGCCACGAGGCTGGCACAGAGTGTACGATGTTGAGGGTGGCAGCCCCACGAGGAGAGGTGAGGCAGGCAGATCTGCTGTGGCGTGAATGGAGACATAGGAGCAAAGGCTCAAATGGGTGGAGGAAGGAGCCAAGTTGCTGTCCCAGCACAGGGAAAGGCCAGGGACAGACCCAGAGGGGGCAGTACTTGAGAAAAGGCAAGAGGGAAAGGTGGCTAAAGTGGGATCGAGGAGAGAGGGAGAGTGAAAAGGGGGCTCTCGAGGGAACTGTGAGCCTCTGGAGAGTCTACAGAAGGAGAGTAATGTGAACTGATGTTTTCAAAGGCTCAACTGGCTGGGCATCTTTGGATATGCAATAGCCCAGGCCTGCCACAGGCTTCTAGCCAGCAAGGCTTCGCCTTTTTCTATAGGATGGCAGGGGAGGGGGAATGACCACTGTCACTCCTCGCTCATCCTCAGACCTCTTTCAGCTGCCTTCTGGGACTCTCCCACAGCTCCTTGGGCAGGTCTCTCTTGCAGAGATGGCCTCCTTGTCCTGCATATATCTGCCTACAGGCCTGACTCCAAGATGACTGTCATTTCTATATGTGCCCCACAATCCTAGCTCAACGTCAGGCCAGGCCAACAGGGGTTCCACAAGGACTGCTGGTGAATGTCATGTGGCAGCTTTGGGCAGCCCCAGTCCTGCGGAGTTTAGCTATATGGGCACAAAATGAAACAAAGTGCTGGGATAAGAGGACAGATTGCTATGAGCTCTGGGCTTATTGTTGTACAGGGGATTCTTGGAGGGGGGTCTCACAGCCCTGGTCAGTCATGGCCCAGGCTCTCTTGCAGATGGAAATGACCAGCCTGAGGGAGGCTCTCTCTTCCCAGGCAGGCCTGGGAGGCCCACTGTGCTCACAGGGAAAATGCTGTGGGGTGTGGCCTTGCCCCGCTGTTGTGCTGATGGGGACAATGACTCTACATGCTGCAGTTGCTGAGGGACAAAAACATTTCCATGCCCCAGACTTCACAATGAGGCTGCTGTTTGACACAGATGAGAGATTTATTCTTTTAGATTCTTTCTCCAGGTTTTAGAAAGAACAAGGCAAAATATGCTCAATAACAGGGGAATAGTTAATGTTATCCACTATGATAAAATAAGACCCAACTACTTAAAATCATGTGTTTGAAGGATAACAGCAGGGAAAATTCTCAGATTGTAAGGGAAAATGTTGGATTCAAGACTGTGAACACAGCAAGATCATCATTTCACCTGAAGAACAGACAAAAGACCGGAAGATGATGACAATACCAAACTGTTAAGAGTGGCCGCCGCTGGGTGGGGGTCGCTGATTTTCATTTTCTCACCATGGTGAATGTGGAGTACTTTTGCAATGCCAACAAGCAGAATGTGCTCCAATGACATGGAGATGAAGCAGGTAAGTGGCTGCCTTGCCTTTCCTCACTGCAGGTCAAGCCTGGGGAATGCTTCCCTTGTTCTCCATCCTCCTCTGGAACCCTTCAAGACCCTGATGTATTTCCCTTGAAGCCCTTTACAGTCTTATCTCACCTACCTCTTGCTGAATAGGCCTCACCGCAGGTCCAAAGAGAGAGAGGTCTGGGGGCTGGCCCTTGATGTAGGTCATGGCACCCAGTTAAAGCCATGTTTGTTGGGGATGCAAGTTTGACAAACAAGGACTGCATTCCTGTGTGAGGGTTGTGTGTTTTGGAGAGGCGCTATCCTCCAGGGCGGGTAAGAACCAACCGGCCCTGATGGTCCCTGGTGCAAACCCAGACTCACCTATCAAAATGGATTCAGCCTTGTGCATATAACGCTGGGCCTAAAGGGATAACTGAGGTTCCAGAAAGTCGATGATGATCCTCAATTATCCAAATATTTCTGTGTTGTGTGGCTTTGTGTGATCGGGAAGCTCACGTCTCTATTGGACAAGTGTGCTGATCTCTCTGTGGTATATTCTGACTATGCTGACTCCCCTGTGATTTATCTGAGCAGTACCTACGTCTGTTTCCATTAGTCCATGCCAACTGTTGACTGCTGTCAACATAGTGGACCCTCATTTACCCAACCTCATGCACTGCTCCCAAAACTTCCTACTCCAGCTTTACCTCGTTCACCCCTACCTCCAAACACCCTGTCCATTCCTGCCTTTATGCTTTATCTGCAGGGTCTCCCTGCCTGCAATGCCCTCTTCTAGTCTCTCAAGTTCTTCAAGTTTCAGTAAAGATCCCACCTCCTCCCAGGAAGTCCTTTTTATTTGTACCAGGCGACGGTCTCTAAGTCCCATCCCTGCAGCTATGCTCAAGGCCTCCTTCTATCACGCCAGGTCTTTTCTTATGTGTGTTCTGTCTCTCCAGCAAGTGCTACTTGACAAGAAGGGCCAGGATTGTTGGCTCTGTCTCCTGGGGACTTTCTCATGACAGTGACATGGGTGACTCTATTTAGTGTATGCTTTTCCTTCAATAGTGTTTCCTTCAATAGCATATGTCTTTCCTTACGCAGGCCTGGAGCCTGGCCACCCTCTGTCTGTGCTGTGGAGCTTACCCAGTGAAGCAGCATGTAAAAGGCAGTTCCCATCCCCTGTTGTGGCCAGAGGAAGAAGCCGTTTACAGCTCGTGCACACAGTGGACCACCAGTTCAGGCGACCTGGAAAAGAAGCTCACTTTAGAACAGGATCCCAGAAAAGGAAGGGGCCACTGGGGGTGTTTGCTAAGGAGGCATAAACATCAGGGACAGATTTTCTACAGGTTTCAATAGAAAGGGGGAACATTATGGCTACTTCTCTCCTCAAATAAAATATAGATTTCTTTTCCCTTTGAGGACAAGAAGTGGCCAAATCCTCCCATCAATTAGCATGAGCATTAAGAAACTCAAGGCCAGCACCTTCTCTCCTTGAATCTGGAAACGTATTTTACACAAGATAAAACATTTCTTTGTAATTTCCTTGAACACAGCTTTCCCTCCTGAAAGCTATTTTTTCCTTTCACCGTCTTGCTTTTTTGAGGCACACATACCTTTGAAAGTATAGTTCATATTTCATTTGATTCATCAAAACCATTATAGTTACATAGGTGTAGTTATGTTAAATTTCATGAATATTTACATTTAGAGACTTCCACTTCAGGGAAGATAGATCAGATGTACTTTTTCCTATTTCTCTTACTAAGTACAACGAAAAGCCCTGGAAATTATGTATAAAATCATATTAGAAGACTCTGAAAAGTGGAGAAGAAGTGGCAGACTAACTAGGGATCTTGAGACTTGAGGAACGACATAATGGTGGGTTCCCTGGAGTTTCTTTTTGCCTCACATATCCCAGATTAGATACTGTAAAAACGAACCAATGAGAGTAGGCCACAAAAAAAAAAAAAAAAAAAAAGATAGAAAAGAAAAAGCATGCTCTCTCTAGACAGAATACCAGGAAAGGGGTAGCTTAGCAAAACAGTAGCTGCTTAGACATTTCCTCTTCTATTCCAGCCAAACATCACAGAAAAAATTATAACCCGACCACCACCCCTGCCAGCAAAGTTCTAGTGAGAAGCCTAGACTTCCACCCTCACCAGGCTGTAACAAGGTGCTCATCACTGCCTGCTCCATCACCTGGGGAGTGTCAGAGAAGGCTGAGTACAAAGCCAAGACCTCAACCCCACTGGGTGGTAATAAGCACCTTGCCCTCTATCTTCAGAGGACACACAGGGAGCCTGAACTTTCACACTCATCTGGCTGTAATGAGAATCTCTGCCTCCTCTCAGCTAGGAAGTACCCCTGCCAAGAAGTACCAAGCCCATTCCCCAGGTATCAACAGGGGCAGAGGGGGAACCTGTACTTCAATTACCCTCTGGCAGTTGTCAGGCAATGGCCCCCTGAACCTACCAGAGTGGTGTCAGGAGGTCCGCTAAAACACAAGATTTAAGTAAGACCCAGAGTCCTATAACTTAATACCAAATATATACCCTTTTAAACAAACAAAAAAAATCACTTATACCAAGAACCAGGAAGATTTCAAACAGAACAAGAAAAGATATGAAAACTGAGATGACAGATGTTAGAGTTATCTGACTGGGATTTAAAAGTAGTCATCCTAAGAATACTTCAACAAGCAATTACAAACATACCTAAGACAAATGAAAAATTAGAAAATGTAGTAAAGAAATAGAAAGTCTTACCAAAACAATAGAAGATACAAAACAGAGCCAAATAAAGAACAAAAATATGGGCAGATATAATAGGGACTGAAAAATACAACTCTGATTTTAAAAACTCAATGGATGTGCTGAAAAGCAGATTGGAGAGAAGAGAAAAAGAATCAGTGTAATGTAAAGGTATAACATAGAAATCACCCAATTTGAACAACAGAGAAAAATTAAACTTAAAAAAAAAAACACATATACAGAACACAACTCAGGAACATGTGGGACTGCGACAAAAGTCTGGAGTCCGTAGAAGAGGCGAAATAAGGTAGAGCTAAAAAAGTATTCGAAGAGGCCAGGCGCGGTGGCTCACGCCTGTAATCCCAGCACTTTGGGAGGCTGAGGCGGGCGGATCACGAGGTCAGGAGATTGAGACCATTCTGGCTAACACGGTGAAAGGTGAAACCCCGTCTCTACCAAAAATACAAAAAATTAGCTGGGCGTGGTGGCGGGCGCCTGTAGTCCCAGCTACTCGGGGGGCTGAGGCAGGAGAATGGCGTGAACCTGGGAGGTGGAGCTTGTAGGGAGCCGAAATCGCGCCACTGCACTTAGGCCTGGGTGAAAGAGCGAGACTCCGTATCAAAAAAAAAAAAAAAAAAAAAGTGTTCAAAGAAATAATCACTAAATCACTAAAAGGTTCCCAATTTTTGCAAATGAACAAACAAACATACAGATTCAAGAAGCTGAGCAAACCCTAAACAGAAAAAAAACCCATAGAAACTCATGCCAAAATACATCATAGTCAAACTTCTAAAAACTAAAGACAAAGAAACCTTAAAAGCTGCCAAGGAGAAACAACGCCTTACTTATATGGGAAAAACAATTCTAAAGACAGTGCATTTCTCATTGGCTACCGTGTAGGCCAGAAGGAAGCAGGATAAATTTTTTTTTTTTTTTTTTTTGAGACAGAGTCTTGCTCTGTCACCCAGGCTGGAGTGCAGTGGTGCAATTTCAGCTCACTGCAACCTCTGCCTCTTAGGTTCAAGTGATTTTCCTGCCTCAACCTCCTAAGTAGCTGGGACACAGACATGCACCACCAAACTTGGCTAATTTTTGGTATTTTTAGTAGAGATAGAGTTTTACCATGTTGGCCAGGCTAGTCTCGAACTCCTGACCTCAAGTGATCTGCCTGCGTTGGCCTCTCAAAGTGCTGGAATTACAGGCATGAGCCACCACGCCCAGCCAAGATAATATTTTTTAAGTGCTGAAAGAAAATAACTGTCAGCCCAGAATTTTAAAGCTAGCAAAAATATTCTTCAGTAATAAGCAAGGAGATTTTGTTCCTAGCAAGCCTACCTTAAAGAAATGGCTAAAGGAAGTTCTCTAGGCAGAAAGGAAACGATAAAAGAAGGCATTTTGGCATATAAAGAAGGAAGAACATGGAAAGAACAAAAATATGGGCAAACATAATAAGACTTTCCTTCTTCTCTTGAGTTTTCTAAATTATGTCTGATGGTTAAAGCAAAAATTATGACATTGCCTATCTGTTTATATGTTTCAATGTATGTTGAATAAATATTTAAAACAATTTTATTATAAATGGTAGAGAATAAAGAAGCAAAAAGGCAGGTAAGGTTTATATGCTTCACCAATAGTAGTAAAATGTCAACACCAATAGACTTTGATAAAGTATGTGTATATAATGTAATAACTAGAACAATTCCCAAAAAGGTTATACCAAGAGGTATACCTAACAACAACCAATATTACACAAGCTCCTCCAGAAAATAGCCAACATTACCCTGATACCAAAATCAAAAAAAGTACAAAGAGAGAAAAGTGCAGAGTAACATCTCTCATGAATATGATGCAAAATTCATAAGAAAATACAAACAAGTAGAACACAGTAACATATACAAAGAACTATATACCATGACCAAGGGATGCAAGGATGGCTCAATATTTGAAAATCAATCAATATAATTCACCATATTAATGGGCTACAGAAGAAAAATCACATAATCATATCATGAATACAGAAAAAGCATTTGACAAAATTCAATACTCATAATTAAAAATTCCCATAAAACTAGGAATAGGGGGATCTCCATAACTTGATTTAAAAAATCTACACAAACATACAGCTAACATCATACCTAATGGTGAAAGACTGAATGCTTTACCTCTAAGACTAGGAAAAAGACAAAGATGCGCCCTCTCTCCACTGCTATTCAACATAGTATGAGAAGTCCTAGCCAGTGAAATAAGTCAAGAGAAAGAAATAAAATCTGTATTCGCAAATCAGAAAGGAAGAGATAACACTATTCTTCTTAGCAGAGAACATGATAGTTCACACAGAAAATCATAAGGAAGCTACAAAAAACCATAACTAATAAGCAATTTTTTAAGGTCACAGGATACAAGATCAATATACACAAATCAATGGTACAGTCATCCCCAAGTATCTGCACAGGATTGGTTCTGGGACCCCGCCGACATACACCCAAATCTGTGTATACTGAAGTCTGATAGTTGGCTCTGTGGAACCTGTATGTCTAAGAAGTTGGCCCTCCATATACATGGATTTTGCATCCTGTGAATACTGTAATTTTGATCCTCACTTGGTTGAAAAAAATCCACATATAAGTGGAAGTGGACCTGTGCAGTTCAAACCTGTGCTGTTCAAGAGTCAATTGTATTTTGCATACTAGCACAGATGTCTAAGGGGCCATGGAGCAACTGGAGTTTTCATACTTTGCTGTTGGGATTGTAAAAAGGCACAATTATTTTAGAAAAACTTTTGGCAATTTCTAATACAGTTCAACATACTCTGATATCGGTTTGGCTCTGTGTCCTCACCCAAATCTCATCTTGAATTGTAATGCCCAGGTGTCAAGGGAAGGACCTGGTGGTAGGTGATTAGATCATGGAGGCGGTTTCCCCCATGCTGTTCTCATGATAGTGAGTGAGTTCTCATGAGATCTGATGGTTTTAAAAGTGGCAGTTTTCCCTGTGCTGTCTCTCTCCTGCCACCTTGGGAAGAAGGTGCCTACTTCCCCTTCCCCTTCTGCCATGATTGTAAGTTTCCTGAAGCCTCCCCAGTCATGCTGAACTGTGAGTCAATTAAACCCCTTTTGTTTATAAATTACCCAGTCTGAGGTAGTATCTTTATGGCAGTGTGAAATGGACTATTACCTACCTTTACCATATGACCCAGCAATTCCACTCGTGGATATTTATTTACCCAAGAGAAATGAAAACATAAGACTCATATAAGAAATTCAGAGCAGCCTTATTTCTCAATAAAACTAGTTGCTAACACATCTGGGACTGTGTCTCTGAAATAAATAGCCATTGGGAGTTACCTTGGGTTCTGTTTTTGTTTTTTTTTTTTTTTTTTTTGAGACAGAGTCTCGCTCTGTCACCCACGCTGGAGTGCAGTGGCGCGATCTTGGCTCACTGCAACCTCCACCTCCTGGGTTCATGCCATTCTCCTGCTTCAGCCTCCCGAGTAGCTGGGACTACAGGTGCCCACCACCACGCCTGGCTAATTTTTTGTATTTTTTTTTAGTAGAGACGGGGTTTCACCGTGTTAGCCAGGATGGTCTCAATCTCCTGACCTCGTGATCCGCCCACCTCAGTCTCCCAAAGTGCTGGGATTACAGGTGTGAGCCACCGCGCCTGGCCGGGTTCTGTTTTCTAGTGAACTCATGTCAAGACATCTTCATTCACTCTTTCTCAGGAAGCTTCAGGAGGATGTACTCCACAAAATGAGGGTGGAAACCAAAACCAGAGAAATACAGGAAACAGGAGGGAAATGGGTGAATAGCACAGAAGCGAGGCAAAGGTAATCTCCAGGCTGATGGCTACAGGAGACTCTATCCTACCTGATGACAGGTGCATCTGCACTCATGGCTGCTTTTCAAAAGAATGTGTCTATGGAAAGGATAAATAGCCTGGCTCATTTACATGTTAGGCAGGTGACACAAATGTCATCTTACATGTCACTTCTTGGATAATACTAAAATTGTTTAAAAATTGCTTCAAGCTTATGAGTGGTTGTATCAAGCTTCTAATGTTATGTGAAACTTCTAGTGACATATATATGTTTTTATTTGGAGGATGAAATATAACATGCACCTCCCTAGGGCCTTCAACACTTTGGGAACTTCAATCAAATGAGAATGTTTATAATAGATATTTCCAAGAAATTATAAAAGCATTTTAATCAAAAATTCTTTAAAAAAGAGAGAAATATTAATAGGATTTGAACAACTGAAGAAGCAGAACATGTTTTACATTTCTACATTCCATCTGTCAATGGCTAAAGAAAACGTGTAAATACACAGGAGAATACTATTCAGCTATTAACAAGAATGATGTCATTCATTTGCAGCAACATGGATGAAACTGGAGGTCATTATCCTAAGTGAAATAAATCATGCACAAAAACACAAATATTGTATGTTCTGAATTATATGTGGGAGTTAGAAATGTGATCACATAGAGGTAGAGAGTGCAAAGACAGATACCAGAGACTGGGAAGGGTGAGTGGTGAGGGACGATGAAGAGAAGTGGGTTAAAGGGTACACACATACAGTAAGATGGAATACATTCAATGTTGGATAGCAGAATAGGGTGATTCTACTTAACAAAAATGTATTGTACTCGGGTGATGAACACTCTGACTCAATCACTACACATTATATACATGTAACGAAATTTCAGATATACCCCATAAATTTGTACAAATAAAAATATCTAATTTTAATAAAAGGTGTTGTTTCTATCAGAATAGAAATAATGAAATATGAAGGATAAAGACTGCGAGTAAGCTTGAAAATTAAGGCCCTCAGGAGTATATTTATTTTAGAGTCAGACAGTTATTGCCTAATGTGTTGCCATATTAACAAAGTTTAATATAAAAAAACTTCTTGGTTCTTTGTTTAAACTGAATCCTTATCCACTCTTCAGCGCTTTTTGGTTAAGATTCAGTGATTCCATTGTAATAAGTGGCATTACTGATAAAAAATAACTGCGCCCTTAATTCTAAATAAAAGCATGTATTAAAATTAACACTACAAAGTTAAGTAGACGAACATCTATTTATTATATGAAGATGTTAATGCTTACACTAACAAATTGGTATATTCTTACCACCTACAAGTCACCTTATTAAAGCTAAATGAGAAATGCAAGTAAGGGCTTTAACTGACACTACCACTGGATGGACCGTTGTGGACGTCATTGGAAAAAACACGCAGTTACTTAGTCACTTCTTTGTCTCTAGGCTGTGAAATAGCAACCTGTCTCACTTGACTTTTAAAAAGTGTTTATAACAACCAGGCTGGGATACAGTAAAACTGGGTTGCCACAGAGTAAAATAAAATGGCAGGATCTTTGCTTACAAAGGCATAAAACTCAACAAAATGGCTGTAACACCTGGAAATCCGACACATTTGACACCAAAGTGGGCAGCCTTGTTCATCCTCTGCATTGATCTCAGCTGCTAGTGCTCTGGGCAACCATCAGGGAGTATAGGGAACATGAGTAGACAATCAGGGAGAGGAGGGACAGGGAATATGCTAATGAGGCAGGTGGTCTGCATTTCTGCGGCAGACCTCGTTGTCTTGCCCGCCCCACAGCGTTTCCCTCCCATCCTTGCTGACAGCGCCCTGCTTGTGTCTGGGGCTTTTCAGGCAAGCCTCCTTGCCTGCCCCATGGGGCAACGTGCAAATGTTCATACGTCCAAGACGATCTGTGCAATTCCACTCCCCTTGCCATGGACTGCTGTCGCCTGGCTCACAAGATGTAACAGGAGACCTGCTGGGGCTTGCTCCTCCTTCACAAGGGCCACAATCAGGGGCTCTCTCTTGCTGCCCTGAATGATGCAGTGTGAGGATGTGTGGCCTGATGCGGCCACAGCTACACTGCATCCCCAGCTGGAGCTAGCACTGACCCGCTGGGGAGAGAAGAGCAGGGTGCTATGTGTGCCTGGGTCCTCCATAACACTGTGCAGCTGCCAGCCCTGCCATGAACATCCCTGTTTTCAGACTCTGAGTTGTGTGGGATAATGATGACCTCACAGTTTAAGCTCCTGCTGGCTGGGTTAGTGTGTTCTCCTGCACACTGCAGGACCTTCAATAAATCAACCAGCTCTGTGTCAGGGGATGTTATTCCCATTTTACAGAGAAGGAAACTGACGCTCACAGGGAGTAAGTAAACTTGCCCACGATCCGCTGACCCTTAACAGGAGCCCTCACACATCCAGGACAAAATCAGATCACAAAAAAGGCCAGTCTAATTTTGTTTGTTATGGTTGAGTTTGTGGCAAGCCAATTTTAACTTCTCTGACCTATATGATTTCAAAAGCCGTATTACTGAGTAACGAGCAAAACTGGAGCTCAAATTTTGTAAAGTGCCAAAAGAAACACACCCATCACCCAAAACCAAATGAATGTCACCCCTCTGCCATATTTGCACCAGCAGGTTCCTTTCAACATAAAAGAAAAGAAAAACGAGTAAAGATCAAGCTGAAGTTCCCTCTATTTGCCTCCCCCATTTCACTCTCATTCCTTCCTCCCTCGCTGTAACACCAACATGAATTTGGCAATTTTTTTCATTATATCACATGAAGACAGTATTTAAAAATACATTATATATTCAAATCTTCAGATAAATGATACTATTAAATGCTGACGAATATGTGCTGTACACAATGTTTATTCCTCTGCCACCGGTTCTGGGGAGGCGCTGGCTTGGCCTCTCCCCTGCAGTAGAGACTGAGGATTCTTCTTTAAGACTTCTGACTTGTTATTCCTAGGTGGGGAGTGGCTATCCAATGGGTCCATATAATGAGCAAGTGCCTCAAATCCATGTTATCCCATTCCTCCCATATTCCTTCCTCCCCACACCCCAATTCCTTTCCCTTGAGCTTTCTCTCTCCCCAACCTGGCTCACTGCCAGTGTCTAGGCATAGCAGGACTTTCCCCTTCCTATCCCTACAGACTGTGCAGATCAGCAGGGCCTCTGCTTGTTCCAGCCTTTATTACAGATATAAGGAGAGTAACCCAGGGTCATATGACCCCGAGGTCTACACTTGGGAGAAGGGTGAGGAATTAACCCCACTGGAGCATTCAACAATGAGATATGACCATTGTACGTGAACTGGCTGGGAATCTTAAAATATCCATTTTCATGAAAAACAAAAGAAGAGAGAATGTTTTTCAAAAAGTGCATAAAGAGCCATAACAACCAAATGTAACGCATAAAGTTGGGTTTTTTGGAATGAAAATAAATTACAAAAATGACTTTGGGGCCAATTGGGAAAATCTGAGTATGGGCTCTACTAGTTGACATTACTAAGTTAGTGCTAATTTTCTAATGCTGTTAAGTCATATAGGAGAATGTCTTTATTTTCAGAAGAAGTGAAGTATCCACAATACACATTCAAATGATTCAGAAAAAGTGTATGTACTTCCATACACATAAAGAGAGATAAAGCAAATGTGACAAAGTCCCGAAAACTGGTGATTTTTGGTGCAAGATATATAAATACTCATCTTCCAATTTTCCTGTAGATGTGAAGATGTTCAAGACGAAGGAAATGGCATGTGGGTTTACTCTATAGTCTTACAATGGAGACATTCTGTTCTGGTGCCAAAGACAATTTCTATGTAAATTAACTCATTTGTCTCGATTAAGTTTTAAAAATGGGTTGAATTCAGTTAAAAATATTTTGGGCGAATCTAACTAATGCAAACTAATGCTAGTTTGACTAAATTTTTCCGCTGTTTCAATAGATTGAGTTGAAATTTTTAGTTTGGTTATAATTTTCAATTTTTTTGAAGGCACAGAGCCCTGAAGCTAATAGGTGACTTCTCTGAAGTGTCTTCTGTCAATCCCCTCTACACCATAGCAAGCAGCATTGAAAAATCACCACACTTTCCATGGCAGACACGCTAACCAATCATCACTCTTCCCACAAAGGAGGTGAAAGACCTGATTTCCCTTTTCAATTCAGAGGTCTGTGCAATAAAGACCAACTGATTCAAGTTGAAAATGAGGATGAAATAGTGGGCTTTGGAACACCTACCCTTGCAGAATCTGGACTAGAGTGTCTAAGGTAGTCATCAGAGAGGCAGCCAGCAGACTGGTTAGGCACAGAAGCTGGAGTTAGACTTCCTGGGTTCAAATCTCAGTTCCACTATTTCTTAGCAGTGTGGTGTTGGGCAACTTACTTAACCACTCTGTTTCAGTGTTCAATTCTTAAAAATGGAGATAATAATAGTCCTGATCTAACAGAGTTTTTATGAACATTATATTATTTAATATTGGGAAAGTACTTAAGATAGGGCGTGGCATATAGAAAGCCCCATATATGTATTATGCATATACAGGTCCAAAATCCTGAGTTAAATAAAGGAGTATATTTATGCATATACTAATGAATGAATGAATGAGTGAACCAAAATGCTTTGGCTTAAAAGGTACCTTTATACACCAAAGTCCTTTTTAGAGTAAGCACAACTGCTCTGACATTCATGCAAGAAAGACTATGAACTGCAAATAAAGGGAAGCTTTTGCACACAGAGTGCCTGGTGCTGCTTAAAGGGAGGTCAGCTGGTGCACAATGAGGCAAGTACAGAAAATGGGAGGAAGTGTTTAGGAGCTTTTATAGCAATGCGCTTTGCTGTAATATTTTTATTAAATTTTATAGAAGCATAGGGAGACAGTGAATTGGAAATCTAAAGAAAAGAGTTGTCCTTCAACACAGATTGCTTGAGAAGCACTGTCCAGAGGTTCTCAGAAATGCAAATTACACTCTTGAATTGGGTAGACATCTAAATACAGCATGTTAAATTTTTTTTTGCCTACATTCATTGGTTAGATTGTAGTATTAGGATAAAAAAGATTTAAAGAAAAAAGTTGAGTAGATCTTCGGGAAAAGGAACCATGTGAGGAATGTAAGGAAAGACCTGGCCTTTAGGTGTTAAGCCTAATGAACCAAAGAAAGCAACTTTTAAAAACCAATGAAAAGATTTCTTATATCCCTACAAACCCTCATTGATTTTTACTTTTGTTAGTTACTCTATGCTTATTTATTCCTGATTTCTCTGTAATACTTAGCAAAAAATAATTTAAAATAAGATCTTGTGTGAATGCGTGTAGCACTGCAGATAAAGTAGGGGCTGAAGGCTTTGTCTCTGGTCGTTTGAAAAGAGAAATCCCTCTCCCTAAGATGAGCAGGAGGGCACAGATTTAAAGAGGAAAAGAGGTCAGAAAATAAAAATACTTATTTTCAATAATCCTTTCAAATGTATATCCAAGCTTGAAAGAAAGTGTAGTAAATCTCCAACAACCGGAAATAAATATGGGATGGAAATTAGTATGCACCAAACCAGCAACTGCCAACGAGTGAAGACATTTAACTGTTTAATCACTTCATAAGAACTCGAAAAAAGGCTGGAGACCCTGAAATGTGGGGAATTGGGACTGGGGATGGCCTTTTCCTTCCATATAGAGTTAGGATCCTCAAAAACTATATCCTGAATGCAAAGATTAGAAATAATTTTGCTCTGGCAAAGGCAGTTGGGAAGAAAATTTGTCTCTTTTAGCCTAGGCTTAGCAGAGGAAAATAAAAACTTCCCCGGAAATGTTGACTGTCATGAAGACTTGACCTAAATTGATTTGTGGCTTGGAACCAGTAAGCCAAGAAATTAACCTAAAATTGGTTCTAAGTACCAAAGGTAATTCCTCTTGGGAAACTGGTACAAACAAACAAACAAAAACAATCTCTCTAAGAGGAGTACACTCTCAACACAGGCCACACAAGAGTCCCACATATAACATCCTGCTCACAACCCAAAACTACAAACACAACAGAAAACAAGCCACTGTGAGTAAGAGTCATACACACAAAATCAGCAGTTTATAGATACCTATAAACTTGAGGTTAAAAATGATTAGAGACTGTAAACAAGCATGTTAAAAATGTTTAAAATACACAAAAGAATTAAACAAAATATGACCAAAGAATAAGAGGCAGATTTGGAAAACACATATAGAACTTAAAATGAAAGATATAAAAATTAAAGTAAAAAAGTAAGAATCAGTTTAATATCAGGTTGGACACTGTTGAAGGAAAAAGTTAATACATTTGAAGATAAGTAAGAAGCAACAAAGAGGGAAAGAGAAAAGATGCAAGAGAGTTTATGAGACATAAGAATAGACTGAAAAGATCTAACATTGTCCAATCAAAATTCAGAAAGGCATGAATCAGGCAATATTGAATACTGACTGAGGATTTTCCAAAATATGTAAAAATAAACTCACAGATTTTAAAAGTCTAAGACATTCTAAGAACAATAAAATTAATGTCTTCCTTAACATATCCTAGTGAAACTGCACAATATAAAAGACAGGGAGAAAAGATGTTAAAGCACCTAGAGAAAGAAAAAAACCAGATTATCTTCAAAGGAGTGATAGACTGACAGCCTACCTCTTCAAAGGAACAATGGAAAGAAGAAGCCAAAAAAAAAAAAATCTTCAATGTGCTGAATGAAAATAACTGGCAATCTATAATACTAGACCCATGAAAAGTGTTTTCAAAAAATGAGGGCAAAACAAAGACATTTTAAGACTAACAAAAACTGAGAGAGTAAAATTAGCACTCACCTAAAGAAACTGTAAAGGATGAACTTCAAACAGAAGGAAGATCTGACATGCAAGAAGAAATGAGGAGAAACAAAAAAGGTAAGCATATGGGTAAATCAAAATGAATGTTGACTATATAAAACACTAATGTCTGATGAGATTAAAAGTATACAACTAAAATAAATGACAACAACTTACAAAACAGGAGAGAATAAGGATGAATAAAACTAAACTACTCCAAAGTCCCTGTCTTGCCTGGGTGTAAAGTAGGTTAAGATGTTAATTAATTTGAGATGTGATTCATACGCATATTTTAGGGGTAAACTCTTAATAATGGAAAGAGAGGGTATAACTTCAAAACTTGTAGAATTTTTAAAAAGACATGATTAAACAATATTTAATTGATTTAAAAGAAGATGTGTAAGGAGAGAATAAACACCACATTGAATGGGGGAAAATGGCAATTGCATTAAAAATAAATGCACCTGTTAAAAGACAAAGGCTGTGAAACTGATTTTATGAATAAATTAACTACATGCAGCTTGCAAGAGATAAATCTAAAACAGAGGAATACAAAAGTGCTATAGGTAAAGGTATGAAAGGTGGCAAATGGTACATCAGGAATGTTTTAACTTACGGAAAGCTAACATAGCTGAATCAATAGCAGATAAAATAAATCAAAAGGCAAAAAGCATTAGTAGAATTTAATAAGCACCCTCTACACTGTTCAACTGCTCAATTCATGAGGAAGAAATCAGTTTAATTGCTGTATTCAATAACATAGCATTATATTTATGCAGGATTAAAAATCCATAGGAATAAAAGGAGATATAGACAAGTACTCAATCATGATGAAAGATTTTAACACATCTCTATCGGTAATTGAGAGAAAAAGTAAAAAATAAACCAATAAATGTACAGAAGATGTGAAAAACATAATAAATGACCAAATGGACAAATACAATGCAGCCAAAACAGAAGACTAAACATTATTTTCAAGCACACATGGAATGATTTTAAAAAAACTGATCATATTCTGAATCGTGAAGCAAAGTTCTCAAGAGATTTCAAATCATACAGACAATGCTTTTTGTCCACAATGGAAGTAAGAAATCTATAATAAAAATAACTAAAAATATTTAGTAGTTTTTACATACTTGCAAACAAAGAAGCACTTACAATAATTCATGGGTCAAATAATAAACCAAAATGAAAATCAGAAAATATTTTGAAACCATGTAATAACAAAAATATTACATTCCAAAATTTTGGGGATATAGCTAAAATAGTATGGAGAAAAAAATTAATAACCTTAAATACTTGCAAGAGTTAAAAAGAAAGGCTAGGAATTAATGAATTAATCATCCATGTTAAAAAGTTACAAAGGAACAGTGATTAAATCCAAAGTAGAGGGAGAAAATAATATAGATCAGGAGTCAGTAAACTTTGGTCTATAAGAGGTATAGAGGGAAGGGAAAGAGAAAGAGAGAATGAATATGTGATAGAGAACTTACATGGTCTGTAAAGCCTACAACTAGCTGTTAAATATGAAAGTAAAATAATGCCATTTTCAGACAAATGAAAACCTGAGACTTCACTGCCATCAGGGCTGCATCTAACAAAACTTTAGTTTTGTTATTACACCAGGATGGTGTAATAATTCTAAGTGTCTATGCATCCACTAACACAGTTTCAAAATATATAAAGCAAAAGATAACTAAGGAAGAAACAGAGAAACACAATCATAGTAGGAGATCTTAACACACCCTGTTCAATAGCTGGTAGAATAAGTGGACAAAAACTTAGTGAAGAATAGAAAAGATCTGAGCGACAAAATTAACAAACTTGATATAATTAACATATATAAAAAGTACTATACCTAAGAAGGACAGAATTCAAATTTTTTTCAAGTGCACATAGAATATTTATTAAGCTTAATTATATGCTGGGTCATAAAGCAAGTCTCAACAAATTTAAAATGTCTGAATTCATTCATTATACATTCTTTGACCACAGAAGAATTAAGCTAGAAAAAAAAACTCCTAGAAATATCCCCACAGTGATTAAGCAACATATTTCTAAGTAATTTATGAGTCAAAGGAAAAATTATAATAAGTATTTAAAATGATTTAAACTTAATGATAAAGAAGAATAACATCAAAATTGTTGATGGAACAGAACAGACCCAGAATCAGACCCACACCTACACAGTCACCTGCTGTATCTCAAGGTTACACTGCAGCATAATAAAGAAAAGATGATTTCAATAAATGGTACCATGTCAGGTTGATGAATATATGGGAAAATGGACTTTCATTACATAGCACATCATTTATGAAAATCACTTTTAGGTGGATTATAGATTTAAGTATGAAAGGCAGGAGAATATTTTCAGGACCTTGGGGTAGGCAAAGGTTTCTTAAGCTGAAATAGAGGCTCTCAAGTAAGGGGAAAAAAAAGGTAAGTTGAACTATTTTAGTCATGATCTTCTGTTCATCAAAGTGTATCAGTCAGTGAGTGAAAAGGGAACCAGTAGGGTGGGTGAAGATATTGGCAATACACACCTGACAAAGGTCCCATATCTAGAATGTATAAATAATTCCCACAAGTCAATCAAAAAGGCAATCTTAAAAATGGGTAAAAAACCTGAAAAGGCACCCAACAAAAGAGGATATGCAAATGGCCAATAACATGAAAAGTACCTAATTTTACTAGTCATCAGAAAATAAAAATTAAAACCACTGTGTGGATACTCCTACACTTCCAACACAGTAACTAAAACAAAAAGACAAAAAACATGGAGCAACCAGAACTCTCAACAGAGGAAGAGCAACTGGTACATCCACTCTGGAAAACTATTTGGACAACTGTTATAATGCTGAACATATGTAAATCCTATGATCCAGCAATATCACTCCTAAGTACAATTGACCCTCTGTTATCTGTGGGTTCTGAATCTGCGAATTCAACCAACTGCTGATAGAAATAATCCAGAAAAAAAAATTCCATAAAGTTCCAAAGAGTAAATCTTGAATTTGCTGTGTGCCAAATAGTATGTCAAATCCACATGGATGAAATGATGTAGGCATTGTGTTAGGTATTACAGGTAATCTAGAGATGATTTAAAATATATGGGAAAATGTGAGTAGGTTATATGCAAATAGCACACCATTTTCTACAAGGAACTCGAACATCTGAGAATTTCAGTATCTGGAGGGTCCTGGAACAAATTCCCTATGGATACTGAGGGATGACTGTATATATCTTTAGAAATGTGTTCATGGCTTACCAGAAACCTGTACAAGAATGTTCATAGCACCCCACTTTTATTATAATAATGACAAAGTTGCAACAGCTTGTTATGGACTGAATGTGTCCCCTCCAAATTCACATATTGAAATCTTAATCACCAGTGTGGCTATATATGAAGACGAAGACTTCAAGGAAGTAATTTAAATTCATTAAATGAGGTTATAAGGGTGGGGCCCTGATCTCCCAGAATTAGTGTTTGTATAAAAGACTCTAGAGAGCTTCAACTCTCAAACTGTCCCCCACCCCAAGGCATGCACTGAAGAAAGACCATGTGAGAATACAGTGAGAAGGCAGCCGTTTACAAGATAGAAAGAGAATCCTCACCAGGAACTGAATTGGCCAGCACCTTGATCTGGGACTTCTAGCCTCTAGAACTGTGAGAAAATAAATTTCTGTCATTTAAATCACTTGGTCTATGGTATTTTGTTATGTTAGCCTGAGCTAAGACACCAAAAAATCCATCAATAACATAATGGAGAAGTTATTTGTAATACATGTATATACATTGCAGTGCAATACACCAATGAGAATAAATAAGCTATATGGTAATTACACAACTCTATGAATGAATTGCATAAGCTTAATGATAAGCAGAAGAATCCAGAACTTAACCCATTCATGATTCCATTTATATAAAGCTCAAAAAGAGGCAAAATAAACCTATGCTATAAGAAGTCACTTTTCTTGATGTGAGTTTCTTGTCTGAGTCCTTGTTATAGGATGTGATCTGTTCTACACTTATGATTTGCACACTTTCCCACATGTACATTTCAATAAGGAATTAAAACAATGAAAGGGTAATGGGTCTAGCTCCAGAGATGACTCTAAGAGAAAAGACAGCTGGAAGCTGCTTGAACCTGAGATGACATTTTGAAGGCAAAGAAAGGATTCAGGTGGTGAATCTGCTGGATGGAATGTCTTCAGAAAACCCCAATTTGCAAATATTTTCACCTCATTTTATTTTTTCCATAAAATGCAAAAGAGTATGTCTGAAATATTTAAGGGGTACCTTAGATGCTGACTGAGTCTATAAACAAGGCTACAACATAAAACTGTGACTA
This sequence comes from Homo sapiens, assembly GCF_000001405.40. NCBI lineage: Eukaryota > Metazoa > Chordata > Mammalia > Primates > Hominidae > Homo > Homo sapiens. The sequence goes on from NC_000015.10 coordinate 31,547,322, forward strand.
CATATTGTCATTAATATATGCTTTAACATCACATGTTTCTTATTTTTACCCAGAATTGTTGAACAGGCTGGCTTCTCATGGATCTGATACACTGCCAGTTTTATTTTACCACTTCTTAAGACATCTAAAGGTTCTATTTTCTAACCCTTCCTTAACTCCCACCTGAACACATGCTTTTCATTTCCAATACCTAGATTAACAAACAGATTTCTATTTCTTCCTCACAAAAATAAAAGTGAGAACATAATGACAATGCAATAGTGACTTAATGAATATTTTTTGATCTTACGAGCTCTGTTACAGCAGATTCATCACATGACTTGCTTCCAAACTTCAGTCTTGGTGGGTAATAGCTCATCAGTAACATTATGTATCCCTGCATTTTACAGGACTGTTAAAGAAAAATAGAGGCCCCAGTTCAGACACACCCCAAGGCCAACCACCTATAACCATGTAGCCAAAACTTAAGTCATCCTGATTTCCCCGAGATATTAGCTCTAATCATAAACAAAACACAAAACATTGGCTAGTCCACATGATTCAGTGAACCAGCTGTAGACAAATCAGCTTAAACTAACTCTGTTTGCCCTAAAAAGAAGGTTAATGTGTAACAGTCAGTCACAAAAATGGTCAAAATGCTTCCTCCTTTACGCTTTCTCAGCTGTGCTGGAACTGCCGCAAGGTAGGCTTCTTGCCACGCTTGGTCTGAAGTCTCCTGGGCTTGTGAACTGTTCTTCTGTACGTACCATATACTCCTAAAAATTTGATAACTTCATTTGATTTTCTTCCTGACAGGACTTGGGGATCAGTCACTCTGTGTGAGGAGTGTTAAATGTAAAGCTTGGGGACTGCCGTGATTTGTGGGCCTCCCGGGCCACCCCCATCATCTGTGGGCGCCCTGGGCCACCCCCCTTCACTTTGCCTCTGTCAGATGTTCCTGCGCGGTGCCCTCAGCAACGTGTCCCTCTAGAATTGTGTAACTCGGCTGCTGGCTTTCTACTTGGCCTCTCAAAGAGTGTTCCTTTGGAGATTTTCTCTGGTATTGGTGATTTATTCTTTTAAGAAAATCCAATAAATCATGCAATTCATATTTGGAATGGGTCACGTGGCAGAAAGTATCCTGAGGGAAAGGATGACAGTTCCCAACGCTCTGAGCTGAACTGAGGAGGTCTCGTGGCATGGGCAGGATGAGGACATTTCACAGCCAGGCAGCCATGGGCAAACCCTTCGGCTTCCCCAAGTCTCTTCTGCCTGTTCTGTAAAATGAAGAGCATCTTGGCAATTGCATGCAGCCGATGTGAGATCTGGACATAATTAAAATGGCGTATAATACACCTAGCACATAGGAGATCCCCAATACGTGAAGGCTGCTATTATCAAAAGCATAGTTGCCATAGTGCCCACCCCATCCTATCCCAGATGACCACATCCATGGTTCTGATTGTCAAAAGAGCCCAATCAAAGGGTATGATATCTTTGGAGGGCTCAGAGACAAGCTGTTTGAAATTTGAAGCCATCAAGAGTAGAATTCTGGCTGGACACAGTGGCTCATGCCTATAATCCCAGCACTTTGGGAGGCTGAGGTGGGTGGATCACTTGAGGCCAGGGGTTCAAGACCAGACTGACCAACATGGCAAAACCCCATCTCTACCAAAAATATAAAAATTAGCCAGGTATGGTGGTGCATGCCTATAATTCCAGCTACTTGGGAGGCTAAGGCAGGAGAATCGCTTGAACCCGGGAGACACAGGCTGGAGTGAGCTGACATCGTGCCACTGCACTCCAGCCTGGGAGACAGAGCGAGGCCTTGTCTCAAAAAAAAAAAAAAAAAAAAAAGTAGAATTCAGTCCAAATGCATGCCTGCCTCTAGGCACAGTGTGCTGTAACATACCAATCCAAGTGAAATGGTTAAAAGTGGCACATCAGGAAATCAAAAAAATTCCCCTGACCACAACATATTCAGTATGATTTAATCTCTCATTCTGGATCTTTTAGCATAGAAGAATTATCATACTGCAAGTAATGACACTGTATCTGTGGCAGGCAGAATTCTAAAGTGGTCCTCAGATTCCCACCTCCTGGGGTGTACTCCTGTGTCATCCCTTTCCCTTGGGTGTAGGTGGAACCTGTGACTCCGACGGGATGTCACTCCTGTGATTAGGTTATAATATGGGGTAAAGTGAGGGGATTTTGCAGATGTAATTACTTTACTATTCACTGACTCTGAGTTGATCAAAAGGGAGATTATCCTGGGTTGGCCTGACCTAATCTGAGGACCAAAAGAGGGTTTAGTGGTCAGAGAAAAGGAAAGTCAGAGAGATTTACAGAGAAAGGGCAGATGGTAGAATATAAAGGGAATACGGAAGAGGGAAGAGGGAAAGGGGGAGAGAGGAGAGATTCTCTGGCTGGTCTTGAAGCAGTAAACAACTGCCATGCCAAACAGTAAACAACCCAAAGCAGTAAACAACTTCACTGCCATGCCATAAGAAGAGAGCTAGACGGCAAGGATGTGGTGTGGGGTCCTGGATGGCTTTGGACTGACCCCGTTCTTTCCCCTTTCCTGTAGTTCTCAAGCATTACTGTAGGCAACATGCTACTACATACAAAATACTCTACTAAAATACAAAAATTAGCTGGGTTTGGTGGTGGGCACCTGTAGTTCTGGCTACTTGGGAGGCTGAGGCAGGAGAATCGCTTGAACCCAGAAGGTGGAGGTTGCACTGAGCCGAGATCGTGCCACTGCACTCCAGCCTGGGCAACAGAGGGAGACCCTGTCTCCAGGAAAAAAAAAAAAAAAAGAATGTGCTGGGAATGCAGTATCCTGAGATCACGGGAAACTAGCTGGACCAGTCTGGACTCTGTTCTGGTCCCTCCGAGAACAGGATGTATTTCAATGTTTTAGCCCAATAATGACTGTATCCCCCAGGTATCAAACCCACAGCAGGCTGCTTTCTGGGGTCCCTCAGCTGCAGCACAAGACAGCATGCACCCTGGGCACTGTCCTAACTCTTGTGTGACTGTCTTACCCTGAACCCTAGGCTGCTATTGTCCCTCACTGCCTGTCTGTAAGACACCTGCTTTGTGCAACCTGTACACATGCATGAGACTTGGCAAGGAAGCAGCGCACAGTGAACCTGCATCACTCCTGAGTCTCTTGGGTACTCTCTAGGCACCAACAGTTAGCAAGAAAATGGAACCTCAGTCATTCAGCTGCAAGGAACTAAATTCTGCCAACCGCAGGGAACTTATGGATCTGCCCCTAGATGAGCACACAGCCAGGGGACACCTTAATTTCAGCCTTGAGAGACTATGAGCAGAGTCTCAGACCCAGCTAAAGCACAGCAGACGGCTGGCCCCCGGAAGCTGTGGGATGATACACTTGTGCTGTTTTAAGCTGCCAAATGTGTGGTAATTTGTTAGGCAGAAATAGAAATGCATACAGCGTCCTTTAGCCCAAGGATATTTAAATAGGAATTCTGTCCATTCATTTCACATGTGTATCCTGGGAGGCGTATCCTGGGAGTGTTCAGCAGGTGTCTGGGAGGTTTACTCGTGTCCCTGAAGTGCATGCTGCTAACGGGAGCTATGCACAGAGAAACACCTGAATGCTCAAGGGCAAGCAGACAGCTCCTGTAACCTGTGCAGATAACAGTGTGGCCCAGGCTGTTGAGACTGTGCACACCTGGGAGAGGGCAGGTAGGCAGGATGCAGCCTGCTAGAGCAGCTGTGTGGATGGAGGGCAAGGCTTAGTGGTTTGATGTAAGCCAGCTTCTAGAAGTTAAGACTCTTACTCAGTTGAGAGCACTCCTAGGGCTGTACATCAGACGTGACCGCCCTGAAAAGATGGCCCAGCCATGGTAAATGCCAGCACTTTCCAGCCTCCGGAGACCCCATCATGGCCCAGTGCTATTCTAACATCCAGCAGAACCTAGAATGTGGTGCCCGAGATAAAGGTGTGCTCCATACAAGGAGTGCGATTGGGAACATGCAAAGTTTCATGGTTTCATGTTTCTATTCCTGGCTTTGACAGAGTGGTCATTCCCAACTCCCCATGACATAACCACAGAACAGGAACAAGACACGGGCACTGGCATTGTGAATAGCTTGAAAACTTGAGGTTCTGCAAATAAGAAAATCACAGGTGAACACCATTGAGAGAGGCAGGTGGTTTCACACGTGGGGAGCTATTAGTCACTTATTCTGACTTTTCTGAGCAATAGTCCTCTGATTCATCCGTGATAATGGGACCAATTAACTTCAGCTTTGGAGCAGGTGGTTACCACACACTTTAAAATAAGATGTCTTTTTGCTCATCACCCCACGACATTTTGATGAAAGAAAACAAAACGTGACAATTCTCTATCAGAAAGATGAGGGGATTCTTGCCCTAAATGTGACACTGTAACTCCTTTTAATATCACTGGAGTGCTCCCTCCCCACCTGGGCCCTCGGATGTCCCCTCTCTGGGCATCACTGTGCTTTGCACGTGCTTCTGTGAGAGCTCCTGCCATGGGACTGCGGTATTGCCTTCATGTCCTTTGCTCCTCTGGGGCAGGGGCCTTGTGTTCCTCATCTTGGTTGTCCCCAATAATCCTGGTAGTTGATATAGTTTGAGATGTTTGTCCCCTCCAAATCTATGTTGAAATGTGATCCCCAATGTTGAGGGGGGCCTGGTGGGAGGTGTTTGGGTCATGGGGGTGGATTCGTCATGAATGGCAGGGTGCCATCCTCGCAGTAATGAGTGAGTTCTTGTTCTATTGGTTCCCATGAGATGATTGTTAAAAAGAGTCTGGCACCTCCTCTCTTGCTCCCCTTCACATCATATGATACATCTGCTTCCCCTTCCCCTTCTGCCAGGACTGGAAGCTTCCTGAAGCCTTCACCAGAAGCAGATGCTGGCCCCATGCTTCTTGTACAGCCTGCAGAACTGTGAGCCAAATAAGCCTCTTTTCTTTATAAATTACCTGGTCTCAGGTATCCCTTTAAAGCAATGCAAATGGGCTATGACAATAGGATTTGAGACACCACAGGTGCTCAATGTTTACTAATGAATAATTGTAATGCTGGAGAAGATAACTTAGTATTTGGTCACAATTTAAATTCTTTATAGCAAAAAGTGTGAAGAAAGAAAAATAGGAAATACCACTCTATGAAAATAAAAAATTAGTAGAGGAGGCCATTTACTTGATGCTGAGTATGCATCCAGCCCTGTGCACACACGACCTCAGTTCATCTTCACAACAGCCCCACAAGGTGGGCTGCTTCATCACGACGTCACAGAGGAGAGCCTGACGCCCCCTCAGGGGGCTGCACAGGAACCACACTGTGACCACTACGCTGAGGAGATGTGAACCCTGGCCTCTGTCTCTCCCACACTCTGGCCCAGGCCCTATGCCCAGGGTTGCCCAACGCTGCACCTGGCCCACAAAGGAACGTGGTATTTCCAGGCTTGCCCAGAGTCGCAGCCGCGACTCTGCCTGACTGATGGGTGGAGGAAGCTCCAAAGCACAGCAAGGATGGGAAGGCAAACTTGGCAACTGGCCATGGGAGGAGCTGCCTTTGGAAGCAAGGAATGGTCCCAGGTAGCTAGGAGGCCAATGGAAGCCTCACGAGATGGAAGGCAAGGGAGTGTAAAAGTAGCTGGAGGAAAGAGATGACTCACAGCAGCCGATGGTGAGAGCTATAAGGAGAAGGGGAATGGAAGCCACTTCCTGACCTTTCTCTGTATCAAGCACAGTGCAGCATGGCTTCCCGAGAACCTTGCCCTCACAGTCAAACCCAGCGGTCAGTTTCTAGTGCACACTGACTTACTGGCATATTTGGCACCACTGATTGCTCCCTTCTTGAAACACCTTCCACCCTGGGCGTCAGGGTCACTATCCACCGCTGGTTCGCCCTGATTCCCAGGCCCGCACATTCCCAGTCTCTTCTGCTGGCTCCTTCTTCTGTTCCTCAGCCCTCAATACTGTAGGGCCCCAGCCTGAGTCTTTGGAAAGCTTGTTTTCTGTCCATGCTCCAGACAAGTGTGTCCAACTCATGCTCACCACTGCATGGAGCCAGGTTGGGGGCATGGTGGGAGGGTCCTACGAGGAGCTCACTCCGGGATCCCACGGGTTTCACTTTAGGGCACTAACTCCACATCTGCATCCCCAACGCAGGGCTCTCTCTGACTCCAGACCCTCATGTTCATCTGGGCAGCAACTTTACAAGTCTCACTACAGTCTCGGGCTTTGCCTGACAGTGCTGGCCTCTTCTTCTTGCCCTTCCTCCAGGGGTCTGCATCTCCTCAGGCAACATTATCTACCCCCATATTCAGGGTAACATTCTTAGGGCCATGCTGGACTCTTCCCTGCCTGCCAGAGCCCCAGCCCTCCATCATCAAGGCCTGTAGGTCTGCCTTCAAAACGTACCCCATAGCCGTGTCTCTCTACTGCCCCTCACCTGCACTACCACCCCCACGACCCTGCCAGCCGTCTCTCTCTGCCCTGGTCTGGAGCAACTGCCTCTCCCTGCTCTTCCAGCTTCTTCTCTTACCACCCCATAGTCCATTCTCCAGCAGCCAGAATCTGTCAGATGTGAATCAAGACGCGTCAGCCCCCGGCTCAAAACCCTCCAGGGGCTGCTTATCTACCTTCAGTGAAGCCTAAAGGACGAGGCTCCCTAGCGCCCGGCTCCCATTCTCCTGCCCTCCTTTCCAAATCCTCTCACCCTCGCTCCACCAGCTCAGGTGACACTGGCTTCCTTAAATATGCCAAGACTTTGATGTTAGACTCCCTCTGCCAGGAAAGCCAGGCCCGCAGGTGTCTGTTGCTGCCTCCCTCCCTGCCCTCCAGCGGCATCCCGGGATTCCCTCTCCTTCCTAACCTCCCCAGAGTAGCCTCTGAGGCCCCACTTCATTTTCATGCTCCCCTTGTTCATCGGCTTTCTTCCACTGGAATTTCACCTCCCTGAGGGCAGGGGTTTCATCTGCCTGGAGTGTGGAGGTAGCCCCAGACCTGGATGGGGCATTTCGTGGGCATTCAACACAGGCTGACACTGGGTCAATCTGTCTCCATTTGGCCGCCGTTACACATCTCTGACTTTCAGAGGGAAGGAAGTGAGGCTCCAGCCGGCCAAGTGACGTGGCCAAGCTCCCCCTGCCAATCCGGGCCTCAAGCCAGGGTCGGGCTGACTCAGAAGCCCACAAGCCTCCTCTGTAACTTACCATTCTCTGGCAGATTCCCCTCAATCCAATTATCCTCCCCTGGAGCACAACTCAAAGGTGTGCCTAGAGATTTTTCAACATGCGTTTCCATCTCCCATGTATGCAGTGACTCCTGCATTACACAAAAATGCCTCTGCCCTCTGCCCCCAGACACACTGAAGAACCACACCATCTCACCCACATGGTGGTTAGCTGCTGCCACAGGCAGCAGATGATACTTCCCAACCCAGAGACCCCGGTCTCCGAGCCATCTCCTGTGTAAATGCAGCAGGATCAGCTGATGGCAAAAGGAGTGGTTTCTTGCCTTCTCAATGGCAGGCTAGTCATTAAAGAACGAAAGGTGTTTCCCTTCCTCTCAGGAGGTCAGCTGGTTTTAGGCCCAGATGATCCGGCCCTTCTGTTGCCCTGAGACTGTCATGAGGTGGGAGTGGGTTGTGTTTTCCAGGGTTTGAAGACTTGGGGAAGACCAGTCTCCCAGATCTGTGGGTTTTATGGGAGTTCAGACTGGCACCCCACTTGACACAGAGGCCTCAAAAATAGACGGGGCTGCCTATGTGGCTCGGGAGGCCAGGCAGATACCACGCAGGGCCCCAGGAGAGTGGAATCAGGCCCCAGGATGGACAGCTGGATGGTGGGCAATGTTAACTGAGTGAAGGCCACTGTTTGCCAGTTTTCAGAACCACCTGAGCCCTGGGTTCATGTTCTGTCCAAGGGAAAAGGAAGTCCTCCACCCAAAGTCTTATGACAGAAATAATGTTTCCTGCCAAGCACAGCTAGAACTGTCCCTTAAACAAATGGATTTTTTTTTTACTAAATAATTTTTTGACATCTGTATTTCAATCTCTCATGTATTCAGTAAAATAATATTGCATATAAATAGTTTATTCATAAAGATTCTAAGCACTAAGCTATTAGGAAGAGGCATTTACCCTTTGTACCCAGCAATACTGAGCAGCTTTCTTGGATGGCCACTTCATGATGGAAAAGTGGACTGTGACAGTGGGGGCCACGGGAGCAGAGCCTGGCTGTGGGGTGGAAGGTACAGGAGCTGCCAGTGCTTTCCAGTGACCAAACTCCTCACCCAGATGGGCTGTGGGAGACCCTTTAGCACTGGCCGGCTGAGGGTCTTCACGTGAGTCTGAGCATAGCAGGGCACTGAGAAATGACCTAGTCTAAGACCTCGCTTGAGAGCAGAGGAAAGGAGTTCGGAGGAGTCAGATGGATGGTGGGCAGGGGTCAGGTTCATGCTATCACCCAGCCCAGAGACTGCTTCACTCCTCTGAGGGAGCACACACACAGTTGTCTGCGTACCTCTGTTCTTTTTCTTTTTTTTTTTTTTGAGACAGGGTTTTGTTACCCAGGCTGGAGTGCAGTGGTGTGATCATGGCTCACTGCAGCCCTGACTGCCCGGACTCAAGCAATTCTCCCACCTCAGCCTCCTGAGTAGCTGGGACCACAGGCGTGCACCACCATGCTTGGCTAATTTGTTTATTATTTGTAGAGATGGGGTCTTACTATGTTGCTCAAGCTGGTCTCGGACTTCTGAGCTCAAGTGATTCTCCTGCCTTGGCCTCCCAAAGTGCTAGGATTATAGGCGTGAGCCATCGCGTTTGGCCACTTTTATTATTTTTCAGCGTGAGGGACGAGGAAGACATGTTGGCTACTAGGACTCCTGTCCCAGGCAGATCCCTGATCTTCAGGCGCGAATTGCACCACAAGCACCTTTGACCACTCCCTGAAGAGTGAGACCCACTTCCTCAAGGCCTCCTGCGAGTGTAGACCAGATGGCTTCTCCACCACTGGGTGGGAGCCTGAGCTTCCTGCCTTCACTGATCTCTGCTTCCAGTTGGTTCTCTTCGTGGTGCCCAACATAAACAATGAGCTATTCATAATTTAACATCTTAACTCACTAAGTTTGGGTTTTTAAAAGGTATTTTTCAAGACTGGATGAAGCCAGAGTCCCATCTTAAAATGCTAGTCTGGAAGGTAAAATATAAGTGATAAAAATTAAAATGCAAAATATGGAAAAAAATAACAGAAAAGACGTTCAAAAGAAGTGAAGGCTTTTGCTAAGCATGGTAGGGCTCAAGGAGAAGGTAACATGGTGGGGTCTACCTACAACCTTGCATGAGACTGTGCTTCACACGAAACACAGCACTCAGGCAGCTGCTATGATCACCCAAGCTATTAGCAATCGTCAGTGCTGAGCTGTATAAAGGTCTACACCGCCGTAGCATTCAACAGAGAGTAACCCATGAAACTTGTTTCTTTCTTAACAAATACTAATTTCCGCTTCTCTATGAATAGTGAGCTTTTTCTATTGAAAATATCTTATCTGAATTAGTCATATAGAAGCGTCTTTAAAATAGCCAGCCCCCACAGTGAGTGGTTTAGATTATTGCTAATCTAGCTGAATTGTTTTGTTTGTTGAGTCTTGCTGAGGTAAGACAGAGCAAGGCTGTGGGTGCCAGTCATTGGATTGCTCTTGATGGCTGCGAAGCAGCTGAGATGAGAATTTCTCCACAGTCACAACATGAGATCCAGCTGTTGGGAATGTAGAGCCTGTTCTAATGTCAAGCATGCCATTGGTGAGGCTTCTATGAGTCCTGTGGCTACGACCTGACTGCAAGCCTGCCCAACACAAATAAGCCCCACTAGGCACATCTCGTCCTTTGTCTAAACGCATCTTGTGCCTTCCCTCTTGAAAGTGGTGGATGACGACAGCCCTGGGCAAACAATGACAAGCAATGGCATGAAAGCAGGTGTACACGTGTACACAGAAGCCAGGTCTGGTAAAACTTCCCGGCACATTGACTTTCTGGATGTTTCCCATTGGCCCCACAGATCTACCGTCTATCCTTCTCCATGCTGCTCTGTATGCAGAGGGTGACCTGCGTGGACCACATCAGTGAGCTCCCCGCAATCTGCCCTTCTGCCATTAAGAGGCACTGGTCAGAACCTGGATGGTGGAGGAAGAGTGTGGTCAGAGTATTTATTTCCCCAGCATCTTCTCTCTCCCGGATGCCACACCTACTGCCCGTGGCTATCTCCATCAGCCACTCTCATCCCTTGTCTTTTTGCCAGGCCTGAGGGTAGTCCCAGGAACGGTAGTATCCTTCACTAGTGTCCTTAAATCCTGCCCACTCCTTGGAAAGCAGTCCCTTTATGGAGTCCTTTATCTCACAGTTTTGTGCTGCCTTTTCTTTCCTACCAGGGTCCTGATTGGTCCATCCACCAATATCAGAATCATACCAACCTACAGGTACTTCTCTCCTGTCTTCTTCTGGAACTCTAGAAAGTGCTTGGTAATTTTATTGGGTCTTCGCCGAGCACCGAGAAAAGCTCTACTCCCTAACAGTGCATTGCTGGCTGCAGCCCTAAACTCCTGGGATGACACATCTGGGGACGTCTCCACGGACCAAGCCTTGGAAGTGGAGGCTCCACTCCACAGTGGACATGAAGAGCTGGCTGAAGGCTGGGTCAGCACTGGAAGGCGATGCTTCCCCACCCCAGCAGGAGCAGGGCTTCCCACTGGCTGAGGACATGCTCCATGTGCACTGTCAGCCCGTGCAGGCAGGCGGGGCTCCCACTGGGAGGGGCGTGGTGGGCCTGAGGAGACAGCCATAACATCTTCCACATGCGTGCCTGAGAAACCCCCAGATATGTGATTTTGCAATGTTTATAATGTGAATGATTATGAGTGAAACTGGCATTGCTTTGTCTCAGGAAGAACCTAAATCTGTTTTAGACATTTGTTTTGGACTCATTATTTTCTCCTTAAACATTCCAAAGAAGAGAGTTTGTCTTGCTTCTTGAACGCTTTCTTCATTGGGATGTTAGGGTGGTGAGGAAACACTAAGGAGAAGGAAGGAGACTGAGGTCAGGTTTTGTGCTTCCTTAACCTGGAAGCTGGAAGAGGCTGCGCAGGCAGGGAATGGACAGCTATGGAAAGCACATGTCACTTAGTACCCCAAAGCGTTGCCGGGTCAGCAGTCTCCTCATCTTTGCAGATGGAGAAACTGAGGCTGAGAGAGATCACCTGACTTGCCCAAGTCCACAGGAAGTGGCGGGTCTCCCGTTTTCTCTAAAGCCCATGGTCTTTCCTATCTTTCATTCAACACCCACGGAGGAGTTGTCTGGGGAAAGAGAGAAGCAAGGCAAAGAAGCATAGAGTTCTCCTTAAAGGAGGACTGGGATTTAGGAGCAAGGGGAAAACTCGAGAGATTTCAGCACCACCTAGTTATCGGCCCCTCCATCCAGCCCATGCTGGCTAGAACACTGTCGGCCCGTAGAGCAGGAGGTGCGGTGCAGCATCTAGAATCCTAACTGAAAACTGCCCAGAGTCTGAGAACATGTGCCCTTCTCTTGCTCATAGAGTAGGTTAGGCCAGCTCACCATTCACCAAGCCTAAAGAGGGTGGGCCTGCTGGCAGGGGCAACTCACCTGCCTGCTCCAAAGCCACCATTGTTGCCTGCTCGATCAAGTCCCGCTCGATGAAGCTCCTGAAATCCTCGCTGTACACGCTCAGGTCTGGCAACTGGAATGTGTAGATTGGCATCTCCAGGGGGAACTGCTCGTTGTTGCATTCACTTGCCACGTGGGACCGGGCCAGGGAGACGATGGCTGAGCTGGCGTGGGAAATCCCCCGGGAAAGCCGCTTTTCTGCAGGGGGAGAAGGAAAGATAGCCCCAAGGGCTGAGTGGGTGTAGGTGTGGCTCTATGTACATAAACACACATACTATGCACACACAATACACACACACAGGTACACATTCATGCACACAGACCACACACATGCACATACCACACAACACACAAAAATACATATGTGCACACATATGAACACACCATACATGTTCACACATATATACTACATGGCACATGCGCACATACATATACATGTGCACACACACTTATAAGCAGAGATATACATGTGCATACACATACTGCACACATACGCATACACACACATGCACACACATAAATGCTCACACATGAATACGAAAGCATACACAGGATCATATGCATGCACACACTAGACACATATACACTGCACATCCACTTGTATACATACATGTGCACACACTACATAGCATACACATACATGCATGCAGACACACACATAGAAACAGTTGGCACATATACTACACACATATATACATGCCCACGCACATACACTACAGACTATACACATACTATATACGTGTACACATATAGATGTATTTGCACACACAAATACACAGGACACACAGCGCACATACATGTACATACATGCACAGACTATATGCATACACACGTACACATACATGTGTGCACACACATACACATGCACACCCATATTCTCTCTGCAACAGCCCTTATATCCTACAAGCCTTTTCTATCCTGCAGGCCTTCCTGCTGCTGGATTAATCACCACCACCTGGTATGTGGCACTTATTCACAAGAGTCATGAAACCACTTAGTAAGTGGGGAGCTGCAAGCCCACAGTACAACTGCACATCAGCACTGTCAAAGAGCACCAGGCTTGCTCTTGGGTCTGAAGTTACATCTACCTCAATTCCACTGAGTTGTCCTCTCCCAGGACTAAATGGTACAAGGGAGACCGCTCTTTGTCTCGATGCATTTATGCACTTAATGCAAAGAAACAATCATTCAGGCATCCACAGCAGCTCAGGTTTTAAGACAGGTTGTTTTACTAAAGTTACGCTGATAAATGCCTCCTACATGGCCCTCCCAGGACACACAATATTAAGTCAGTCCATGTGTTTCTCTTCTGTCTGGATATTCTTTTGCCACAGCACTCTCAAAAATAATGCTCTCCTCTGGCTTTATTCTTCTTGGGCTTTTCAGCCAGGGAATGAGAAACGCAGTGTAGGATTTCTCTAAGGTACAATATGTTACCATGTTAGGAAGTCGATTACCTAGAAAGTAGATGTATCTTCTTGATGCTGCAAAAGCACGCTTGTTTTTATAAGCCCTGTGTTCTAATGACTAACATTGAACATAAAACAAGAATGCTTAAATATATGTTAAGAATAGGTTATCTTTTCTCATAGTGTTTTCAGTAAGGAGAAGTCTTTTTAGCAGGGCAGTAGATCTTTCATTTTTCTCAGGAAAGCATGGTCTCTGGTGTTTTATTCAAAAGCCTGCTGCCTGTGTTGCCTAAATTAAGTATAAATAAGCATTGTCTAAGCCCTGTGGCAAATTCCTGAGGCTATTCCCTGAGGTCCCAAGGAATCCCACTGTCCTCCAGTTCAGCCTGCCCACTGGTGAGGTCTGTGCTCCTGCAATGCCCCTCTGAGGTCCACACTGACCAGCACACCACGGTCACACGGAAAACCCAGCCCCAGCTTTCACCCGGAACAGCAGCATTTTCCTTCCCCACTTGCAAGAGCACTGGACAGAAATGGCATTCATGGAGTTTTGTTACAACAGACTAAAAAGCATAAGCTTTTGATCCTATGGCAAGTTAGTTTTAAATCCGAAGCTAATTTCCAGAAGGTTCATGTATTTTTCCCATTAAAATGAATACAGAGTCACAGAGACAGACTACATTTCGCAATGGGTGGTTTAGATTCACCTTCAATTTCATTCAGAGACCAACAGGATTAAGTTCTTTGTATTTTGCAGAAAGGTAAAAAGAGAAGTTAAACCACACAGGACATTAGAAAGAAGAGGGAGGGAGCACATGGGCCCAGCTTGGGTGGTGGGGGACGGCCCATTGCTTCCCACGCTGGTTCAGGTCCTTGAGTGCAGGAGCAGTGGAGGCTTGTGTCTTTCTGCCTCGTGCAAGCCATGCTGAGGCCACTCATCTTGCCACAAACTACCATTTTTGTATCTGGGAAAGAAGGAACTGCCCCATTTTTCGGAATCTGATGGAGAGGGACATCAGGCATTAGAGAATCGAGGTGCTATGTGCACCTGCAATCGGTGGGACAGACAATCTCAAGGCTGCTCTCAACAGTGGGCACCTGTTGTCCAGGGGCACCCATGCTCCTCCCGGGCCCATCAATCAGCACCCACATGAGACACTTCGATGGCCTTGGAAACACGGTGATTCCTAGGACAACATGATGTGGTTCTGCAGTTCTAAACATGAAATATTTGGAGTTTGAGGGAAAAAAGTATTTTTGAACTAAAAATATTAATAGATTGCGTTGAAGATCATATAAAATGAGAAATATATGCTCCTAATTCTAACATTTCCTGTGACACCCCAGGAATGCACACATATCATCTCTCTCACACACACACAGAGTCACACACACACACACACATTCACACACTGATTCTTTAAACGTGAACTCAGTGATTCTACTTTTGGATGTATAAATAAAATGTTTTACAGGAATTACCATGATCAAAGTTATGTCTCAGAAAAATACAGAAAGATTAGAAAACAAAACAAAACATAGTACAAGAATGTACAGAATTTCCCTGCCACTGACAAAGGGGAGATGTATTAACTATATATTCTTTTTTCATTTATTTTCCTTTTATTTTTAATTTTTACAGAGATGGGGTCTTGCCATGTTGCCCTGTCTGGTCTTGAACACTTGGGCTCAGCGAGGATTACAGGAATGAGTCACTGCATCTGGCCCTGCGTTTTCTTATTTTCTTTGTTTTTGTGGCTCTGGCACCTGGGACCTCCCTGACTGGGGAGAGGCTGCCCCTCCCAGGTGAGCCAATGTTAAGAGATGGCAAAGGCCTTGCCCCGCAGCACACCTCTCCTATGCGGAGCAGCCAATCCAGAATCTACACTCCTGACTACCCTCTCCAGCTGGCTCTTACTCTCCAGGAGGCAACGTTCCTTTGCCCTAAGCACTTCAGGCCAGGGACCAGGCAGCCGGAGACAGGCCCTGGTACCTGGTACCTGGTGCCTCTGAGCTGGCTGCCGTTATGCACACTAGCTGGGGTAGGGGGCTGCTCCCCCTGCCCTGCCTTCCCATAGAAACCACCTCAAAGGCTTTGGCCCATGCTTCCCCTCACTCCTATCTCCAGATGACCGGCGCCTCCCCGTGTGGCCCTGCATGCTGTGCTGGGCCTCCTGTTTCCAAGGAACTGTGAGTTAAAAAAAAAAAACAACTTCCACCTTCATGACAGTCATTTCTGTGTCTGCGTGTCTTATGACACCTGATTAAAACCGATCCTGGGTATATTTTAAAACAGGTGGACAAAACTTTTCCTAAAGGGTGAGACAGAAATATTTTAGGCTTTGTGGGCCATGCAGTCTCAACTACTCACCTCTGTCTTTGCAGCACTAAAGCCGTCGAAGACAGTACATACATGAGTGAGCGTGGGGGTGTTCCAATAAAACTTTACTTAAAAAACAGCCCAGATTGGGCTCACAGGTCTTTTTCTGGGCCCTGATTTAGAATATGAAATGTTCCATTTTCCATTTTGGCACACTATGGTTTCAGGAAGAACTCAACTAAAGGAGACATAAATTTAATTCAGAAACTCTGTAATTCAATAGGAATCGATATGATTGCTCGCAAGGCTCAATTAATAGGATTATGCTGGGATAGAGTCCTATTTTTTTTTTCTTAAATGATATCTAAGAAAAGTCAGATCACAGTATGTAACAGCTACACTTACTAGGCCCTGATTCTGCCAATCTCTCTGGTAGCAGAGAGAAGGGTCCTTCTAGCCCCTGTACCAGGAGGATAAGATAATGGGTTGGTTTGTTTGCTGCCAGCTCAAAAGAGCAGGACTGCCATGTGGCCATCTGTCTGGATTGCTGCTGCCTGAAAGATACCAGCAGCCTTAACCGTGTGGTGTAGTCAAGGAAGGCCCTGAGCACAAGACCGAGCCAAGGACTGGAAGGGGTGGTTCCTCTGGAGTCAGGTCTAATGGCAGAAATGAAACCGAATTTAAGAATAATCAGCAAGAGGGGCAAGACAGTGCATAGCCTCAGTGTCCTGTCCTCACACACACCTAGAAATCCTCAGGGGCAGGAGGTGGGAATGGGTGAGGCCGACAGAGAGGGCCTGGGGTAGGGCGTCTTGGTCCTGCCTTTCCTCTCCCCAGCATGGCTCCAGCATGGCCTGCCTTCCCTATCATCCCCTAGCCCCAGCCCTGTGCCAGCTGGAGAATGTCAGGTGGTGCTGGAGCACAGCTGGGTGGGGCACCAGTCACCATAAGCACTGCTTCCCTCCTTTCCCTAACACACTGGGGAGCTTGGCGGTTACACCAGAGCAGGGCAGTCCCTACAGGAAACAAGGACTTTCTAGAAGAGAGGAGCTGGGAGCAGCCCTCAGTAGACAATCCAGCTATGCAGAGGGGAACAGGCAGGGAACTTCTAGAGCCCAAATGACAACATCTAAGGCTCTCCAGCTTGAGTACCCTTCCCCGACTCTCATCTGGAGGAGCATCCACCAGAGCCTGTGCTCCAGCACAGTGAAGATGGATGATAACTGCGTGCCCCAGGAGCTTCAGGGAAACTGTTAAAGAAAGGCAACAAAGTACTGGCCAGGAGGACTAGATTAAAAAATGAGCCTAGTAAATACATGCAAAGAGATAAATAGAATATCAGAATGCAAAATAATAATAACAATAATAAAGACAAAGAATTAACTTGGGATTAAAAAAAATGTTAATGGGACTAATAATGCATTCATGTGCAGAATAAATAGGGATGTGAAAACATCAGGTCAAGTGAATCTCTTAGAAGACATGAGAACAAGGTGCAAGAACATGATGGAGGAAGGGTTGGAAGGTGTTCAAAGAAAATAATTTCAATCTAGAGTTTTTAATCTACTAAATGAAAATTTAAGTATACCATGTAAATCTTTTTAGGCACTCAAGGCCTTAGGAGATTCACCATGCAAAAACTGTTTTTGGAAGTAGTCTTTGAGGAAGGTTTTTTTTTTTTTAGCAAAAGAGAAAAGAATACATGTGAATAAATAAAGGAGTTAATTGTTATCTAAATAAGCAAAGGCAACAAAAAGTATCTAAATAAGATTGAGAGCAAGTAGAGGCAGGACAGAACAACATAAAATCATATTAATACATGTATTTTGCAGGGGAAAATATAGTTGTTAAGTTTTTAAAAATAATAGGAAGAAAACCAAAATAATGATTTTAATAGAATAGCAGTAATTGCAATGTGAGTAAAAGTAGAATGTGTAACTTGCAAACCAGTAGAAAAATTTAACTAGATAGAGAAGATAGGACAGAAGAATGGATTGAATTAACCACTCAAAAGACAGAGATTCTTGGATTGGATAATAAAATGAAACCTAATAATAAATTGTCTACAAGAATCACATTTAACATGAAAGGATATGGAAAAGTTGAAATTATATCAGCAGAAAAAATGATATTTCTGGCAAATATGAACCAACAGAAAGCCAGGGTAGCTGTTTAATATCAACAAAAGCAGATTTCAAGATAAAAACCATTATATCAAATGGCTTGACAAAGAGACAGCCTATATATTGGTCAAAAAACACACGAGGAAGATAATCTAAAAAATTATGAATATACATATACCTAACAAGATAGCATCAAAACAAATACAGCAGAAAGGATGAAACTCAGAGAAGACACAGATAATATGTATTAAAATTTCTAACTCAATTATGGCTTTTCTAAACAACAGAATAAACAGTTGAGAATAATCCAAGATATAGATTCAATATAGCTTGAATAATAGGCTGAGCTAATAGAAACAAAGACAGCATTCATTTGCAACAGTTCAGGAGAGTCTACCTAATTCAATAAAATAAAAAACTGAATTAATTGTATAAATATGAAGAAGAACTTACAATTATTTCAGATGATACTATTGTATACTTAGATATCCAAGTGATTCTCTTAGTCATTAAGCAAATGACTAATAAGAGAATTTATGTAGTTCACTGGATAAAAGATAAATAAGTAAAAAATGAGTTTCTTTTTTCCATGCTTAAAATCTGAACAGAATCTGAATATGTGGAGAGGCATACATAATGTTCTTGGATAGAAGAACAATATTATAAATGCAAATTATTTTTAAAATTAAATAAAAATCCATTCCAATTCCACTCAGAATTATAATTTTAAGGTTTAGATGGCAAAATAAATATTCAAAAACAGCACACACAAAAAAAGGAAAAGCATAGCAATAGAAGGTGAGGGTGAGACCCTGTGAAACCACTGAGTCAAGTGTAACAGGGGGGCAGCCACAGGGGTGGGCAGAACAAGGTATGGAAATAGGTCCAGGTATGTTGAGAATTTAATATAAGGCAAAGCTGGCATTTAGTTCAGTGGGAAAATGTACTTGAATAACTCTCTCTCAATCCAGGAGAAAGCAAAACCAGATTCTTTGCTATTTACAAAAATTTCAAATTGATGAAAAGACTCAAAGAACAAAATTTAAATTAAATATAAGAATATATTTCAGGCCGGGCACGGTGGCTCACGCCTGTAATCCCAGCACTTTGGGAGGCCGAGGTAGGTGGATCACAAGGTCAGGAGATCGAGACCATCCTGGCTAACACGGTGAAACCTTGTCTCTACTAAAAATACAAAAAATTAGCTAGGCGTGGTGGCGGGTGCCTGTGTCCCAGTTACTCGGGAGGCTGAAGCAGGAGAATGGTGTGAACCCATGAGGCAGAGCTTGCAGTGAGCCGAGATTGCGCCACTGCACTCCAGCCTGGGCGACAGAGTGAGACTCCATCTCAAAAGAAAAAAAAAAAAAAAAGAATATATTTCAGTAATTCTGTAGTCCAAGAAACCTTCCAAAGTGAGAGAGAAAGCTCATCAGCCATGAGAACAAGATAATGTAAACATTGTGTATGGGAAAATATTCTGAAAAGAAAGTCATAAGGCAAGTGATATGTGGGAAAAACACATATACATATAGAGGAAATATATGTTTTAGTCTTTATTACAAAGAGAGCAACAAATTGATAAGAAAAGACAAACCAATCAATAGAAAAATGGACAAAGTATGCGAACAGCCACGTTACAAAGGGGAAATCCAATGGCCTAAGAAGCAAATGACAAGATGAGACAAGACACCATTTTCCACTCTTCAGAGTAGAAAAACAACATAAACACATTTGATGTAGTTTGAATATTTGTCTCCAAATCTCAAGTTGAAATGTGATCCCCAATCTTGGAGGGGGGGTCTGGTGGGAGGTGTGTGGATTAGAAGCAGATCCCTCATGAATGTCTTGGACTATCCCCTTGGTGATAAGTGAGCTCTTGCTCAGTTCACACGCAATCTGGTCATTTAAAAGTGTGTGGCACCTCCCACCCACCACTCTCTCTCTCTTGCTCCAGCTCTGGCCATGTAAAGTGCCTGTTCCCTCTTTGGGATTTTAAGCTTCCTGAGGCCTGCCATGATTTTAAGCTTCCTGAGGCCTCCCCAGAAGCTGAGCAGATGCCGGCACCATGCTTCCTATAAAGCCTGCAGAACCATGAGCCAAGTAAACCTCTTTTCTTTATAAATTACCCAGCCTCAGATATTTCTTCATAGCAATGCAAGAAAGGGCTAACACAGAAAATCAGTACCAAGGGGGTACCTGAAAATGTGAAAGCAACTTTGGAACTGGGTAATGGGCAGAAGTTGGAAGTCTGGAGGATTCAGAAGAAGACAGCAAGTGAGGGAAAGTTTGGAACTTCTTAGGGACTGGTTAAATGGTTATGACCAAAATACGGATAATGAAATGGACAACAGAGTCAAGGCTGAGGAGGTCTTAGATGGATATGAAGAAATTATTGGGGACTGGAGCAAATGGTCACGTGTTTTGCCTTAGCAAAGAGCTCAGCTGCATTCTGTTCATACCCTAGGGATCTGTGGAAGTCTGAACTTGATGATTTAGGGTATGTGGTAGAAGAAATTTATAAGCAGCAAAGTATTCAAGAGGTGGCATGGCTGCTTCTAACAGTCTGCATTCAGATGCTGCAGCAAAGATAGGAGTTGGAACTTATATTTAAGGGAAGCAGAATGTAAAAGGGAAGCAGAATGTAAAAGTTTGAAAAATTTGCAGCCTAGCCATGTGGCAAAGAAAGAAAAAGCTTTTTCAGAAGAATTCAAGCAGCCTGAGGAGCAACTACTTGCTAGAGATATTTGCATGACGAAAAGGAAGCTAAATGAGTGCTATTACCTAAGACAATGGAGAAAAAGCCTTGAAGGCATTTCAGAGACCTTCACAGCAGCCCCTCCCATCAAAGGCCTACAGGCCTAGTTGGAAAGAATGGTTTCATGGGCCAGGCCCAGGGCCCCGCTACCTTGTGTAGCCTTGGGACACTGCTCCCCACATCCTGGCTGCTCCAGCTCCAGCCTTGGCTCAAAAGGTCCCAGATACAGTTCAGGCTGCTGCTTCAGAGGGTGCAAGCCATAAGCCTTGGTGACTTTCACATGGTGTTAAACCTGTAGACATGTAGAATGCAAGAGTGAATGAGGTTTGGCAACCTCTGCCTAGATTTCAGAGGATGTATGGAAAAGCCTGGGTGTCCAGGCAGAAGCCTGCAGCAGGGGCATAGCCCTCACACACAACGTCTACTAGGGCAGTGCCAAGGGGAAATGTGAGGTTGGAGGCCCCACACAGAGTCCTCATGGGGGCACTGCCTAGTAAAGCCGTGAGAAGGGGGCCACCACCTTCCAGACTCCAGAATGGTAGATCTACCAGTGGCTTGCACCCTGCACCTGGAAAAGCTGAAAGCAGAGAGCAGCCATGGGGGCTGAACTCTGGAAAGCCACAGGGGCAGAGCTGCCCAAGGTCTTGGGAGTCCACCTCTTGCACTGGTGTGCCCTGGATGTGAGACATGGAGTCAAAGGAGATTATTTTGGAACTTTAAGGTTTAATGATTGTCCTGCTGGGTTTTGAACTTGTGTGAGGCCTGGAGCCCCTTTCTTTTGGCCAATGTCTCCCTTTTGGAATGGGAATGTTTACCCGATTGTATCTTGGGAGTGAATAACTTGTTTTTGATTTTACAGGCTCACAGGTGGAAGGGACTTGCCTTGACTCAGACAAGAGTTTGGACTTTTGAGTTAATGCTGGAACAAGTCAAGACTTTGAGGGACTGTTGGGAAGGCATGATTGTATTTTGCAATGAGAAGGACATGAGATTTGGGAGGGCCCAGGAGTGGATTGATATAGTTTGGATATTTGTCACCACCCAAATCTCATATTGAAATGCAATCCGCCATCTTGGAGGTAAGGCCTAGTGGGAGGTGTTTGGATCACGGGGGCAGATCCCTCATGAATGGCTCGGGCCAACCCCTTGGTGATAAGTGAGCTCTCATTCTGAGTTCACATGAGATCTGATCATTTAAAAGTATGCAGCACCTCTGCCTTCCAACTCACTCTCTCCTGCTCCTACCCTGGCCATGTGAAGTGCCTGTTCCCCCTTTGCCTTCTGCATGATTGTAAGCTTCCTGAGGCCTCCCCAGAAGCTGAGCAGATGCCAGCACCATACTTCCTGTAAAGCCTGCAGAACCACGAGCCAAGAAATCCTCTTTTTAAAATAAATTACCCAACCTTAGGTATTTCTTTACAGCAGTGAAAGAATGGCCCAGCACACCATACATTGTAATTTCCAGTGCTGGCAAGATTGAAGGGAAACACCCGGTTTCACACATGGTGAGTAGCAATATATTAGGAAAGAAGCCCTAAAATTATTAAGCTAGAAACACACATGTGTTGGCACAGCAAATCCATTCTGGGAATGCAAACCCATAGAAACAAAAGCACCAGTATGTAAGATTAGAGGTATAAAGATGTTTCTTTCAGCATTGCTTTCAGTGGCAATTAACAAATAATAACAACGACAAAAACCCAAGCAAAAACAGAATCACCATGAATACAGCAGTGATCTAAAAATTAACACATTATAGAATAAAATGTAGCTATTGAGAGATTATGTTCATCATCTCCTGCTCAGTGAAACAAGCACTTTGCAGTGTGCTGTGCATTTGACTCTGATGTGTTTGATTTTGAACAATATAGCAAGAGGAGCAGGAGGAGACCACCAGAATGTTATCAGCCGTCATTACACTGGTGAGATCTGGGAGGTGTGGAGGCGAATGCTCTTAAGTTTTCCTCATATATCTCTGTATTGTTTCCTTTGTTATAATAAGCATATCTTACTTTCATAATGAAGAAAAAGGATAGAGAAGATGGAGCGCATGGGACAAGAAATGTGATGCTGAACAGACTTGGAGACTGTGTTACTTTGGAAATATGTGAAAGAACTAGAGATGTTTGGTCTGAAAAAACCAAGACTCCAGGAGGAATGCTGGCTTTTACTCACTTATTGGGCTTTTGGGGTCCTAGGAAATCAGACTCATTTTTCTGCTTTTCTGAGGTAGAGGTTGGAACCATGGATAGAAGCAACAAAGGACATTTCGGCATAGTGTGAGAAAGAAGGCACTGAGAGGCCAATATGTCTGCATCCGGGAGGTGATGACCCCACCATTCTTTGTACCACGCAACCCGCCTGCAAGCTGCGGTGCACTGGCCTGGGCGGCTGTGCCTAGGCTCAGTCCCTCAGCGGTACCTTGGGCAATGTCGTCCTGCCTCTGCAGGCAGGGTCGCTCCACCTTGTGCCCGGGCTGTGGCTCTCGCTCTGGCTGCTTGGGACCCCGCCCTTCATTGAACACATGTGGCAGATTGGCTGTGTGCACCTGGCGGAGCTGCTCATAGTCGCTCAGAGCGGCTGTCAGGTCCCAGTTTTTGCCTGTGGACAAGAAATGACAAGAGGTGACAATACGAACGCATGAATAACGGTCTCATCATAGAGAAGAACTGTGACAAGAAGGGTTTCCCATTAGGACATAAACTAATGAATTTTTACCAGTAGTTCTTGTTTTTCAAAGGGGAAAAATGGCCCTCTGCATGACTCTAAAAGCAGAATTTCACACCCATAAGTGACGTCCATCTAAAATATGTGACTATATACAGTCTCAGAGCCTTTAGGTTCATACACACACACACACACACACACACACACACACACACACACACACATCTAAACACTGCATCCCTGATCATCACATCCCCCTTTGAAAATCAAGTTGTAGAGCTTACTCTCTGAGGGGAACAAAGCATCAATTAAAGAAAAATGAATTGAAATAATTCTCAAAGTTTCTTTGGGCTTTTGCTCAGAGTTTTACTTTTTATTTTAAGCTTAATATGAGCGAAGCAGAAGCTTGGGAGGGATTCTCTTGTTAGTGAGCTTTGGTGGGAGATAGGCTTCTGAGCTCAGGCCCTGCACCAGGTGTGATGCCAGGCTGGGCAGGTGTGCCCAGCGTGGGTACGCACTCAGCAGGGCTCCCACCCCGACACGGGGTGCTGGACTGGCACTTCGCAGCACTAGGCACAGCTACACTGGGGAGTTGGAGGCAGCGTGGGCACTCTGATTCCCGACTCTGAGAGTCAGTGGGCTTGTAACGGCAGGAAGGAGTATCACACACTACACCCGATTCAGTTAGGCATCATCCTATAGCACGATTGGGCAACTATAGTTAACAATAACTTAATGTATATTTCAAAATAACTAGAAATGTAGATTTGGAATGTTCCCAACACAAAAGAAATGATGCATGTTTGAGGTGATGGATATCCCAATTAGCCAGATTTGATCATTATACATTGTAGGCTGGTATCAAAATATCACATCTGCCCCATCAATATACATATTGATGTATGTATATATCAATACATACAACTATTATGTATCCATAACAATTAAAAATTAAAAAATTTTAAAAAGAAATCAAAGAATTAAAAACTTAGCCTTAATTTTAAGGAGCAAATAAAAATAAGCTCTCTTCTCATCTTTTCCATTTTAAGTTACTGGGAACCCCAACAGATGTCACATCAAGTAAGGATGAGAAGGAAAGGCGCAGAGGCCCATGGTGAAACCTGAGGCTGGAAGACTGGGGCAGCCACAGGCTACATGTCCCTGATGAAGGAATGCAACCCAGAAGAACAGTCAAGAACACAGGTTCTAGGGCCTGGTTTTGAGCCCTGGTTCCACCTTCTAACTAATTCTCTGATGGTGAATATATCATTTCATCACCCAAGGCCTTGCATTCCTTCCTGTACAATTAGGATAACACAATCCATCTAATGAGAATTCTTATGAGGGTTAAATGAGAAAAGGAGATAGTGTTTGTAAAGTTCTTCCTTTATGGAAAGCACTAATACATGGTAGTTACCATTATTCTCATTAATTATAGGTTTCTGTTTTATGTTTAACTTCCAGCACTCAGAGTTAAAAGCCAGCTAGTAAGCAACGGAGCTGAGATTCAAATACACGGACTTATCTATACTCCGTGAGTTTCTCATTCAACTGTTACTAATGCCATCTCCCAAACACACTGAGGCCATAAAGTCCATGGGAGGGCAGTAGAAGCCTAATTCTAACATGGATATTTTCACACTTCCTCTTCTGCACCCTGGGACACTCTATGGTCCCTTCACTGTTTCCTTTGCCTCTTCCTGCCCTTAAAACACATGGATTCCCCTAATTTTTCTTCTTGCTCTTCTTTTCTCTTAATTTATACCCTCCTTTGAAGATTAATTCCATCTCTATGAGAATAAGCTTAATTCTAGTTACAACTTACATCCTAAGTTTTAAAGCCAAATATTTGACTATGGGAGATATTAGCTGACTATCCAATTTCTAGTCTCCTTATCTAATTCTATATGTTCAGAATTCTAATTTATTTTGGATAGCAATACACACAGCTGAAAATATTCATTTTCTCCTGCAGATCTTCAAACTGTATTCCTGTTGTCCTATCTTTCTGTATTTGCTTACTCTGTTTCTTCTTCCAGGAATAGTTCCTCCAAGCAGCAAGACAGTATAGCTGTATGGAAGAAGACCTTAACCAAAATAATTCAAAGACTGAGGAAGCTTCCTGTGAAGTTTTTCTTCCAGGATGCCTCAATTTCTGATTATCACCAAAAAGCAAGTTATTGGATTACTAGTAGACACAGATTTCATGGTAAGAACTACAACCTCTAGTACAGTTTACTGCTGAAAATGTTTATGCCTTAAACTCCTAAATCATTTGATTTTTTTTCATTGTCTTAAGAGGCAGTGGATTTCAAGTTAAACTTAACATATGTATTTTGGCACTCAGAGAGGGATGAGCTGCTTTAATTTAGTACAAAAGTATCACAGCTCTGAAGAAAAACTATAAATCAGATATACATGAACTCACAGGAGGAGGTGAAACAGAAACTGACTAAACTCAGGGGAAAAAGGAGTCAAACTGTTTTAGGAATGAAGTTAAATTATAAGGGAGAAAAGAGAAAACAGACTGCAGATAGCATAGTAAGAATGATAAAAATGAAAAGTAAAGTAGACAAAACAGAAATAAAGAAACACAGGGTTAAAGAAAAATGTTAGATACCGAGTATAGGTAAAAAAATCCAACATACTCATAATTTGAGCCCCAAATAAAAAACCTGAAATAATGGAAAGGAAAAAAAAAGAATTTAAAGACTTTAATTAAAAAAGCAAACTTTTTGAAATATTTGATTTTACACATTTAAAGGGCACACTGTATATAAGGAAACTGTTCTAGTATAGCCAATACCAACATATTTTAAAATTATCCTCTTTTAAAGATAAAGAGAATTTTTTAAATATGTAAGCAAAAAAGAAAGAAAATCAGGTTAGCAACATACTTCTTGGCAGCAACAGTCAATGCCAAAAGACAATAGGGCCACATCTACAAGATACTGAAGGAAAGAAAGCAATATGAGCTAAGAAAGCTTTATGCCCATCCAGTCTACTCTTTTCTGTATAAAGGCTGTAGACAAACCATTTTAAACATGAATCGTTCAGAAAACATTTCTCAAATGGACACTTTTTGAGAAAATTAATAGAGGATGAACTCCAGCCAATCAAGAGATGAATAAGAGTCTGGCAAAGGAGCAGTCAGGCAGCAGTAAGTTTATTTAACTGCACATCTAAGGAAAAGCAAAGGTAGAGATACAAGTGATGAAGAAGAATATCAATATTCTGTCAAAATGAAAATGACACAATCAACAAAAATGGTAGAATTTAGAAAGCAGAATAAATTTGCAATGCCTCAGCTGTTATACATGAGACTGCAAAGATAATGTTTACAGTTGACAGATCAGGCCAGGTGCAGTGTTTCACACCTGTAATCCCAGTACTTTGGGAGGCCAAAGTAGGCAGATCACTTGAGGTCAGGAGTTTGAGACTAGCCTGGCCAACATGGCGAAACCCTGTCTCTACCAAAAATACAAAAATTACCTGGACATGGTGGGACACGCCTGTAGTCCCAGCTGCTCAGAAGGCTGAGGTACAAGCATTGCTTGAACCTGGGAGGTGGAGGTTGCAGTGAGCTGAGATTGCACCACTGCATGCCAGCCTGGGCGACAGAGCAAGACTCCGTCTCAAACATAACAACAACAAAAAAAACAAAACTACAGTTGACAGGTCAAATATGTATATGTAAGCATATTTAATAGTAGAAGGGCAAACAATAAGAACAGACAAAAGATATACTATTGGTTAAATTAGATGGTAGAAGAGAGAGGGGAGAATGAAGGAAGAAGATAGAAGCTTGTTTTATTGAGGCATATAGGGAATAAACTGATATTGTCTAAAGAAAAAGGGATATAGGATATTACATAAAGGCAAACTTATATAACCACTAGTTATAAACATAATTGTATTGTTATACTAGTGGTTAAAAAAGTAACCATTAACATAGTTTTTTAAAATATCAGAAAAAATATTCTAAAATAAAAAGCTAAGATAACATAGTGAAAGACATTTAAAATATTTACACAGAAAAATAGAAACTATGACAGAACTAAAACCAACCGTATCTGTGAGAGCAATAAATTTAAGTAGGCTTAATGCAACTATTTAAAGAAAAGGATTTTTACATTATCTCTAAAAAGAAAGATGAATCATTTGCTGTATATAAGAGACACACCTAGAGCAAAGTGATTTATAAAGGTCACAACTAAAACAGATAGATAATAGTTTATCAGGTACACAAGACAAAGACAAAACAACAGTAACAACAAAACTGAGATTATGATCTTGTATCAAACAAGGTAGAATTCAGGCCAAAAAGCATTAAGTAATATGAGGAAAACCACTTTATAAGGCAAAACTGTTCAATTGGCAATGAAGTATATTAATCATGTTTTTTATTCTTTGTATTTTATGACGCTTTGACATCTTGGGGCCTTTGTGACCTGGGAGAAGCTGCATCTCCTTGGGCTAGCAAATTCCTAGAGATGACAAACTACTTTTCTGCAAGCCTGCCTTTCATATATAAACCCATTAATCCAAAGCCCAGACCCCTCAACCACAGCCTTTCCTACACTGCAGGCCAATATTCCCCTCCTCTAATCAGCCCAGGGCCAGGTACCAGATAACTCAGGACAGCCCCTCCACTTTGGGCCTGCTGGAATTACTCAGACTAGCCAACCCTCAACCAGCTTAGCCTGCTTGCCGTGCCCTGCCCAATCCTTCCCATGGAAACTGCAACAAAGGCTCTTGCTCTGGTTTTCCTCCTACTCACTCTGCCTCCTGACTGTGAAACAGAAACTGATTAAACTCAGGGGGGAAAAGGAGTCAAACTGTTTTAGAAATGAAGTTAAATTATAAGGGAGAAAAGAGAAAACAGACTACAGATAGCACAGTAGGAATGATAAAAATGAAAAATAAGTCAAGTAGCCAACCTAAAACAGAAATACAGAAACAGGGCTTCCCCATGTAGCCCTGTGTGGTATGTTGTACACCCTGCTTCCAGGGAATTGTGAGTAACAAACTTCTTCCTTTATAACAATAATTTCCATATCTGCATACCTGATTAAAACAAATCCAAAGTACATATGAAAACAGAAGATATAAGAGGTATGAATATCTGCATAGGAAATTAAAAGGCAGAAACTTTATAAAGTGGAAACTACCATGAAACACACTACACTGACACCACAATTACCTAGAGCGTACCATAAACAGCAGGAGTGACTATAACATGGTAACAAACAGCCTCCAAATCCTAGAGGTCATAACAACACAGGTTTACTTTTTGCTTGTTCCACACATCCACCATGGGTTGACTGAACTCTGTGACATAGCTTGTCATTCCAGGATTCAGGCTTATAGAGCAGCCACTATAAGCCTATGACTGTGGAAGAAGGATAAAAAGCCAGGAGCATCTCCCATCAAAAATCAAATACTCTGGTCCAGAGGTGATATCTCACCTCTGTTACAATCCATGGCAAGAACTAGCCACAGGCTCCCTCCAAACACGGGGCCCAGGAACTACATCCTCCCATGTGCCCACAAGCGGGAGGCAGAGAGCTGGACATAGTCCGTGAAGGGCATTAGTGCTGAATACACGGGATGTGAAATGAACACACATAAATAAATAGCCTTAATCTGTGAAGAAAAACATGTTAGAAGACATAATGGAAGAATATTCCATACACAATTGCAACTAAAATGATAAAGTACTGAGGGATATATTTAAAAGAAATGTACACAATGTGAAAGAAAAATAAATCTCAAGACCCCAAAATCACTAAGCCAAAGGGTGTCAGGCAAACCTGCCTCCCATTTTATTCCTAAATAAGATAGCTAAAAAGATAAAAAACACTACATACCTCCCTCACAATTTGCTCACCAGGAAATTCCTTATGGGCCTCAAGATCTTTCTTTAGGGACTCAGAGCCCTAAAACAGTTCTGTGGCATTTTACCCTGGCAATGTAAATTGATAGCTTATCCCACAGGTGTGGGACAAAGGACAGACAGAACTCTAAGTCATCTCTCTGCTCACCTGAGACAAATGCATATCTGGTTGCTTCCTCTGCCCTATTGTTTATGTAAAAATTCAGATTTACTGAGTCAGACTAAGGCATAAGTGATTATTCCTCTACCTGCCTCTCACATGTAAATTGTGTATTCAGTGAAAGGCTGATCAAAGACATAAAAGAATGCAAACTTTTATCTCTTATCTACCTATGACCTGGAAGCCCCCAGGTCAAGTTGTCCCACCTTCCCAGACAAAACAAATGTACGTCTTACACATATTGATTGATGTCTCATGTCTCCCTAAAGTGTATAAAACCCCACTGTGCCCTGACCACCTTGGGTACATGCACTCAGGATCTCCTGAGGGCTATGTCATGGACCATTGGTCACTCATATTTGGCTCAGAATAAATATCTTCAAATGTCTTACAGAGCTTGAATCTTTTTGTCAACAACAACATAAATGTGGAAAACTTAGAATATTCCTGAAGGGCATAAAAGTTAAACTGTGTATATCGTAAACTGAAAATAAAATCCTAATCCCCACCAACTAACCAAATGAACCCTCTCTGGGCCAAGAGGACCTCAGAGATGCCTGAAAAACTGAATTCCTGGACATGGCTGGAAGGGAGGTCAGACACACCTTGTAATACCGCCTTTCTTTTGGAGTTTAGACACAACAGACCAGCATTAACATTAAAATAGAGATCATAAAATAGAGATCACCAAACAGACTGTGTAGCAATGAGATACCAAATTCCAACCTGACTCTGGTAAGCATCACATGACAGATAGCAGACTCTAAAGGAAATCAAATATATTTTACTCCAAAATATATTTCTTTGAAATATTTTTAAATGGCTCTGCAAAGCTATCTTTGTGGGGGAAATTTGCATCTGTAGAGACTCTCCATTAACGCAGCTAGCACTTTCCTGGATTCAGGAAAGATTAACTAAGAGTCTGACACGTTGTAAGGTCTGAAACATTTGCGATGTATTCTCTCTGAAGGCTGCTAGCTGGAGACTTCCTCTACAAAACAAGAGCCTCGGCTTCCACAATCCCCTTATCTTAACTCAAGCATTTCTTTCTACTGACTTCAAATCTTTAGGCAAAGCTGAACTCTTTCAACAAATTGCCAATTAGAAAATCTCTCTGAATCCACCTATGACCTGTGACCATCCCCACTCCTTGCCTTTCTAAGCATCTTTGAGACGTCCCACCTTTTTAAGCTGAACCAATGTATACCTTACATGTATTGATCCATGTCTTTGCTTGTAACTTCTGTCTCCCTAAAATGTATAAAACAAAACTGTAACCTGATCACCTTGGGCGCTTGTTCTCAGGATCTCTTAAGACTGTTCCCTGGGTCATGGTCATTCGTACTGGCTCAGAAGGGCGACAGAGCAAGACTCCGTCTCAAAAAATATATATATATTTTACAGAATTTGGTTTTTCCATCAACAATACTATGTTCCTAGTTTAGGAGACTTAATGTTGTAATTTATTCCTCTAACTTATACATTTGATTTGATTCCAGTAAAAAAAAAAAAAAACAACACAGAAGCAGGTTTTGTTTTCCTTCCTTGGAATCGGACAAGCTGATTTTAAATTCACATCAAAAAATAAGCAAGAATAACCAGAGAAACTCTGAAAAGTAAGTACAAAGAGAAGGAAGGAGCACTCTGAGACACTGGCATGAACTCTACTGCCTCAATGACTAGTCTCTGATCAGACTCAACAATGGAACATAATAGTGTAAACCAAAAATAAAATTTGAAGGCCCCCCGACAACCATCTAAATAGGCTCCCTCCTTGGCCAGGGTACCCTAAAATTTAACCTGAAAGACTGGTTCAGGCCAAGGTGGGAAGTAGGAGTCAGACAGGCCTCATTATGCCCTCCTCTTTTTTGGAATGCAGGAAAAGCTGACCAGCATTTAACATCCAGCATTTAACATTTAAATATCCACATTTAATATCCAGCATTTAAAAGCTGACCAGCATTTAACATCCACATTTAACATCCAGCATTTAACATCTAATTGGACTTAAGTCTGATAAGAAACATTTAAAATCTATTCTCTCTGAAGCCTGCTACCTGAAGGCTTCATCTGCATAATAAAACTTTGGTCTCAACAACCTCTTTATCACAAACCAGACATTCCTTTCTATTAATAACTCTTTCAACCAACTGCCAATTAGAAAAATTTTAAATCTACCTATAATCTGGAAGCCCCCACTTTGCACTGTTTCACATTTCCAGACCAAACCAATGTCCTTTTTTTTTTTTTGAGACAGAGTCTCACTTTGTCACCCAGGCTGGAGTGCCGTGGTGCAATTTCAGCTCACTGCAATCTCTGCCTCCCAGGTTCAAGCAATTCTCCTGCTTCAGCCTCCCAAGTAGCTGGGACTACAGGCGCCTGCCACTACGCCCAGCTACTTTTTGTATTTTTAGTAGAGGTGGGGTTTCCCCATGTTGGTCAGGCTGGTCTCAAACTCCTGACCTCAGGTGATCTGCTGCCTTGGCCTCCCAAAGCACTGGGATTACAGCCATGGGCCACTGTGCCTGGCCCCAGTGTACATCTTAAATGTATTTGACTGATGTCTCATGTCTCCCTAAAATGTGTAAAACCAAGCTGTGCCCCAACCACCTTGGGCACATGTTATTAGGATCTCCGAGACCTGTGTCATGGGCCATGGTCACTCATATTTGGCTCCAAATGTCTCTCCAAATATTTCAGAGTTTGACTCTTTTCGTTAACAATGAAAAAGCCCCAAAGAGAATCAAATATGCACAAAATGTTAAAAGACAGTTGTCGATTTGGGAAAATGTTTGCAACTCATATCACATACAAGAGGTTTGTATCTGAAGAAGGTCAGGTCCTGGAAAAATCTGAGGAAAAAACATGAGGCAGGAAGTTTGTAAGGGGATTGGGCAGAAAAAGCAGCAGGCCCACAGTGCAGGTGCAGTATATTGTAACAAATACTGTAATAAAAAATATCTTTTTCTTTAAGTCAGGAACTTTCACCTTTTCACTTAAAGGAAGCACACTATGGCTTCTCTTTGTCTTATCCAAATTGCCAGTATCACTGTTCTTGTACTTTGGGGCCACTATTAAGTAAAAGAAGGGTTACTTGAACACAGGCACTGTGATGCCAGAATAGCTGATCTGATAACCGAGATGGCCACTTAGTGATGAACGGGTGGGTGACATGTTCAGCCTGGACCCACTGGACAAAGGGATGATTCACATCAGAGTGAGATTTCATCATGCTACTCAGAATGGTGCATGATTTAAAACTTATGATTTCTGGAATTTTCCATTTAGTATTTTCAGATCGTGATTGACCACAGGTAAAACTGAAACCTTTAAAAGTGAAACCGTGGATAAGGGGGGCTATTGTATGTATGTGCATGTGTGTATGTATATATGTATATATGCACATGTATACACATGCACACACATACAATAGCTCCCCTAATCCACAGTTTCAATACATATATACTCTCTCTAGATAGTATATATGTGCACTCATACACACTATATATATTATGTGTGCGAGTGCACGTGTGCATATCTGTACCACACAATCCACTGTTTTGTGTTTTCCATTACTTGGAGCCCAACGCATTCCTAAATAATGTAGGGAAAAATACAGAGAACAAACAATGGCAGTGAAAACTATGTGCTATGTAGAAGTACAGATTCCACCAGGATATCTAGGAAAGAACCACTATAATTTGGGATCCAAGGGGCTCCCTGGGAGAAGTGTCATTTTAGTCTGAGATCAAAAAGAAGAGTAAAAGTTGTCTTGGCAAAGAATCCAGCAGGGTGAGCAGGGAGAGGGGTGTTACTGGACAGAAAGTTGCGTCTGGATAAACCTGAAAGTAGAATGGGCAAGTACATTCAAGGTACTGAGGTCATTAAGTGTGGATGAAGTGGAGGGCAGCAGGAGGAGAGGTCTGGTTAGGATGATGGTAGCAGGGCGGCAGGGAGGATGAGATGCCAGGAGAGAGATGCCCTGCAGGAATTGTACAGTGGGGTTTAGATTTGACCTCAAAGGCAAAGATGAGTCACTGAGGCATTTTCAATAGGGGTGAAACTTGATGAGATTTTTAATTTAGAAAATAAAGTATTTGCATTTAAGAAAAATTACTCTGGTTGCATAGCAGAGACTGCATTTGCATTTGCGCAATACTGGTGCAAAATGAATGCTAGGTGGACACCTGTATTAGTCTGTTCTCATGCTGCTAGTAAAGACATACCAAAGGCTGTCTAATTTATAAAGGAAAGAGGTTTAATTGACTCACAGTTACACATGGCTGGGGAGGCCTGACAATCATGGTGGAAGGTGAATGAGGAGTAAAGTCATGTCTTACATGGTGGCAGGCAAGAGCTTGTGCAGGAGAACTCACATTTATATAACCATCAGATCTTGTGAGACTTATTTACTACCATGAGAACAGTATGGGGGAAACTGTCCCCATGATTCAACTATCTCTACCTGACCCTGCCCTTGACACATGGGGATTATTACAATTCAAGGTGAGATTTGGGTGAGGACACAGCCAAACCATATAATTCCACCCCCGGCCCCTCCCAAATTTCATGTCCTCACATTTCAAAAATTATCATCCCTTCCCAACAGTCCCCCAAAGTCTTAACTCATTTTAGCATTAACTCAAAACTCCACAGTCCAAAGTCTCGAGGCAAGGCAAGTCCCTTCCACCTACGAGCCTGTAAAATCAATAGCAAGTTGGTTACTTCCGAGATACAATGGGGGTACATGCAATGGGTAAACACTTGGCCAAAAGGAAGGGGCTACAGGCCCCATGCAAGTTCAAAATCCAGCAGGGCAGTCAAATCTTAAAGCTCCAAAATGATCTCCTTTGACTCCATGCCACTTCCAGGTTATGCTGATGCAAGAGGTGGGTTCCCATGGTCTTGGGCAGCTCCACCCTGTGGCTTTGCAGGGTACAGCCCTCCTCCTAGTTGCTTTCACAGGCTGGCATTGAGTGTCTACAGCTTTTCCAGGTGCACAGTGCAAGCTGTTGGTGGATCTATCATTTTGGGGTCTGGAGGATGGTGGCCCTCTTCTCACAGCTCCACTGGGCAGTGCCCCAGTAGGGACTCTGTGTAGGGGCTCCCATCCCACATTTCCCTTCCACACTGCACTAGCAGAGGTTCTCCATGAGGGTTCTGCTCCTGCAGTAAACTTTTGCATGGACACCCATGCATTTCCATACATCCTCTGAAATCTAGGTGGAGGTTCCCAAACCTCACTTCTTGACTTCTGTGCACCTGCAGGCTTAACACCATGTGGAAGCTGCCAAGGCTTGGGACTTGCACCCTCTGAAGCAGTGGCCTGAGCTCTACATGGGCCCTTTTTAGCCATGGCTGGGATTTGAGACTGCACAAAGCAGCAAGGCCCTGGGCCTGGCCCATGAAACCATTTTTTCCTCTTAGGCCTCCAGGCCTCCTGTGATGGGAGAGGCTGCTGTGAAGACCACTGACATGCCTGGAGACATTTTCCCCATTGTCCTGGCAATTAAAATGTGATGCCTCATTACTTACGGAAATTTCTGCAGCTGGCTTGAGTTTCCCCCCAGATAATGGGTTTTTCTTTTCTACTGCATTATCAGACTGCAAATTTTCCAAACTGTTATGCTCTGCTTCCCTTTTCAACATAAGCTCCTATTCCAAACCATATCTTTGTGAATACACAAAACAACATGCTTTTAAGAGCACCCAAGTCACCTCTTGAATGCTTTGCTACTCAGAAATTTCGTCTGCCAGATGCCCTAAATCATCTCTCTCAAGTTCAAACTTCCACAAATCTCTAGTGCACGGGCAAAAAGCTACCAGTCTCTGCTAAAACATAGCAAGAGTCACCTTCGCTCCAGTTAGCAACAAGTTCTTCATCTCTATCTGAGACCACCTCAGCCTGAACTTTATGGTCCATATAATTATCAGCATTTTGGTCAAAGCCATTCAGCAAGTCTCTAGGAAGTTCCAAACTTTCCCACATTTTCCTGTCTTCTTCTAAGCCCTCCAAACTGTTCTAACCTCTGCCTGTTACCCAGTTCCAAAGTTGCTTCCACATTCTCAGGTATCTTTACAGCACCACCCCATTCTACCACTACCAATTTATTAGTCTGTTCTCATCCTGCTAATAAAGACATACCAGAGACTGGGTAATTTGTAGAGGAAACAGATTTAATTGGCTCACAGTTACACATGCTGGGGAGGCCTCACAATCATGGTGGAAGGTGAATGAGGAGCAAAGTCAAGTCTTACATGGCAGCAGGCAAGAGAGCTCGTGTAGGGGAACTCTCATTTATATAACCATCAGATCTCATGAGACTTATTCACTACCACAAGAACAGTATGGGGAAAACTGCCCTCATGATTCAATTATCTCCACCTGGCCCTGCCCTTGACCCATGGGAATTATTACAATTCAAGGTGAGATTTGGGTGGGAACATAGCAAAACCATATCAATACCACAGCAATGTCAATGAGGGATGATGAGGATGAAGAAGTGGAGGGTTGGAGAGGTAATGAGGGCAGAATCTGCAGTGCTTGGTGACCAACTGGAGGGAGAAGGGAGGGAAAAGGAAGTGTTCATGATCTACTTGGCTGGCTGAATTACTGAAAGCCACATCTGGAGTATTAATCAGCATTAAAAAGAAGGAAGTTGCATGTACATATGATTTGAGGGATTTCAGTGAAGGATTGTTGAGTGAGAAAAGCAGTATGCTGGAAAGTGTGTTCAATGCAACCCAGTTTGGCAAAA
Source organism: Homo sapiens (assembly GCF_000001405.40). NCBI lineage: Eukaryota > Metazoa > Chordata > Mammalia > Primates > Hominidae > Homo > Homo sapiens. The sequence goes on from NC_000015.10 coordinate 31,583,078, forward strand.
TAAAGCAACAGCGTCCTTGCCTGGTCCATGTTGTGCCTTACTGTCCAAGGTCAGTGTCAGTTCTGCACCACCACTGCCTTTCTCCATCCCTGCAGCACTGCAGGAGAGAAGCTTGCAGGACTTTTCCCAGAACTCTCTTTCTGGTGCAGTCTAGTGATAGTCTCTAGCAAGAGGCATTCATGCAAGGTGGAAGATGAAGCCAGGCCACTTTTCTATGGATGCAGTTGCACAGATGCATGGCAGAGGCAGACATGAGATTTGCTGCAGCTGCCAGGGAAGCTCCTGTGAAGCACCTGCTTTGTAAATCCAGGCCACTGAGAAGGGTAGTGGCAGAGATGCTGATATGGTTTGGCTGTGTCCCCACCCAAATCTCATCTTGAATTGTAGCTCCCATAATTCCCGTACGTTGTAGGAAGGAGCCAGTGGGAGACAATTGAATCATGGGGGTGGTTTCCCCCATACTGTTCTCATGGTAGTGAATAAGTCTCATGAGATTTGGTGGTTTTATCAGGGGAAGCCCCTTCTGCTTGGTTCTCATTCTCTCTCTTGCCTGCCACCATGTAAGACATGACTTTTGCCTTCCACCATGATTGTGAGGCCTCCCCAGCCATGTGGAACTGTGAGTCCATTAAACTTCTTTTTCTTTATAAATTACCCAGTCTCAGATATGTCTTTATCAGCAGTGTGAAAATGGACTGTGTGATGCTCCCTGGGACTCATGAGGTGTCCATGACCTCCAGGGAACCCTGCTGAACCTCCCGTAGTTAGCAACGCTTCTCTGATTTCATGCAGTTGCACTGGTTGTGTAAACCTCTAGTTCCCCTTCCTACTTGGAATACCTAGAACAGCTTCTGTCTCCTTAAGCAAATGTTGATGGATACAGAATTTCATACTGGAAATGGTTCCAGGAAAACAGAGCACAGAGATGAGATGAGGTCTCTGTCAGTGCAGGCAAATCAACAGCTGGTATAGATTGACAACTCTGATGAAAAGAAAGAGCACAAAGACAGCAGGGTGGGCTGACCCTTCATGACTTATCTAGAGAGCAACAGGAACACAAGGGAAGCTTTAATTCTCAGCTCCAGGTATAGCTGTGGAGTCACAGCTCCCAGTTCCTTTAAGGAACCTCTTAGCTCTTATAGCCATGGAGGCATTGATCCAAAGAGCCAGACCTTTCTGACACTGCACACTGATGAATTACACAAGTTTAATTGAAAGCCTTGCTAGACCTCCTAAGAACATAGTATGGCAGTGATCACAAGACTGGGGCTTTGGAGCTGGATGGGATCCTGAGAACACTTAAGTGGTTTTTGACAAACCAGAGGGCCTTGAAATCCAACATCAACATCAACTGACCCGCCCTGGGCTCAACAAAGCAGCCTCTGCTCACTTGACTGAGAGAAGCTTCTCCTTGTCTGAAGACCTGCTAATGACCTTGCCTGAGCAGACAAGTTACAGGGGGATGCCTACGTCACCTTAAAACCCAGCTTGTTTTGGAATCAGATTCTTAACTACGAAGACAGCCTGGGAGGATATACCATACACATCCAAAGAATCGCAAGATTGTTGCCAGTAGAAATCTGAAGAAAGTACATAGGAACATGTCACCAGCAGCAACTAATGCTGAGCTCTTTGGATATGAAAGTCTGGGTGCTTGCTGCAGACAAGGGGTGCCCAATAGATGCAGTGGAAAAGGGTCACAGACACGTCAGCTGGAGTCTGCAAGGTGCAGTGTTCAAGATCATGATGGCCTGCCTATTTCTCTCCGGTTTGGTGATTTATCTAGTGGAGTATAGAAATCCTATGTGCCCTCTTGCTTCCTTGTCATATGCCATAAGACCTATTGATGAGGAGAAATTAAACTCTTAATTCAGTCTTTAAGGTATAGTTTATCACAAATGGGTTGTGAGTGAGCTAGATGGCAAATGAACAAAACTCAAGATGGGTTTGGTGACTTGGAGGACATTGCGCCTCCCTTTGTTGGTGAGATGCATGCACATTTCCAGTGGAATGAAGAAGAGTAAAATTAGCAGGGCACGATGTTACTGCTGTTGCTTGCTGGTTAGATATGGGCCAAAGGATATGGATGGGTGAGGATTTGACAAAAGGGGTGGATGGTGCTGGAGAGCCTGTGCTCAACCTTTCCCCTCCCTTCATTCTCCTCTGCGTAATTTGGGAACAGCCTGGAATGGCACTTCCCAGAACTGCTTTCCAGACAAGCTCTAGGTTCTCAAATGACAAACATTCATGCGAGGCGTGGAAGGCAGCAGGAGAAGTCTTCGAATACTGAGGTTAGCTGCGAGCAGAAACAGACAGCTTCTGGCCCAGCTCTGGGGAATCTCATCCTCAGCAGCCCAGATGGTGACAGTGGCTCTGCCTGTGAGTCATGCTGCACCCAGGAGAATACCTACAGGTGAGCTGCTTCGGTGCTCTGGGGCAGTAGGCTGTGACAGCACAGTGCGTCCCCACCCGGCATCCCCAGGGTTGAGAGCTTGACCTTTGAGTTATGTGTTTCTATCTGCGGCTTCCCTGCCCTTCACTCCTCTACCCTTCCAGCTGGGGTGCAAGCCTCTAAGTGGTGGTCTGAAAATCCTTCTCACTTGCAACCTCCAGATTCTTATGTGCTCCAGAAAGAGCCCCGGCTGTATTCATATGTGTATACATATATGTGTATACATAAAGATGTATATGTACATAGGTGTCTACAGACCACTATTTGAGCTTGGAGAAAAATATGGAAGAACACATACTAGCTTGCTCACATGGGTTTCCGGGAGTTGTAATGACATCAATAGAGAGAGGAAGGAGGGATTGGGATGAGCCAAGCAACAAAGAAGACTTTTTCTAGAAACAAATGATATATATGTTATGATACCATTCATGCAAAATGACATATGCATGTGAATATAAATGTATACATTAAAATAGAAGAAAGGCAGGTAGGGTCAGGATGGTCCCTCAGCAGGAATTCTGAAGGTGAGGCTACGCTGGTTCACCCTATGGAGAAAGGCTCCTGCCAGTTACGATTACTATTAACCCTTCCTATTACTCTAGGAGTGAATCCATTTATCTGGTTTCTTTCCTCCAGGATAGAATGACCAAAGAAGGGAAATGCAGGCAGAACATAAAGACTCTGCAGACAGCGCAGATGTGGTGGGTGGGAGGCTTAGCCTCAGCTTTTATAGTCAATTTCTTTAAATGAATTTACCCTGAATTTAAATGAAAGTCTAAATTCCATACATACAGTGTGAATAGCTCACATACCTATCAATTTACAACATGGCTATGGTGTGTTAGATAGCAAGTCCTAGAAGGACTGAGGGTAGGGTTTTCTGCACAGCAGCCCCCCAGGGCTGTGGGTACCACAGGCATTCACTCAGGGGTGGGAGTCAGAAGAGCGGGGAGTGTCAGGGGCCAGATTTTGGCCACAGCCCTGCTGTGAGCTTGCCTTGTGACTTTGGGCAACTTCTGCCTCCTCTTTGAGTCCCAGTTTTGGCAATGTTAAGGAGAGATGGTTGAGATTCATCTCTAAGGGGCAGTGTAAGTCTGAAGAGTCTGAAAGTTAAAAACAACACGATTGGCCCACTCTCCTCATTTTCCTCTCATTCCCCGACTCCCACCACTCCCCTTACACCACCCATGTCCCTAGCACTGATGGCCTGCACTTTGCCAACCCCAGGAACACTGAGAGCTAGCCACTCCCTTAGCCATGTTCTTCTTGGCATCTGGGATGCCACATTCCCTTGGCTTGCCCCCTCTCCACTACTGCTCAGCTGGGTCTCCCCTGCTGGGTCCTCCTCCTCCTCCTGGCCTCTGCTTGCTGAAGGGCTCCAGCCCCAGGACCACTGCTCTTCTCCACCCACATTGCCCGCCAGGGCTGCTCGCTGTGAGTGCCATCTAAATACTGATGACTCCTGGAGTTTTGTCCTCAGGCTAACTCTTGACTCACACATCCAGCTCCTGACTCAACACCTCTGCTCGGCTATCTAAGAGCATCCCAAGCCTAACACAGCCTAAGCCAAAGATCCATGCATCATGCTTGACTCTGTTCTTACCCTCACACCCGACATCAGCAAGTCCTTGCAGCTTCACCTTAAAATATGCATTCTTGATCTAATCATAATCAAAATCTCTACCATTGCCACCCTAGGTTGGCTGCATCTCTTGCTTGGATTATTGCCAGAGGCTTCTGGTTCCTCTCCTTACTTCCACCCCAGTGTGCCCTGTCACCTGTTCTCCACAGGACAGCCAGAGTGGCCCTTTGAAAATGTAAATCTTGGCCGGGCGCGGTGGCTCACGCCTGTAATCCCAGCACTCTGGGAGGCTGAGGCAGGTGGATCACGAGGTCAGGAGTTCAAGACCAGCCTGGCCAAGATGGTGAAACCCCGTCTCTACTAAAAAAAAAATACAAAAATTAGCCAGGTGTGGTGGCAGGCGTCTGTAATCCCAGCTACTCGGGAGGCTGAGGCAGGAGAATTGCTTGAACCCAGGGGGAGAGGTTGCAGTGAGCTGAGATTGTGCCACTGCACTCCAGCCTGGGAAACAGACTGAGACTCCATTTCAAAAAAAAAAAAAAAGAAAATGTAAATCTTATCATGTTCCTCTCCTTTGAAACCCCAGGGACTTTCAATCACTTTCCAAATAACTTCGGAGTCTTCCCCATGGCCTCCAGGCCCTTGGCAATCTGGCCCCGGGCACCAAGTGACTTCGCCTGCTGTCCCTCTTTGGGCTCCAGCCACTCTGACCTGGGCCAGGGCTTTCTGCCATAGGGCCCTAACGCTCACTGTTCCTTCTGCTTGGATTATGCATTCTCAAAATATCTGCACTCTTTCTCCCTCACTTCATTGTGGTCTCTCCTGAGCTATCACCTCATCAGAAAGGCTCTCCCTGACCTTTTTATCTAAAATACCCTGTGTCCTGGCATCCAGCAATCCCACTTGTTGGTATAATCCCTACAGAAATGCCCGTACATCTGCCATATGCACATAGAGCCACTAAAGATGCATACAGCAGCCCTGTTCATAACAGCACAAAAGAGAAACAAGTCAAATGTTCATCAAAAGTAGAATGAACAAATACATTTGGTTTATTCAAACAATGGAATGCTATGTGGCAATGAAAAAGCAATTTAATTCCATACAACAATACAGAGGAGTCTCAGGAATATCTTGTTGTAGGAAAGGAGAAAGTTCCTAAATATTCATGCAGTCTGGCTCCATTTATTTGAAGGCCAAAGCTTGCAATACTAAGCAACATATTGACTACAGGTGCAGACATGCATGGCAACACGCTAAGGGAAAGCAAGGGAAAGGTAAACACAAACTTCAGGTGAGTGGTCGTTTCCCAGGGGGAGGCAACATGATGGGTTAGCAAGAAACACAAAGGGATTTCAAAGTTAATGACAAATTCCATGCCCCTCACCCTTTCTAAGCTGGGTATTTTCATAATGAATTCTGATAAATTAATTTTGTACCACCTCAATATTTAACAGAAATAATGAATCAGGGTAGGTTAAACTGTGGCAATCAGTAGAGCCTCCTGCCTCCCATCAGGAGCTTAAACACAAAAGGCCTATTCCTTTCTGCACACAGCAGTCCAGGGTGGAGTCCAGGCCTCTGATGGTTCCGCTCCACACACTCATCCAGGGATCCAGGTACCATCTTCCACACGTGGCTTCCAAGGCTGCCTGGGCGGCAGCAGCCCACTCAACCAGCAGGGACAGGGGAAGTCCCTCACAGCCGAGACTGCTTTTCCAGGGACTATGGCAGCCTGGAGGGCAGGGATTGCTACTCAGAGGGGAGGAGGGCCTCTTCCTCTTGGCTTCACTGCAGACTCTCCTCAAACTTCACCTCCTCAGGCAGCCTATGATGGGCCAGCCTAGAAGGGCACATGGCACACTTTCTGTTGTTCCACTGTGGGGTGGGTGACATGGCCACATTGAAGTGCAAGGGAGACTGGGACATGAGGCCTCGTAGCCTGCTTAGGCAGAAGGAAAGATGGGTTTTGGAAACAGCTAGTTGCTTCTACCTCAAACATTTGAAAAAGATGTATGCTACAAATCCTGTGTATGTATACATATACATACACGCATATTACATCTACACACACGTGTGTATATGGATATGTGTATGGAGAACTGAAAGAAGAGATATCAAAATAGCCTTGGGATTCTCTTTAAAGAGTAGGATCAGGAGTGACTTTTATTTTCTCATTTTGTTTTTCTGGGTTTTTTTTTTTTTTGAGACAGGGTCTTACTCTGTCACACAGGCTGGCGTGTAGTGACATGATCTTGGCTCACTGCAACCTCTGCCTCCCAGGTTCAAGCAATCCTCCCACCTTAGCCTCCCGAGTAGCTGGGACTACAGGTGTCCACTGTCCTGGGCTTGTTTTTTTTTTTTTTTTTTCTGTAGAGACGGGGTTTTGCCATGTTGCCTAGGCTAGTCTCCAACTCCTGGGCTCAAGGGATCTGCCTACCTCGGCCTCCCAAAATGCTGGGATTACAGGTGTGAGCTACCATGCCCACCTGTATTTTCTCATTTTGTTTGCATTTTTTCAATGAATTTATACTAATATCCTCAGGGCCTCAGTTTACCTAAATGCCTGGCGGATGTGATTGTTTGGGTAACTAACTGGCTCCTTTTGGTTATTTTTAATGAATATGCAGACATCCAAAAGCTAAACTAAATTGTGTACTCAACTATTTCAAACAACTGGCTAAATAATGTAGAAAAGTAAATCATTCAGTTTTAGTACTGAATGATAACTATTTTGTGTTACTCTGTAAGATTAGTATTGAAACTATCAATCTCATGGTAATGTAAAATATAATTAGTATATTCTTATGATAAAAGGATAATAATTTTGGGAAAAAAACCTTTCAATTTGGTTATATATATATCAACTGAGTGAAAGAAGAGCAAGTTATAATTATACACACACATACATACACACACCATCATGTGCTATATGACAATTCCGTCAATGACAGACCACATACAATGGTATTCTCACAAGAGTATAGTGGAGCTGAAAAATTCCTATTACCTAGTGACATCACAGCTTTTGTAACTTCATAGTGCAACACATACCTTTTCTATGTTTAGATATACAAATACTCACCACTGTGTTACAATTGCCTATAGTTTTGTAGCTTACGATCAATAGGTTATAGCCTAGAGCCTAGGTATGTAGTAGGCTATGCCATCTACTTCATGGAAGTGAACTTTAATATTTGTGCAATGATGAAATTACCAATCACATGTCTCATAAGGTATTTCTGTCATTCAGTGATGAATGACTATATATGTGTGTGTTTATTATTGTATATGTGTGTATGTATATAGTATGTGCATAGTGTAATTTGGTGTATGTGTATATACACATATACAATAATAAATTAAACACACATATATCATCATTCATCACGTGATGGAAATACCTTACACACACACATACATACATAGCAGGCATTAATTCATTGTTGACTTATTCCACAGACGAAATTATCTTATTGTTGTATGAATAGATAAAAGAATATGTACTTACAGCCTGATAAATTCTACTTTTGGGCTTCACACACTCCATATCTTATAAACAAAGTGAATTCTTAAGTATTTCCAGATGCTTGGGTTCTCTGTACTCAGAATACAATTAATCTAAACAATGATGCAAATATATGGTAAAAGCGTTTTCATGGCAGCTGAAGAAATAGCTAAACTGAACAGCCTATAGCTACAGAAAAGGAAGTGCTCCATGCTGTGCCTTAGGGAAGGCTGGCTGGCTTGTGGCCATGGATTCACTGAGCATACCCCCACGAGGCTCCCTGTACGTGCAGGCATCCTTGGGTGCTGATAGCATGGATATGAATAAAGATGCGTATGTGCTTCTTAAGAGGCTAACAGAGTAAGAGGTAAGACAGACATGGGAACAACTGTCATGGACTGGGATGACTGAGAGGTATTGCAGAGGAGCCAGGGGGTCTGCACAAGGGCTGACACATCCTGCTATTTGTGAGCGAGGAGTGGAAGCTTCCCGGGAGAGGAAGAGGGAGGGCAATATGGGGCATAGAACATAGAAAGGCTCAGAGGCTTGCAAAACCACCATCTGCATAGAGGTGTTGGGAGTTTGAGAGATTTGGTGGCTTAACAAGGAAAAGAGATGAGACCACAAGCAGGCAGCGGCATGCACAAGCTTAACTGGGAGAGCTTGGAGTGGTCTGCAGCGGATACATGGGGAAGGGGCACATCCTCAGAGCAGGAGCTTACCTAGACAAGACATTTGCTCAGACATTACTCGAGGTGTATCTGTGAGGGTATTTCTGGATGAGATGAACATTTAATTTTGATTTGTAAACTGGGCAACGCACATTGCCCTCCCCAACATGGATGGGCCTCATCTAATCCACGGAAGGGCTGAGTAGAACAAAAGGCTAAATAAGAGGAAACTCACTCTCTCTGCCTGACTGTCATCGAGCTGGCCTTGGACTCAGCTGGAACTTACACCCCCAGCTCTCCCAGTTCTCCAGCATGCTGACTGCAGGTCGTGAGACTTCTCAGCTTCCATAACCTCATGGGTCAATTCCTTATAATAGGTCTGTCTCTCTCCCCCACTCTCTCTATAATATACATGTACATGCACACTCACACACAAACATGTATGGATATGTGTGCATACTGCACATTCATGTGCCACTTAACAATGGAAATACCTACTGAGAAATGCATCACTAGGCGATTTCATCATTGTGCGAACGAACATCACCAAGGCACTTACACAAACCTAGATGGCATAGACTACTACACACCTAGGCTCTGTGTACAGCCTACTGCTCCTAGGCTACAAACCTGCACAGCATATAACTGTACTGAATACTGTAGGCAACTGTAACATAATGGTAAGTATTTGTGCATCTAAACATGTCTAAAAATAAAAAAGTACAGTAAAAATATGGTATAAAAAATAAAAAATGGTACACCTGCACAGGGCACTTACCATGAATGGAGCTTACAGGACTGGGAGTTACCCTGGATGAGTCAGTGAGTGAGAGGTGAGTGAATGTGAAGGCCAGGACATTACTGTACACTACTGTAGACTTCAGAAACACTGTACAAGTAGGCTATACTAATTTAATTTTTTCTTTCTCAACAATACATTAAACTTAGCTTACTTTATTTTATAAATTTTTAAAACTTTTTGACTCCTGTATTACAAAGTGTTACTAACACTTAGACTAAAATACAAACATATGTACAACAGCACAAAAATATTTTCTTTCTTTATATCCTTATTCTATAATCTTTTTTTAAAAAAAAAATTAAACATTTTTTCTTAGCCTAGGCCCACACAGGGTCAGGATCATCCGTATCAGTGTCTCCACCTCCACATCCTGTCCCACTGGTAGGTCTTCAGGGGCAGTGACATGCATGGAGCTGCCATCTCTTATAACAATGTCTTCTTCTGGAACACTTCCTGAAGGACCTGCCTGAGGCCATTTTACATTAACTTTAAAAAAATATATAAGTAGGGCCGCGCGGTGGCTCACGCCTGTAATCCCAGCATTTTGGGAGGCTGAGGCGGGCAGATCACGAGGTCAGGAGATCGAGAACATCCTGGCTAACATGGTGAAACCCCATCTCTACTAAAAATACAAAAAATTAGCCATGCTTGGTGATGAGCGCCTGTAGTCCCAGCTACTTGCAAGGCTGAGGCAGGAGAATGGCGTGAACCCAGGAGGCGGCGCTTGCAGTGAGCCGAGATCGTGCCCCTGCGCTCCAGCCTGGGTGACAGAGCAAGGCTCTGTCTCAAAAAAAAAAAAAAAAAAAAAAAAAATATATATATATATATATATATATATATATATGTATATATACACGTGTATATATATATGTATATATATATATATAGAAGGCATGCACTCTAAAATGATGATAAAAAGTATAGCATAGTAAATACATAAACCCATTACATAGTCATTTGTTATCAAGTATTATGTACTGTACATAGTTGTATGTGCTAGACTTTTATACAAATGGCAGCACAGTAGATTTATTTGCAGCATCCCTGCAAATACATGACAGCTACAATGTCATTCGGTGATAGGAATTTTTCAGCTCCACTGTAACCTTATGGGACCACCATGGAATATGCAGTCGATCATTGACTTCAAAGTCATTATGTGGCACATGACTGCACACAGGACCTACATCTCCTATTGGTTCTGTTTCACCAGAGAGCCTAGACTGAGACACGTGCCCAGGTGATGTCACTCAGAAGTGGGGTCTCGGGGTCAGAGCTCTGAGGGCAGCAGCATCTCGGGGCTTTATAGACACAAGGCTCTATCTTACCAGTGGGCAGTGGATGCTGGGGAGGTTTCATGCTGGATGCAAAGCTGGCAGGCTCTCCGTGGCGAAAACTCTGCTTATAATTGGCCTATGTTTAAAACAACTGGATATGTAAAAACTTGAATTTGGGGCGGGCAGACTTTCAGCAAATGGGTCTGCAGTGAATGGGTCCACCAGCCTAGGGGCCAGGACATGGAGGCCACCTCTGGCTCATGTATACAACAGGAGGTCAGCGGGGCTGGGCTGTAGGGCGGGACCAGAGAGGACCAAAATGATAGTCCAGCGGGGGGGACTTTTAGAAAATATATAATTTCATTTCAAAGTGTCAGATGAATTTTTAAAAAACATATAAGTTGATTTTAAAGAGAAATAAATGAATTCAGTGGCTATATTCATTTCTACTCAGCCCCACTCTCTGCCATTCCCCCGATGTGTAAGCAACAGTGTTTCTACTATTGCCTCAGTGCAGGTGGGAACCTGTTGGAATAAAACGTCATGCTGCAGAAAGCCAGAGTTAACTTGCAAGTCAATCTTCTCACTGAGCCCAATCATCTTTCTAGACAGCCTAAAAAGCTACTTACTGAAATCAGCAACACCGTTAACTTCATTCACCAAAGTAAGGTCTCCTGGCCTTTAACCTTAAAATGGTTCTTAAAAAGGAATTGAAATACTGATTTTCATAAAAATATCAAAGACAGTGAAGCCAACTGTCAAAATGAATTCAGTCCTAAAAATTAAAGTATGCTTGCTGAGAGTGACAGCAGCCTTCTCATGTGGGATTTACCAGGCACTCTGCACCCTGGTTCTGAGATCTGCACGGTACTTAAGAAAGAAATCCATTCCTTTCAGTTAAATCGTTTCAGTTAAAAATTCCCGAGGCACCTTTTTAAAACTGAAATAAAACTAAATCCCAAAGACATGAGAAATAAATCACTTCATGTCTCTTGAGTGTTTTCCAATCTGGCTTCCAGGAGGAGCTTAATTTGTCACTTCTAAAGAAAGCCTTCTAGCTCTTTCCATCTTATTTTACCAGGAAGTCCACTCGCTTCCTTCCCACAGTGTCTGTGTATGCCAGGGTTAGCAGTGGAGTCTGCTGCAAGCCACCAGGGTCCAGGCCTCACACCCTGGCCAGGTCATCAAGCCCAGAGCACAGTTAGAGAGCTGGCGTGGGTGGCCAACCAGCCTACACAAATGACAGAAAAAGGCTGCTTGTCCTAGGAAATTTCCTGCTTGTTCAGATTCAATGAAATCCTGCTGGATCTCTATGTCTACAAAATAATGAGCCCCCACTCATGGAGGGATCAGAATTTGGGTGAGCAGTGCCTGCCCCGCTCTTCCCAGGTTGCCTGGTGCAGAAGGCTGGGTACCCAGGAGAAGCAGATGAGGGTGGTGACAGGGATGGGTGCAGGTGCAGAACCCACTGTGCTGTGTGAGCCTGAGGGCTGGGAGGCCCTGTCCACCCAGGAGCACTTGTCTTCCCAGGAGACTGCATCCCTCAGTGACCTGCATGCATCAGGGGGACTGTGTCCACCCAGGAACCATGTTCAAGCATTCATCAGAGATTCAGGGGGCACCTACTGTGTGCTGTTTTAATACTCAGGCACCAAACAGTTCCCTAATAAGATGACTTCAGGACAGACATCTGAAGAAATGAGGAAGGGAGTGATGTGGCTATTTGGAGGGCAGCATTCTTGGTCATTAGAACATCACGGTCAAACTGTGCCCTGGGCCTGTGTGGCTGTAGAGTCTATCGATGAGTTGGACAGGGAAGCCTGTGCCTGGAGTGTGCAGCATGGGGCCATGGTAAGGACGCAAGATTTTACCTTGGAAGAGACCAGACCATTGGCAGATTCTTAGCTGCAGAAATGTTCTCACAGTCTTTCATTTAATTAAAAGTTTTAAAATGTATCTTTCTGTGCTTGGCTTGTTTCACTTACACAATTACCTCCAGTTCCACACACGTTGCTGCAAATGACAGGGTTTTATTCTCTTTTATGTCTGGATAATTTGTACATGGTAGAATGAATGCCCAGAGCTGTGCCCAGCTGGGTGAACTTCTTCAAGTGTGCACATCACTGTAACCACTAGCATGATCAAGTAGATCACGGCTACATCAAGTTCATCACATCAGATGGCCCCATGCCCCTCCCAGCCAATCCCTCTGGCATCATTTCCTACAAAGTATCACACACATAGTAGCTTAAAACAGTGCAAATTTACTATCTCACAGTTTTGTAGGCTGGATGTCCAGTAGGCTCAGCTGGCTTCTCTGCTCTGAGTCTTACAAGGCTGAAGAGGTGTCAGCAGAGCCGTGGTCCCTCCTGGAGGCTTGAAAGAGAATTGGCTTCCAGCCTCCTTCAGGTGTGCCAGGACCCTGTTCCAGGTGGCTGGCTGTAGCACTGAGTCCCTGTTTCCTTGCAGGCTGTCAGCTGGAGGTCACTGTCAGTGTCCAGACACCACCTATGTTCCTTGGCTTGTGGCCCCTTTCTCCATCCCCAAGCCAGCAATGACTGATGGAGTCCCCTTTATACTTCAAGTCTCGGTGACCTCTTCTTCCTCTTCTCTCAGGGCCCTGTGTCTTCCTCTTTTGCTTCTAAAAGCCCTTGATATTACCTTGGGCCCACCTAGATAATCCAGGATAATCTATTTTAAAGTCACCTGATTAGCGACCTGAATTCCATCTGCAAAGTCCCTTCGCAGTGGTAACCAGAGCAGTGTTTGGCTGAATGTCAGGGAACAGGAATCTTGAGGGACATCTGTAGAATCTTGTCTTCTACATGGCCCCTGTGCTCTTGAGCTCCATATAAATGGAATCATGCAGTAAGTGTCTTCCGTGTCTCTCCTGGTGTGCTCAGAATAAGGTCTCTAGTTTCATCTGTGTTGCAGCATGCATCAGTAGTTCACTGCTTTTAACCATTGAGTACTATCTACTGTGCGGATGCGCTGCAGTGAATTCACCTATTCACTCGCTGAGGGATATGTGCGTTACTTCTAGGTTTGTGTGATTATAAGTAAAGCTGCTACGAACATTCCAGTAAGTCTTTTTGTGGACATATGTTTTCATTTTTCTTTAGTTAATATCCAAGAGTAGAATTGCTGGGTTAAGGGCTTAAATGTATTTTTAATTTTGTAAGAAACCACCAAACTGTTTCCCAAAGTGGTTTTATTATTTTGCCTTTGTAACATTGGAAAGTTCTATTTTTCCACATCATTCTAATACTTCGTATTGTCAGCATTCTTAATTTTTTTTTGTTTTGGTGGGTGTGCAGTGATATCTCATTGTGGTTCTAATTTCTATTTGCCTGATGACTAATATGAAAATTTCCTCATGTGCTTACTGGTAATTCATGTATCTTCTTCTTTTCTGTTTTTAAGTCTTTTGCTCACTTTTCTATTGTTTGTATTTTTATAATTAATTTGTGGTTGTAATTTATTCATTCTAGATACAAGTGCTCTATCAGATACATGTTTTATGAATATTATTTCCCAGTTTGTGGCTTACCTATTTATTTTATTTTATTTATTAAGACATGGTTTTACTCTATTACCCAGGCTGGAGTGCAGTGGCATGATCTTAGCTCACTGAAACCTCTGCTTCCCGGGCTCAAGTAATCCTCCTGCCTCAGCCTCCCAAGTAGCTGGGACCACAGGTGCATGCTATCATACCTGGCTAGTTTTTTTTCTTTTTTTTGTAGAGACAGAGTTTTGCCATGTTGCCCAGGCTGGTCTGGAATTCCTAAGCTCAAGTAATCTGCCGGCCTTGGCCTCTGAAAGTGCTGGGATTATAGGTGTGAGCCACTGTACCCAGCCTATTTATTTTAAGTGTCTTTTGATGAACCAAAATTTTTTGTTTTGGTGAAATTCAATTCATCATTTGTCTTCCTTTCCATAGCCCTTTTTTGGCCTCTCTAAAACATGTTTGCCAACTCCAAGTTCATGAAGATTTTCCCTCCATGCCTTCTTCTAGAAGCTTTTTAGGTTTTGTTTTTACATTTAGGCCTAACCTGCCTTGAAGTAATTCGTATGCATGGTAGGAGGCAGAGCGTCAAGGCCCTCCTTTTTTTTTTTTTAACATACCATTTTACAGTTGTTTCAGCACCTTTGTTGAAAAGACTTTCCTTTCTTCCCCTTGCCCTTGGTGCAGGCCTCTCTCTGGACTCCATCCTGTTCTGGGATACACGGTCTCTGTGTATGCTCATATTACCCAATCACTTTAGCTGGAAGTCAGGGCCTGCAAGCCCTCCAGCTCTCTTCTGGAGGACTGTCCTCCCCTAGGTCCTCAGAGATTCAGTACAACCCCAATCAGCTTCCAGCAGTACCCCACCCTGCCCAGCCCTTCTTGTTTTTGGAGAAACTGAATGACTTCTATTTTATATTTGGCTCTGGCTGCTGTCTGAAAAGTAGAAGCAGTGGGCAAGGCAAGGGGCATAGAGCCTGGGCTGTGGACCCCCATAGAGGGGCTGCTGGGCTTCTGAGGGGAGCCAGCAGGATTTCTGATGACCGGCTGTGGGTGTGAGTAAAAGCAGTGGGAACTTTCGAGTTTTCAGACAGGAAGAGCAGCGTGTTTCCAGTCCCCTGTGGCCAGGGCTGAGATGGGCTGAGTGGCCCTGGAGGTTTATATGATGGCCAAGGGAGCCTGGTCCGGGAGAGCCTGGGAGTTCTGTGGTGGTGATGTTGCCCCTAGGTTAGGGGAGGCTCTGGCTCTCCGCTCGCAGTCAGCCAGCGAAGTTCCACCTATTTGACATGTGGGCACGCCCTAAGATTTCAGTTGAAAACTATATTCAGATTGATGGCAAGATGGTTGAATAAGAACAACTCCAGTGTGCAGTTCCCAGTGAGATCGACGCAGAAGGCAGGTGATTTCTGCATTTCCAACTGAGGTACAGGTTCATCTCATTGGGACTGGTTGGACAGTGGGTGCAGCCCACAGAGGGCGAGCCGAAGCAGGGCAGGGCGTCGCCTCACCCAGGAAGTACAAGGGGTCGGGGAATTCTCTCCCCTACCCAAGGGAAGCCGTGAGGGACTGAGCCTGAGGAACTATGCACACTCCGGCCCAGATACTGCACTTTTCCCATGGTCTTTGCAACCTGCAGACCAGGAGATTCCTTCCAGTGCCTATGTCACCAGGGCCCTGGGTTTCAAGCACAAAACTGGGCAGCCGTTCAGGCAGACACCAAACTAGTTGCAGGAGGTTTTTTTTTCCATACCCCAGTGGTGCCTGGAACACCAGAGAGACAGAACAGTTCACTCTCCTGGAGATGGGGCTGAAGTCAGGAAGCCAAGTGGTCTGGCTCAGTGGGTCCCACCCCCATGGAGCCCAGCAAACTAAGATGCACTGGCTTGAAATTCTCGCTGCTAGCACAGCAGTCTGAGGTCGACCTGGGGCACTTGAGCTTGGTAGGGGGAGGGGCGTCTGCCATTGCTGAGGCTTGAGTAGGTGGTTTTACCCTCACAGTGTAAACAAAGCCGCAGGGAAGTTCGAACTGGGTGGAGCCCATCACAGCTCAGCAAGGCCGCCGTGGCCAGACTGCCTCTGGACTCCTCCTCTCTGGGCAGGGCATCTCTAAAAAAAAAGGCAGCAGCCCCAGTCAGGGACTTATAGATAAAACTCCCATCTCCCTGGGACAGAGCACCTGGGGGAAGGGGTGGCTGTGGGCGCAGCTTCAGCAGACTTAAATATCCCTGCCTGACGGCTCTGAAGAGAGCAGTGGACCTCCCAGCACAGCGTTTGAGTTCTGCTAAGGGTCAGACTGCCTCTTCAAGTGGGTCCCTGACCCCTGTGTATCCTGACTGGGAGACACCTCCCAGGAGGGGCCAACAGACACCTCATACAGGAGAGCTCTGGCTGGCATCTGGTGGATGCCCCTCTGGGAGGAAGCTTCCAAAGGAAAGAACAGGCAGCAATCTTTGCTATTCTGCAGCCTCTGCTGGTAATACCCAGGCAAACAGGGTCTGGAGTGGACCTCCAGCAAACTCCAGCAGGCCTGCAGCAGAGGGGCCTGACTGTCAGAAGGAAAACTAACAAACAGAAAGGAATAGCACATTCACTCAGAGATCCCATCCAAAGGTCACCAACATCAAAGACCAAAGGTAGATAAATCCATGAAGATGGGGAGAAACCAGCGCAAAAAGGCTGAAAATTCCAAAAACCAGAACGCCTCTTCTCCTCCAAAGGATCACAACTCCTCGCCAGCAAGGGAACAAAACTGGACAGAGAATGAGTTTGGCAAATTGACAGAGGTAGGCTTCAGAAAGTGGGTAATAACAAACCCCTCTGAGCTAAAGGAACATATTCTAACCCAATGCAAGGAAGCTAAGAACCTTGAAAAAAGGTTAGACGAATTGCTAACTAGAATAACTGGTTTAGAGAAGAACATAAATGACCTGATGGAGTTGAAAAACACAGCACAAGAACTTCGTGAAGCATACACAAATATCAATAGCCGAGTCGATCAAGCGGAAGAAAGGATATCAGAGATTGAAGATCAAATTAATGAAATAAAGCAAGAAGACAGGATTAGAGAAAAAAGAATGAAAAGGAATGAACAAAGCCTCCAAGAAATATGGGGTTATGTGAAAAGACCAAATCTACATTTGACTGATATACCTGAAAGTGATGGGGAGAATGGAACCAAGATGGAAAACACTCTTCAGGATATTATCTAGGAGAACTTCCCCAACCTAGCAAGGCAGGCCAACATTCAAATTCAGGAAATACAGAGAACACCACAAAGATACTCCTCGAGAAGAGCATCCCCAAGACACATAATCCCAAGATACATAATCGTCAGATTCACCAAGGTTGAAATGCAGGAAAAACTGTTAAGGGCAGCCAGAGAGAAAGGCCAGGTTACCCACAAAGGGAAGCCCATCAGACTAACAGTGGATCTTTCTGCAGAAACCCTACTCAACACAACCCAGAATTTCATATCCAGCCCAACTAAGCTTCATAAGTGAAGGAGAAATAAAATCCTTTACAGACAGGCAAATGCTGAGAGATTTTGTGACCACCAGGCCTGCCTTACAAGAGCTCCTGAAGGAAGCACTAAACATGGAAAGGAACAGCCGGTACCAGCCACTGCAAAAACATACCAAATTGTAAAGACCATCAACACTATGAAGAAACTGCAGCAACCAACGAGCAAAATAACCAGCTAGCATCATAATGACAGGATCAAATTCACACATAACAATATGAACTTTAAATGTAAATGGGCTAAATGCCCTAATTAAAAGACACAGGCTGGCAAATTGGATAAAGAGTCAAGACCCATCAGTGTGCTGTATTCAGAAGACCCATCTCACATGCAAAGACACACACAGACTCAAAATAAAGGGATGGAGGAATATTTATCAACAAATGGAAAGCAAAAAAAAGCAGGGGTTGCAATCCTAGTCTCTGATAAAACAGACTTTAAACCAACAAAGATCAAAAGAGACAAAGAAGGGCATTACATAGTGGTAAAGTGATCAAGGCAACAAGAAGAGCTAACTATCCTAAATATATATGCACCTAATACAGGAGCACTCAGATTCACAAAGCAAGTTCTTAGAGACCTACAAAGAGACTCAGACTCCCACACAATAACAGTGGGAGACCTTAACAACCCACTGCCAATATTAGACAGATCACTGAGACAGAAAATTAACAAGGACATTCAGGACTTGAACTCAGCTCCGGACCAAGCAGACCTAATAGACACATACAGAACTCTCCACCCCAAATCGACAGAATATACATTCTTCTCGGCACCACATCGCACTTTTTCTAAAACTGACCACATAATTGGAAGTAAAACACTCCTCAGCAAATGCAAAACAATGGAAATCATAACAAACAGTCTCTCATACTACAGTGCAATCAAATTAGAACTCAGGATTAAGAAACTCACCCAAAACTGCACAACAACATGGAAACTGAACAACCTGCTCCTGAATGACTCCTGGGTAAATAATGAAATGAAGGCAGACATAAAGATGTCCTTTGAAACCAATGAGAACAGACGCAACGTACCAGAATCTCTGGGACACATTTAATGCAGTGTGTAGAGGGAAATTTATAGCACTAAATGCCCACAAGAGAAAGCAGGAAAGATCTAAAATCGACACCCTAACATCACAATTAAAAGAACTAGAGAAGTAAGAGCAAACAAATTCAAAAGCTAGCAGAAGACAAGAAAAAACTAAGATCAGAGCAGAACTGAAGGAGATAGAGACACAAAAAACCCTTTAAAAAAAATCAATGAATCCAGGAGCTAGTTTTTTGAAAAGATCAACAAAATAGACCGCTAGCCAGACTAATAAAGAAGAAAAGAGAGAAGACTCAAATACACACAATGGAAAATGATAAAGGGGATATCACCACTGATCCCACAGAAATACAAACTACCAGAGAATACTATAAACACTCCTATGCAAATAAAGTAGAAAATCTAGAAGAAACGGATAAATTCCTGGACATATACACCCTCCCAAGTCTAAGCCAGGAAGAAGTCAAATCCCTGAATAGACCAATAACAAGTTCTGAAATTGAGGCAGTAATTAATAGCCTACCAACCAAAAAAAGTCCAGGAACAGATAGATTCACAGCCGAATTCTACCAAAGGTACAAAGAGGAGCTGGTACCATTCCTTCTGAAACTATTCCAATCAATAGAAAAAGAGAGAGTCCTCTCTAACTCATTTTATGAGGCCAGCATCATCCTGATACCAAAACCTGGCAAAGACACAACAAAAAAAGAAAATTTCAGGGCAATATCTCTGATGAACATCAATGAAAAAATCCTCAATAAAATACTGGCAAACCGAATCCAGCAGCACATCAAAAAGCTTATCCACCATGATCAAGTGGGCTTCATCCCTGGGATGCAAGGCTGGTTCAACATACGCAAATCAAGAAATGTAATGCATCACATAAACAGAACCAATGACAAAAACCACATGATTATCTCAATGGATGCAGAAAAGGCCTTCGACAAAATTCAACACCCCTTCATGGTAAAAACTCTCAATAAACTAGGTATCAATGGAACATATCTCAAAATATTAAGAGCTATTTATGACAAACCCAGAGCTAACATCATACTGAATGGGCAAAAACTGGAAGCATTCCCTTTGAAAACCAGCACAAGACAAGGATGCCCTCTTCACCATTCCTATTCAACATAGTATTGGAAGTTCTAGCCAGGGTAATCAGGCAAGAGAAAGAAATAAAGGGTATTCAAATAGGAAAAGAGGAAGTCAAATTGTCTCTGTTTGTAGATAACATGATTGTATATTTAGAAAACCCCACCATTTCAGCCCTAAATCTCCTTAAGCTGATAAGTAACTTCAGCGAAATCTCGGGATACAAAATCAATGTGCAAAAATCACAAGCATTCCTATACACCAATAATAGCCAAATCATGAGTGAACTCCCATTCACAATTGCTACTAAGGGAATAAAATATCTAGTAACACAACTTACAAGGGATGTGAAGGACCTCTTCAAGGAGAAGTACAAACCACTGCTCAAGGTAATAAGAGAGGACACAAATAAATGGAAAAACATTCCATGCTCATGGATAGGAAGAAACAATATCATGAAAATGGCCATACTGCCCAAAGTAATTTATAGATTCAATGCTATCCCTATCAAGCTACCACTGACTTTCTTCACAGAATTGGAAAAAACTACTTTAAACTTCATATGGAACCAAAAAAGAGCCCACATAGCCAAGACAATCCTAAACAAAAAGAACAAAGCTGGGGGCATCACGCTACCTGACTTCAAACTGTACTACAAGGCTACAATAACCAAAACAGCATGGCACTGGTACCAAAACAGATATATAGACCAATGGAAGAGAACAGAAACCTCAGAAGTTAACACCACACTTCTACAACCATCTGATCTTTGACAAACCAGACATAAACAAGCAATGGGGAAAGGATTCCCTATTTAATAAATAGTGTTGGGAAAACTGGCTAGCCATATGCAGAAAACTGAAACTGGACCCCTTCCTTACACCTTACACAAAAATTAACTCAAGATGAATTAAAGACTTAAACGTAAGACCTAAAACCATAAAAATCCTAGAAGAAAACCTAGGGAATACCATTCAGGACATAGGCACGGGCAAAGACTTCAGGTCTAAAACACCAAAAGTAATGGCAACAAAAGCCAAAATTGACAAATGGGATCTAATTAAACTAAACAGCTTCTGCACAGCAAAAGAAACTATCATTAGAGTGAACAGGCAACCTACAGAATGGGAGAACATTTTTGTAATCTTTCCATCTAACAATGGGCTAATATCTAGAATCTACAAAGAACTTATACAAATTTACAAGAAAAAACAAACAACCCCACCAAAAAGTGGGCAAATTATATGAACAGACACTTCTCAAAAGAAGACATTTATGTGGCCAACAGACATATGAAAAAAAGCTCATCATCACTGCTCATTAGAGAAATGCAAATCAAAACCACAATGAGATACCATCTCACACCAGTTAGAATGGCGATCATTAAAAAATCAGGAAACAACAGATGCTGGAGAGGATGTGGAGAAACAGGAATACTTTTACACTGTTGGTGGGAGTGTAAATTAGTTCAACCATTGTGGAAGACAGTGTGGCGATTCCTCAAGGATCTATAACTAGAAATACCATTTGACCCAGCAATCCCATTACTGGGTATATACCCAAAGGATTATAAATCATTCTACTATAAAGACACATGGACACATATGTTTATTGTGGCACTATTCACAATAGCAAAGACTTGGAACCAGCCCAAATGTCCACCAATGATAGACTGGATAAAGAAAATGTGGCACATATACATCATGGAATACTATGCAGCCATACAAAAGGATGAGTTCATGTCCTTTGCAGGGACATGGATGAAGCCGGAAACCATCATTATCAGCAAACTAACACAAGAACAGAAAACCAAACACCGCATTTTCTCACTCATAAGTGGGAGTTGAACAATGAGAACACATGGACACACAGAGGGGAACATCACACATCGGGGCCTGTTGAGGGGTGGGGGGCCAAGGGAGGGATAGCATTAGGAGAAATACCTAATGTAGATGACGGGTTGATGGGTGCAGCAAACCACCATGGCACGTGTATACCTGTGTAACACAACTGCACATTCTGCACATTCTGCACATGTACCCCAGAGCTTAAAGTATAACAAAAAAAGAAAGAAAACTATATTCAGCTGCTTCACAAAAATACTTGCAAATAGCTGCTAGAGCAGTGCCTTTACATAAAGTGCATTAAGTTAGTAACTGGCTCATGCATGTGGCCAGAGAAGTGGGTCAGAGGACAACCTGTGGCTCCCACTCAGGAGCCCAGGGGAGGACTTCCAGGGCAGGGTGGGGTGAGAAGCTCAACAAGATGGGCAAGTGTGCTCAGGGCTTGTGGCAAAGCTGTGCCCCTCACCTCTGTGCCCTGGAGTCCAGACTGGCTATTGGACTGGAAAGGAGGTCCTGCATGAGACTCCGGGTCTAACTGAGCCACCAGGGAGCCAGAAGCTTCTACAAGCAAGAGGCACGACGAGCAGAGCAGCCCGGGAGGCACAGGGCGGAACAAAGGCTCTGCTCTGGGTGCAGTGTGGCTAGGACGCATGGCCAGGCCAGGAGAAAGTAGGGCCTTCCACAGCTGTTTGTTTCTTTGCTTTTGTATTTGATTTTAGTTTGCTTTTGATGAGATAATTTGCATTTTGGGTGGGAGTTAGAACTTACTCTCTCTGTGCTGTGTAGAATCGGTGCGTGTGGGTGTGCAGGGGGAATGGGTGGTAAATATGTTATGTGGCATGTGTGTGGCAGGTGTGTGTTGGGTTATGTGTGCACAGCCTGAGGCTCTCCATCATTCTGGCTCCCTCTATCGCAGCCACAGACATCAAGGACCCTGCATCAAAGGAATGTGGGGGCCACTCTGGACACACAGGGGTGTGCTGGGGACAGTGGCCACGCATCTGGTCACATGGGACCACAGGCATTTGGCACCTGAGTTCTCTCCTCTGAAACATCACCCTGGGCCCTCTGGGGTGGGTGGACGGCTGATTCTCCTTGGTGGCCTCTGGGCCTGCATCCTAACTGGGTAGGGCAAGGAGTGGCTCCAACTAACAGCATGGAAACTTCCCTGGCTGTGAGGGGCTTCCTATTGGGCAAAGCCATTAGGGGGCGCCTCCGTGCTCACTTTCCAATGTAGCCTGCAATCATGGAACAAATCGATTAAAGCAGAGAACAATCAGTTATTTTTTCAGACTCATTTTCTTAAATGGCTTAATCTATGCCTCAGGCCACACAGACTGTTGGTTACGTAAGCAACTCCAGTGACTGCATTCCTGTGACATCGCTACAGTGCTGCATGCAAAAGCTGGCCTCTCTACTCCTGAGCAGACTCTGCTCTTTCCACGCCCTCTCTCCAGCCACCGGGGAGACTGTGCCACTGTGCCCGTGGACAGGGAGTGACAAAGGACAGAGCTCCCATTCTAACCAGTGAACCATTTCTGCTGGAGCCTGTGGGGAAACCACAAATGCCAACATCAACAGGCCTTTCTGTATACTCTTGGAGTCCAGTTTCCATTTTAGAAGAACATTATTAAAAACAAACCTAATTTACCACAACCAAAATTAAACAGCTAGATGACCTTCAACCAATGTCTCTGGTTTGGATCCAGTGATCTGCATGTGGCCTCACATCCCCATCATAGTTGCTCTTTGCTTGCAATTTTTAGCTCAGTGTAAATGCAGAATAACCTATATTTCACATAAACAACTCTTGCTAGATATGCAGGGTTGTTGTGAAACTTTGTTTAACTATTTTACCATCTTCATGTGCAAAGCTCTGGCAGGTATGCTTTAGCCTCAGGGGAGGGAGAGACGAAGTGGTGCAGAACTGAGGTAGGTTTCAGAGGCCTCCGTTATGAACACACACGTGACCGTGCACAGAGTTAGTAGCTTGAAAAATGTTACATTCCCAACATGGGAGTCACTTCTTAGTATTGGTGGCTTTTGGAGTTGTTTAAAATAAATTAGTCAGAAATGGATGAATAACAAAGTTAACTGGATTTTTTAGTATGACTAGTAAAATGTAAACAATAGCAGATCATCTGTGTTCATGACGTTGAAAAAAATCCCTATACTGCAAATATGTACTAAGTCAGACAGTAATGGAATTACACATCCTGCACCAAATTCATCTGTGTAAACTGTAACACTACAAAGCTGATGTCAACATCTGTCACATTAACTGTCTAACGCACGACTTCTGTTTTGGAAGTCAGCAGCCCTTTATTCAATTGGCAAAACCAGATACCCTCTAGGCATTAAATGGGTAATATTTACAAACACTTTTTTTCATGTGTGAGTTAAGTAATAACATTTTATTTCAAGATTAGTTATATAATGCTGACATTATATATCATATAAATCAGTTTAGAATTCTTTCATAAAAATTTTCATACACAAAACTACTACTGTCCGCTTATTCCAGCAATGAAGTAAGTGTTTATCAGTGATAGCACAGTAAACAAATTCAAACTGCCCTGGGGAGTTTCGCTTCTGGAAATGGTGGAGTAGGTTGTTTTACAACAATACTGACACTGGAATAACTAGGAAACATGGCAAAATATAAGAAAGAGATCTGTTTGATGACATCAGAGAGTATAAAGGCAGTGAGGAATGTTAAGCTGAGAACTAGGAGAGGATTAGAGACAAGAGAGATAAACTAGCATTTGGAGTTACTTTCCCCATTGGGAATATTGCCAGTGACAAAAGCAGTGGCTGAGAGGCTGAGGAGCTGAAGAGAGCTTTTAACAAGTCTTATGGATCTGGGCAGATAGAAACTAGTACTCAGGGCCCTCAATGAAGAACAAACCTTGGCCAACACCCCAGGCTTTTGGCTGGGAACTTGAAGGGCTATACCCCAAGAGTGAGAGTAAACTAAAAACAAACTAGCCATAGTAGGGAATCAAGGCCAGCTTCAAATTACTTAAATACCTGATTGGCTTAAAGTGGCCTTGGATTACTAATGTCCTCACCCCAGTTGCCTAAAATAAGCAAACTTCACTTTCTCAGGAAAAAAAATAAAATCACCCATAGCCTAAAATTATATCTCAAAATCTTAATATATAATATCCAAGACCCAATTAAAATTACCAGTGGTCCCTTAAGATTAAAATGGAGCTGAAAAATTCCTATTGCCTAGTGATGTTGAAGGTGACATAATGTTCTAGTGCAATGTATTACCTTTTCTATATTTATATAGGATTACATGCACAAATACTTAGTATTGTGTTACAATTACCTACGGTACTGAGTGCAGTAACATGCTGTACAGGTTTGTAGCCTAGGAACAGTAGGCTATACCATATAGCCTAGGTGTGTAGTAGGCTGCACCATCTAGGTTTGTGTAAATGAACTCTGTGATGTTTGCACAATGGGGAAGTTGCCTAACAATGCATTTCTTAGAATGTATCTCATCATTAAGTGATGCATGACTGTAGTCTAAAATAATTATATTTAATATGGTAGATGTTAAAGAATTTTGGGCTGGGTGCAGTGGCTCATGCCTGTAATCCCAGCACCTTGGGAGGCTGAGGCAGGCGGATCATGAGGTCAGGAGATCGAGACCATCCTGGCCAACATGGTGAAACCCCGTCTCTACTAAAAATACAAAAATTAGCTGCGCATGGTGGCACATGCCTGTAGTCCCAGCTACTTGGGAGGCTGAGGCAGGAGAATCGCTTGAACCCGGGAGACGGAGGTTGCAGTGAGCTGAGATTGTGGCACTGCACTCCAGCCTGGAGACTGAGACTCCATCTCAAAGAAGAAAAAAAAAGAATTTTGGCAGGGAATTGAATTGAGAAACATAAAAATAAGTCCAGTCTAGAACTGAAAAATAGATGAACTAAAAATAAGAACTCGGTGCATATGGTTAAGAGCTGACTGGGCAATCAAGAAAAGAGAATAAATAAAGTGAAAGATAAGTTCAGAAGAAAATATTGTTTGAAGCAGACTTACAGACATGCAGACACACAGACACACAGTGGGAGGTGGAGGTGTGGAATGAGAGCTAAAAGCACAAGACCATACACATAAGCATGGGAAAGGGGCTTTTTGACACATGTGCACAGAAGCTCCTCAACTTGCCATGGAGTTATGTCCCAACAAACCCATCCTAAATCAAAAATACTGTAAGTGCCTATTATAAAGTTGAAAAATCGTAAGTTGAACTATCATAAGTCAGTGACCAGCTGTAGCTGAGTTCCAGAAAGGAAGAATATACAGGATGGGATAGAAGCAATATTTTAAAAGATAATGGTGGACATGAGGCAGGACTAGACTGTAGCTCCAACTTGGAAGAACAGAGCAGCGTGCGGAGGCTCGCATCATGAATTTTAGATCCAGAATGACTGCAGGAATAAACCAGGAATCTATAGACCCTCTGAAAGAAGCAGACTGCTCCTGCAGGACCTGGTAGATGCCCCAAATACTGGGAGTGCCCAAACTGCAGAAGCAGGAAAGGGAAATCCTCTGCCCCCAAACACACACTCTCACTGGGGAAACTGAAGGTCTAGTTTGTGGGAGAAGTTTCTGACCTTACCTGGAGCAGAGTCAATTTAGAGAGCTGAGCGAAATACAGGGGTAGAGGAGGCAGCGGGAAAGGCCCTGGGAGCTCACTGGGTCCCCAAGCAGGCCATTCTTGCCTGTCACCACAGGGATCGGGGGGCAGTCAGAGGCAAAGGAAAAGGAAGTCTCAAGCTGAACTTTTTAACAATTTGAACTGGGCAAGAGCCTCCTGGCCAGAACTCAGGGGAAGGCGCGAATCTGACGTGTAGCCTCCACAGGATGGGGAGGAACTAAAGCCCTTTTCTTTTGCATCTGGGAGGTGGATAGCCTGGGGTAAGTTCTCAGCTTTGCTTGCCCACTGCCAGGAAACAAACTTGGTGCCGTTAGCAGGCACACGGTGGAAGTGAGACTGGCCCTTCAGATTGTGTGGGAGCTGGGTGAGGCCTGTGACTACCGAATTGCCCCACTTCCCTGACAGCCTGCATGACTCAGCAGAGGCAGCCATAATCCTCCCAGGAACACAACTCCATTGACCTGGGAACCTCACCCCCATTCCCTACAGCAGCCGCAGCACAGCAAGACCCAACGGAGAGTCTGAGCTCAGACACGCCTAGCCCTGCCCCCCATTGATGGTCCTTCCCTACCTCCTCTGGTAGCTGAGGACAAAGGGCATATACTCTTGGGAGTTCTAGGGTCCCACCCACTGCTGGTCCCTCTCCATACTAGCACAGCTGATGCTCTCTCGAAAGCGCTACCTCCCGTCAGGAGGCCAACCGGCACAAAAACAGAACATTAAACCACCAAAGCTAAGAACGCTCACAGAGTCCATTTCACCCCCCTGCCACCTCCACTGGAACAGGTGCTGGCATCCATCGCTGAGAGACCCATAGATGCTTCACATCACAGGACTTTGTGCAGACAACCCCCAGTACCAGCCCAGAGCCGGGCAGACTTGCTGGATGGCTAGACCCAGAAGAGAGATAGCAATCACTGCAGCTCAGCTCACAGGAAAGGGGGAGAATACTACATCAAGGGAACACCCTGTGGGACAAAAGAATCTGAACAGCCTTCAGCTCTAGACCTTCCCTCTGACAGAGCCTACCAAATGAGAAGGAACCAGAAAATCAGCTCTGCTAATGTGATAAAACAAAAGCAGAAGTAGCTGTTCTTATATCAGACAAAACAAACTTTAAAGCAACAGCAGTTAAAAGAGACATGGAGGAGGGGTATTATATAATGCTAAAAAGCCTTGTCCTGGAAAACATCACAATCCTAACCATATATGCACCTAACACCGGAGCTCCCAAATCTATACAACAGGTACTAATAGATCTAAGAAATGAGATAGATGGCAACACAATAAGAGTGGGGAACTTTAATACTCCACTGACAGCGCTAGACAGGTCATCAAGACAGAAAAGTCAACAAAGAAACAATGGATTTAAACTATACCTTAGAACAAATGGACTTAACAGATATATACAGAACATTTCATCCAAGAACTGTAGAATACACATTCTATTCAACAGCACATGGGACTTTCTCCAAGATAGACCATATGATAGGCCACAAAACAAGCCTCAATAAATTTAAGAAAAATGAAATTATATATATATATATATATATATATTTTTTTTTTTTTTTTTTTTTTGAGACGGAGTCTCACTCTGTTGCCCAGGCTGGAATGCAATGGCGCAACCTTGGCTCACTGCAAGCTCCGCCTCCCAGGTTCACGCCATTCTCCTGCCTCAGCCTCCCAAGTAGCTGGGACTACAGGCGCCCGCCACCACGCCTGGCTAATTTTTTGTATTTTTGGATTTTTAGTAGAGGCGGGGTTTCACCGTGTTAGCCAGGATGGTCTCGATCTCCTGACCTCGTGATCTGCCTGCCTCGGACTCCCAAAGTGCTGGGATTACAGGCGTGAGCCACCATGCCCGGCCAGAAAAATGAAATTATATTAAGCACTCTGTCAGACCACCCTGGAATCAAACTGGAAATCAACTCCAAAAGGAACCTTCAAAACCATGCAAACACATGGAAATTAAGTAACCTATTCCTGAATGATCATTGGGTCAAAAATGAAATCAAGATGGAAATTAAAAAATTCTTCAAGCTGAATGACAATAACGACACAACCTATCAAAATCTCTGGGATATAGCAAAGGAGGTGCTAAGAGGAAACTTCATAGCCCTACACGCCTACATCAAAAAGACTGAAAGAGCACAAACTGACATTCTCAGGTCACACCTCAAGGAACTAGAGAAACAAGAACAAACCAAAGCCAAACCCAGCAGAATAAAGGAAATAACCAAGATCAGAGCAGAACTAAATGAAGCTGAAACAAACAAACAAACAAATACAAAAGATAAATGAAACAAAAAGCTGGTTCTTTGAAAAGATAAATAAAATTGACAGACCATTAGTAAGATTAACCAAGAAAAGAAGAGAGAAAATCCAAATAACCTCATTAAGAAATGAAATGGGAGATATTACAACTGACACCACAGAAATACAAATGATCATTCAAGGCTACTATGAACATCTTTACTCACATACTAGAAAACATAGAAGAGATGGATAAATTCCTGGAAAAATACAACCCTCAGCTTAAATCAGGAAGAATTAGATACCCTGAACAGACCAATAACAAGCAGGGAGATTGAAATGGTAATTTAAAAATTACCAACAAAAAAAAGTCCAGGACCAGACGGATTCACAGCAGAATTCTACCAGACAAAGAATTGGTACCAATTCTTTTGACACTATTCCACAAGATAGAGAAAGAAGGGACCCTCCCTGATGCATTCTATGAAGCCAGCATCACCCTAATACCAAAACCAGGGAAGGACATAACCAAAAAAGAAAAACTATAGACCGATATCCTTGCTGAACAAAGATGCTAAAATCCTTAACAAAATACTAGCTAACCAAATCCAACAACATATCAAAAAGATAATCCACCATGATCAAGTGGGTTTCATACCAGGAATGCAGAAACGATTTAACATATGCAAGTTGATAAATGTGATACACCACATAAACAGAATTAAAAACAAAAATCATGTGATCATTTCAATAGATGCAGAAAAAGCATTTGACAAATCCAGCATCCTTTAAGATTAAAACTCTTGGCAAAATCAGCAACAAGAGACATACCTCAATGTAATAAAAGCCATCTATGACAAACCCACAGCCAACATAATACTGAATGGGAAAAGTTGAAAGCATTCCCTCTGAGAACTGGAACAAGACAAGGATGCCCACTCTCACTACTCTTCTTCAACATAGTACTGGAAGTCCTAGCCAGGGCAATCAGACAAGAGAAAGAAATAAAAGGCATCCAAATCGGTGATGAGGAAGTCAAACTGTCAATGTTGGCTAACAATATGATTGTTTACCTTGAAAACCCTGAAGACTCCTCCAGAAAGCTCCTAGAACTGCTAAAAGAATTCACCAGTTTCTGGATACAAGATTAATGTACACAAATTGGTAACTCTTCTATATACCAAGAGTGACCAAGCGGATAATCAAATCAAGAACTCAACCCCTTTTACAATAGCTGCAAAAAAATAAAATACCTAGGAATATACCTAACTGAGGAGGAGAAAGACCTCTACAAAGAAAACTACAAAACCCTGGTGAAATAAATCATAGATGACACAAACAAATGGAAACACGTCCCATGCTCATGGATAGGTAGACTCAATATTGAGAAAATGACCATACTGCCAAAAGCAATCTACAAATTCAACACAATTCCCATCAAAATACCATCGTCATTCTTCACAGAATTAGAAAAAACAATTCTAAAATTCATATGGAACCAAAAAAGAGCCTGCATAGCCAAAGTAAGACTAAGCAAAAAGAACAAATCTGGAGGCATCACACTACCTGATTTCAAACTATACTTTAAGGCCATAGTCACCAAAACAGCATGGTACTGGTACAAAAGTAGGCACATAGACCAATGGAACAGAATAGAGTACCCAGCAATAAGCCCAAATACTTACAGCCAACTGATCTTTGACAAAGCAAACAAAAACATAAAGTGGGGAAAGGACACCCTTTTCAACAAATGGTGCTGCGATAACTGGCTAGCCACATGTAGGAGAATGAAACAGGATCCTCATCTCTCACCTTTTACAAAAATCAACTCAAGAGGGATTAATGACTTATATATAAGACCTGAAACTATAAAAATTCTAGAAGATAACATTGGAAAACCCCTTCTAGACATTGGCTTAGGCAAGGATTTCATGAGCAAGAACCCAAAAGCAAATGCAATAAAAACAAAGATAAATAGCTGGAACTTAATTAAACTAAAGAGCTTTTGCATGGTAAAAGGAACAGCCAGCAGAGTAAACAGACAACCTCCAGAGTGGGAGAAAATCTTCACAATCTATACATTTGAGAAAGGACTAATATCCAGAATCTAGAACCCAAACTCAAACAAATCAGCAAGAAAAAAACAAACAATCCCGTCAAAAAGTGGGCTAAGGACATGAACAGACAATTCTCAAAAGAAGATATACAAATGGCCAACAAACATATGAAAAAATGCTCTACATCATTAATGATCAGGGAAATGGAAATCAAAACCACAATGTGATACCACCTTACTCCTGTAAGAATGGCCATAATAAAAAAATCAAAAAACAGTAGATTGAGGCATGGATGCAGTGATCAGGGAACACTTCTACTGCTGGTGGGAATGTAAACTAGTACAACCACTATGGAAAACAGTATGGAGATTCCTTAAAGAACTAGAACTACCATTTGATCTAGCAATCTCACTACTGGGTATCCACCTAGAGGAAAAGAAGTTATTATATGAAAAAGACACTTGTACATGCATGTTTGTGGCTGCACAATTCACAACTGCAAAATCGTGGAACCAACCCAAATGTCCATCAATCAATGAGTAGATAAAGAAACTGTGGTGTATATATATATGTATACACAATGGAATATTACTCAGCCATAAAAGGGAATGAATCAAAGGCATTCGCAGCAACCTGGATAAGATTGGAGACTATTACTCTAAGTGAAGTAACTCAGGAATGAAAAACCAAACATCATATGTTCTCACTGATATGTAGGAGCTAAGCTAAGAGGACACAAAGGCATAGGAATGATACAATGGACTTGTGGACTTGGGGGAAGAATGGGAGGAGGGCAAGGGAAAAAAGACTACAAATAGGGTGCAGTGTATTACTGCTCAGGTGATGGGTGCACCAAAATCTCACAGATCACCACTAAAGAACTTACTCATGTAACCGAACACGACCTGCACCCCAATAACCTATGGAAAAATAGAAAAAAAAAGACAATGACTGAGAATTTTCTAAAATTAGTGAAAGATATCAAGCCACAGATCCAGAAGTGGTATGAACCCCAAGGAGCATAAATATAAGAAAAATGCAAGTCTGCATGTTATAATAAAACTGCTGAAAACCTATGATAAAGGAAAATATTTTAGAAACAGTATAAGAAAAAAGACTACCTTGACTTTTAAATGGAAATAATAAAGGCCAGAAGAAAATGGAATATCTTCAGAGTTCAAAAATAAGTAAATACATACATAAATGCCAGTCTACAGTCCTATATCTTGTAAAATTATTCTTTAAAAGCAGATGCAAAATAAAAAAAAATTTCAGACACTTATCACCAGGGGACCACACTATAGAAAATACTAAAAGGTGTTCTTTAGGTAGAAGGAAATAATCTCAGATTGAAGCTCAGAGCTACAGGAAAAAATAAAGAACAACGGAAAATCATTATAGCCAAGTGGGTATTGACCCTATAGAAAATAACGTTGCCCTACGGAATTTGAAAGAGAATCAAATTATGGGACAATATTAATATACAAGGCAGAAGGGGCTAAATGGTGTTCAGAAGTACTAAGTTCCTTGAATTGTCCAAAGTATGGTACAAGTACTATTTTAAGGGAAACTCGATAGTCAAGGATGTATATCGTAACCTCTATCGTAACTACCAAAAGAATAGTAAAGGAATGTACCGGGAAGAAGCTAATAGAATAGAACATTAATAAATACTTTGATTTATACAAAATTATGCAGGAAAGATGAAAAAGGAAATGACAGGGCAAACAAAAGCAAATAATGAGATGTTAGATCTATAACCAACTAGATCAGTTATCACATCCAATGTAGGTAAACTAAAATGCTTCAAGTAAAAAACAGATGATCAGACTGGATTTAAAAAACCTTAATTTTACATTGCTTACATCTGAATCACAAACTGTCACAAAGGTTGAAAGTAGAATGATTTTAAAAATATATCATGCAAACACTAATCAAAAGAGCTAATGTAGAAAAACCAATGTCAGACAAGTTGACGTTAATGAAAATAAAACTTTAGTAATGACAGAAAAAAGTTTATAATAAAATATCAGTCCTACAGGAAGCTATGACAAGTCTATTCTTAACTTCAAATTATATAAAGGAAAAATCGACAGAAAATAAAGAGAAATATACAAGTCCACGATCATAGTTGGAGGTTTTAACAAAGTGCTGTCAGTAGCTGATAGAACAAGCAGACAAAAATAATCAGTATGGATTTAAATCACATGAAAAATACGATCCAATTAACATATACAGATCACTGCACCAAGAATCACAAAATCCACTTTTTGTTTCTTTGTGAACATGGAACGTTTACCAAAATTGATCATATGCTAGGCCATAAAGCAAGTCCCAAATTTCAAAAGGCTGAAATCATTCAGACTCTCTTCTCTGACCAACTGGAAGAGGACAGGGAATTGTAGGGGACTGGCTGTGCCACCGTGCCCAGGTGACCTTCCAGGTACCAACAGAGACCCCACAGGCACAGGCTTCAACCGCGGTCTGAGTCTTGGCAGAATGCCTTGGGATCCTTCTGGCACAGGGGCAGATGGGAGGTCTGTCAGGCACTGCTCTGAGGACATCTCTCCCTCACCTTCTCTCTCCCCTGCAAGGCAGTCATCAGACAGCTCCACCTGGCCTCACTGTTCTGATGAGGTATGGGCCTTTCTTCTCCCACCCCCTCAGGATGGTAGACATGAATGAAAATAAAACTGTAATAAAGCGGTGAAACCTCTTAGCTGCAGCGCAGAACAGGCTCCCCAGCAATGGGGTCTTGCACAACTCATGCAGCACTCCATCCCTTTTGTTTCAGTGTCATGCTTTCTGGCATGTGAAACAAGGACCTGGGAGCTGGCACCTTGGCTACTCTCTCCTTTGCTGTCTATGTAAGTAATAAACCGTCTGCATCTAAAACTGGCCTGTCGCATCCTTACTGGTTGAATCAGGCAGACCTTGCTCTTGCCTTGTCTGGTGTGTGCGCTTGACAGAAATCAATAACAGAAAGAGAAGTGGAAAATCCTTACATGCTGAGGAATTAACTGGAAATGTATAACCATTTATATATATATGTGAAAAGAAGAGGCTGGGCCTCAACAATCTAAGTTGGGGGTTTGCAAATTATGACCCATGGGCCAATTCCACTCTGCCCCTGTTTTTGTACAATGCATAAACTAAGAATAGCTTTTACATTTTACTTTTATTCATTTATTTGAGACAGAGTCTTGCTCTGTCTCCAAGCTGGAGTGCAGTGGCGCAATCTTGGCTCACTGAAACCTCCACCTCCCAGGCTCAAGCGATTCTCCTGCCTCAGCCTCCCGAGTACTGGGATTACAGACAACCACCACTGTGCCTGGCTAATTTTTGTATTTTCAGTAGAGACGGGGTTTCACCTTGTTGGCCAGGCTGGTCTTGAACTCCTGACCTCAGGTGATCTGCCCACCTCGGCCTCCCAAAGTGCTGGGATTACAGGCATGAGCCACCGTGCCCAACCAGCTTTTACATTTTAAGTTTAAAAGAAAGAATATGTGACAGGAAGCATGTGTAGCTTGCAAAGCCCAAAGTACTTACTATCTGTCCTGCCATGGAAAGAAGTTTGCCAACCCCTGATCTGAGTACCGATCTCAAACAGTTTTAAGAAATAGCAAATTTAACCAACAAATAAAGAAGGAAAAAAGGAGAAACAACAAGACCAAGAAAAGAACTCACAAATGCTGAGAGGGTAGATCTACAACCAAATATATCAAACATTTATGAGGATAACATCAGATTTTAATGGAACAGACGACAAATGATAAAGAGAATCGATGAAGCCAAAAAATGGTTCTTTGGAAAGACTTAGAATAATCGATAACTTGGCCGGGTGCAGTGGCTCACGCCTGTAATCCCAGCACTTTGGGAGGCCGAGGTGGATGGATCACGAGGTCAAGAGATTGAGACCATCCTGACCAACATGGTGAAACCCCGTCTCTACTAAAAATACAAAAATTAGCTGGCCGTGGTGGCAGGTGCCTGTAGTCCCAGCTACTTGGGAGGCTGAGGCAGAAGAATTGCTTGAACCCGGGAGACAGAGGTTGCAGTGAGCCCAGACTGTGCCACTGCACTCCCCTGGTGACAGAGTGAGACTCCATGTCAAAAAAAAAAGAAAAAAAGATAACTGATAACTCTGGCAAGACTTATATACATTTATATCTATGTGTCTATGTGCAAAAGAAGGCAGATACACAGGAATATATACTGCATGATTCCATGTATACAAAGCTTAAGCACAGGAAAGACTAACCTAAGGTGTTAGAAGTCATGACTGTAGTTCTAGTTACCTCTGGGGAGAAAGAAGGTGCAGTGATAGGAAGAGGGAAGGAAAGAGATTTCTGGCTGCTGATAGTCACAGTTTGATTTGATTTCCTTTTTTATTTTTATTTTATTATTTTTTAATTTTTTTATTATACTTTAAGTTCTAGGGTACATGTGCACAACATGCAGGTTTGTTACATATGTATACATGTGCCATGTTGGTGTGCTGCACCCATTAATTCGTCATTCACATTACGCATATCTCCTAATGCTATCCCTGCCCCCTCCGCCCACCCCAAAACAGGCCCTGGTGTGTGATGTTC
Organism: Homo sapiens; assembly: GCF_000001405.40. Classification (NCBI taxonomy): domain Eukaryota; kingdom Metazoa; phylum Chordata; class Mammalia; order Primates; family Hominidae; genus Homo; species Homo sapiens. The sequence continues at coordinate 31,617,967 of NC_000015.10, forward strand.
CCCTTCCTGTGTCCAAGTGTTCTCATTGTTCAATTCCCACCTATGAGTGAGAACATGCGGTGTTTGGTTTTTTGTTCTTGTGATAGTTTGCTGAGAATGATGGTTTCCAGTTTCATCCATGTCCCTACAAAGGACATGAACTCATCATTTTTTATGGCTGCATAGTATTCCATGGTGTATATGTGCCACATTTTCTTAATCCAGTCTATCATTGATGGACATTTGGGTTGGTTCCAAGTCTTTGCTATTGTGAATAGTGCCTCAATAAACATACATGTGCATGTGTCTTTATAGCAGCATGATTTATAATCCTTTGGGTATATACCCAGTAATGGGATGGCTAGGTCAAATGGTATTTCCAGTTCTAAATACCTGAGGAATCGCCACACTGTCTTCCACAATGGTTGAACTAGTTTACAGTCCAACCAACAATGTAAAAGTGTTCCTATTTCTCCACATCCTCTCCAGCATCTGTTGTTTCCTGACTTTTTAATGATTGCCATTCTAACTGGTGTGAGATGGTATCTCGTTGTGGTTTTGATTTGCATTTCTCTGATGGCCAATGATGATGAGCATTTTTTCATGTGTCTGTTGGCTGCATAAATGTCTTCTTTTGAGAAGCGTCTGTTCATATCCTTTGCCCACTTGTTGATGGGGTTGTTTTTTTCTTTTAAATTTGTTCGAGTTCTTTGTAGATTCTGGATATTAGCCCTTTGTCAGATAAGTAAATTGCAAAAATTTTCTCCCAATCTGTATGTTGCCTGTTCACTCTGATGGTAGTTTCTTTTGCTGTGCAGAAGCCCTTTAGTTTAATTAGATCCCATTTGTCAATGTTGGCTTTTGTTGCCATTGCTTTTGGTGTTTTAGAGATGAGTCCTTGCCCATGCCTATGTCCTGAATGGTATTGCCTAGGTTTTCTTCTAGGGTTTTTATGGTTTTAGGTCTAATGTTTAAGTCTTTAATCCATCTTGAATTAATTTTTGTATAAGGTGTAAGGAAGAGATCCAGTTTCAGCTTTCTACATATGGCTAGCCAGTTTTCCCAGCACCATTTGTTAAATAGGGAATCCTTTCCCCATTTCTTGTTTTTGTCAGGCTTGTCAAAGATCAGATGGTTGTAGATGTGTGGTATTATTTCTGAGGGCTCTGTTCTGCTCCATTGATCTATATCTCTGTTTTGGTACCAGTACCATGCTGTTTTGGTTACTGCAACCTTGTAGTATGGTTTGAAGTCAGGTAGGGTGATGCCTCCAGCTTTGTTCTTTTGGCTTAGGATTGACTTGGCAATGCGGGCTCTTTTTTGGTTCCATATCAACTTTAAAGTAGTTTTTTCCAATTCTGTGAAGAAAGTCACTGGTAGCTTGATGGGGATGGCATTGAATCTATAAATTACCTTGGGCAGTATGGCCATTTGACGATATTGATTCTTCCTATCCATGAGCATGGAATGTTCTTCCATTTGTTTGTATCCTCTTTTATTTCATTGAGTGGTTTGTAGTTCTCCCTGAAGAGGTCCTTCACATCCCTTGTAAGTTGGATTCCTAGGTATTTTATTCTCTTTGAAGCAATTGTGAATGGGAGTTCACTCATGATTTGGCTCTCTGTCTGTTATTGGTGCATAAGAATGCTTGTGATTTTTACACATTGATTTTGTATCCTGAGACTTTGCTGAAGTTGCTTATCAGCTTAAGGAGATTTTGGGCTGAGACAATGGGGTTTTCTAGATATACAATCATGTCATCTGCAAACAGGGACAATTTGACTTCCTCTTTTCCTAATTGAATACCCTTTATTTCTTTCTCCTGCCTGACTGCCCTGGCCAGAACTTCCAACACTATGTTGAATAGGAATGGTGAGAGAGGGCATCCCTGTCTGTGCCAGTTTTCAAAGGGAATGCTTCCAGTTTTTGCCCATTCAGTATGATATTGGCTGTGGGTCTGTAATAGATAGCTCTTATTATTTCGAGATATGTCCCATCAATACCTAATTTATTGAGAGTTTTTAGCATCAAGGGTTGTTGAATTTTGTCAAAGGCCTTTTCTGCATCTATTGAGATAATCACATGGTTTTTGTCTTTGGTTCTGTTTATATGCTGGATTACATTTATTGATTTGTGTATGTTGAACCAGCCTTGCATCCCAGGGATGAAGCCCACTTGATCATGGTGGACAAGCTTTTTGAGGTGCTGCTGGATTCGGTCTGCCAGTATTTTATTGAGGATTTTTGCATCGATGTTCATCAGGGATATTAGTCTAAAATTCTCTTTTTTGTGTGTGTCTCTGCCAGGCTTTGGTATCAGGATGATGCTGGCCTCATAAAATGAGTTAGGAAGGATTCCCTCTTTTTCTATTGATTGGAATAGTTTCAGAAGGAATGGTACCAGCTCCTCCTTTTACCTCTGGTAGAATTCGGCTGTGAATCTGTCTGGTCCTGGACTTTTTTTGGTTGGTAGGCTATTCATTATTGCCTCAATTTCAGAGACTGTTATTGGTCTATTCAGAGATTCAACTTCTTCCTGGTTTAGTCTTGGGAGGGTGTATGTGTCCAGGAATTTATCCATTTCTTCTAGATTTTCTAGTTTATTTGTGTAGAGGTGTTTATAGTATTCTCTGATGGTAGTTTGTATTTCTGTGGGATCGGTGGTGATATCCCCTTTATCATTTTTTATTGTGTCTATTTGATTCTTCTCTCTTTCTTCTTTATTAGTCTTGCTAGCAGTCTATCAATTTTGTTGATCCTTTCAAAAAACCAGCTCCTGGATTCATTAATTTTTTGAAGGGTTTTTTGTGTCTCTATTTCCTTCAGTTCTGCTCTGATTTTAGTTATTTCTTGCCTTCTGCTAGCTTTTGAATGTGTTTGCTCTTGCTTTTCTAGTTCTTTTAACTGTGACGTTAGGGTGTCGATTTTGGATCTTTCCTGCTTTCTCTTGTGGGCATTTAGTGCTATAAATTTCCCTCCACACACCGCTTTGAATGTGTCCCAGAGATTCTGGTATGTTGTGTCTTTGTTCTCGTTGGTTTCAAAGAACATCTTTATTTCTGCCTTCATTTCGTGATGTACCCAGTAGTCATTCAGGAGCAGGTTGTTCAGTTTCCATGTAGTTGAGCGGTTTTGAGAGAGTTTCTTAGTCCTGAGTACTAGTTTGATTGCACTGTGGTCTGAGAAACAGTTTGCTATAATTTCTGTTTTTTTACATTTGCTGAGGAGTGTTTTACTTCCAATTACGTGGTCAATTTTGGAATAAGTGTGACGTGGTGCTGAGAAGAATGTATATTCTGTCGATTTGGGGTGGAAAGTTCTGTAGATGTCTACTAGGTCTGCCTGCTGCAGAGCTGAGTTCAATTCCTGGATATCCTAGTTAACTTTCTGTTTCGTTGATCTGTCTATCGTTGACAGTGGGGTGTTAAAGTCTCCCATTATTATTGTGTGGGAGTCTAAGTCTCTTTGTAGGTCTCTAAGGACTTGCTTTATGAATCTGGGTGCTCCTGTATTGGGTGCATATATATTTAGGATAGTTAGCTTTTCTTGCTGAATTGATCCCTTTACCATTATGTAATGGCCTTGTCTCTTTTGATCTTTGTTGGTTTAAAGTCTGTTTTATCAGAGACTAGGATTGCAACCCCTACCTTTTTTTTTGTTTTCCATTTGCTTGGTAGATCTTCCTCCATCCCTTTATTTTGAGCCTATTTGTGTCTCTGCATGTGAGATGGATTTCCTGAATACAGCACACTGATGTCTCTTGACTCTTTATCCTATTTGCCAGTCCGTGTCTTTTAATTGGAGCATTTAGCCCATTTACATTTAAGGTTAATATTGTTATGTGTGAATCTGATACTGCCATTATGATGTTAGCTGGTTATTTTGCTCGTTAGTTGATGCAGTTTCTTCCTAGCATCGATGGTCTTTTCAATTTGGCATGTTTTTGCAGTGGCTGTACCAGTTGTTCCTTTCCACATTTAGTGCTTCCTTCAGGAGCTCTTGTAGGGCAGGTCTGGTGGTGGCAAAATCTCTCAGCATTGGCTTGTCTGTAAAGGATTTATTTCTCCTTCACTTATGAAGCTTAGTTTGGCTGGATATGAAATTCTGGGTTGAAAATTCTTTTCTTTAACAATGTTGAATATTGGCCCCCACTCTCTTCTGGCTTGTGGAGTTTCTGCCGAGAGATCAGCTGTTAGTCTGATGGGCTTCCCTTTGTAGGTAACCCGACTTTTCTTTCTGGTTGCCCTTAACATTTTTTCCTTCATTTCAACTTTGGTGAATCTGACAATTATGTGTCTTGGAGTTGCTCTTCTCAAGGAGTATCTTTGTGGTGTTCTCTGTATTTCCTGAATGTGAATGTTGGCCTGCCTTGCTAGGTTGGGGAAGTTCTCCTGGATAATATCCTGCAGAGTGTTTTCCAACTTGGTTCCATTCGCCCCCTCACTTTCAGGTACACCAATCAGACGTGGATTTGGTCTTTTCACATAGTCCCATATTTCTTGGAGGCTTTGTTTGTTTCTTTTTATTCTTTTTTCTCTAAACTTCTCTTCTTGCTTCATATCATTCATTTGATCTTCAATCACTGATACCCTTTCTTCCAGTTGATGGAATTGGCTACTGAAGCTTGTGCATTCGTCGCGTAGTTCTCATGCCATGGTTTTCAGCTCCATCAGGTCATTTAAGGACTTCTCTGCATTGGTTATTCTAGCTAGCCATTCGTCTAATCTTTTTTCAAGGTTTTTAACTTCTTTGTGATGGGTTCTAACTTCCTCCTTTAGCTCAGAAAAGTTTGATCGTCTGAAGCCTTCTTCTCTCAACTCGTCAAAGTCATTCTCCGTCCAGCTTTGTTCCATTGCTGGTGAGGAGCTTCGTTCCTTTGGAGGAGGAGAGGCACTCTGATTTTTAGAATTTTCAGTTTTTCTGCTCTGTTTTTTCCCCATCTTTGTGGTTTTATCTACCTCTGGTCTTTGATGATGGTGACGTACAGATGGGGTTTTGGTGTGGATGTCCTTTCTGTTTGTTAGTTTTCCTTCTAATAGTCAGGACCCTCAGCTGCAGGTCTGTTGGAGTTTGCTGGAGGTCCACTCCAGAACCTGTTTGCCTGGGTATCAGCAGCAGAGGCTGCAGAACAGCGAATATTGCTGAACAGCGAATGTTGCTGCCTGATCTTTCCTCTGGAAGTTTCGTCTCAGAGGGGTACCCAGCCGTGTGAGGTGTCAGTCTGCCCCTACTTCGGGGGTGCCTTCCAGTTAGGCTACTCAGAGGTCAGGGACCCACTTGAGAAAGCAGTCTGTCTGTTCTCAGATCTCAAACTCCGTGCTGGGAGAACCACTACTCTCTTCAAAGCTGTCAGACTGGGACATTTAAGTCTGCAGAGGTTTGTGCTGCCTTTTGTTCAGCTATGCCCTGTCCCCAGAGGTGGAGTCTACAGAGGCAGGCAGGCCTCGTTGAGCTGCAGTGGGCTCCACCCAGTTTGAGCTTCCTGGCCGCTTTGTTTACCTACTCAAGCCTGAGCAATGGCGGGCGCCCCTCCCCCAGCCTCACTGCCGCCTTGCAGTTTGATCTCAGACTGCTGTGCTAGCAATGAGCGAGGCTCCGTGGGCGTGGGACCCTCCGAGCCAGGCGTGGGATATAATCTCCTGGTGTTCCATTTGCTAAGACCATTGGAAAAGCGCAGTATTAGGGTGGGAGTGACCTGATTTTCCAGGTGCCATCTGTGACAGCTTTGCTTGTCTAGGAAAGGGAATTCCCTGACCCCTTGCACTTCCCGGGTGAGGTGATGCCTCACCATGCTTCGGCTCATGCTCGGTGCGCTGCACCCACTGTCCTGCACCCACTGTCTGACAAGCCCCAGTGAGATGAACCCGGTACCTCAGTTGGAAATGCAGAAATCACCTGTCTTCTGCATCGCTCACGCTGGGAGCTGTAGACTGGAGCTGTTCCTATTCGGCCAACTTGGAACTGCCCCACCGATTTGATTTCAATGATATTTGCACTGATGCTACATTTTCTGAGAATTCATTAAGTTGTACAGTTATGTTGTAATTTCTAGAGGTATGCAATACTTCAATAAGAAACTTTGAAATATTTTGACTTTGTCTTATTGGCTTTGCTTTGTAGTAGGTTTTGCAGTGTCACTGTAAAGTGGCTACTTGGAATACATTTGATGTTAAAAAGCTGTTACTTTATAACAAAACATCAACAAGCAGGAACTGAGCACATGGGCATGTAGTTTTATATACCTGCACCATTTAGATTAGTCTGACCATTATGATTCACTCAGTACAAATTTAACATTAAATTAAAATCAGTGGTACTTATCCTAGAGGCCTGATTATAATCAGCAAAATAATTCATGCTAAAAGCTGCAAGATTGCAAGGTAAGCATTAATATTTCACAAGAAACCATGGAGAATACTATCCAAGGAGTCACCATGACTAGTTAGGCAGAGGACACATAGAAACAGAAGGAAGAAAACTTTCCAAATATCAAGAAATAAAAACAAAACGATGATAAAGCTGGCTTTTTCAAAGGGCTTCTCAGTGGTGTACTGGGTTGGCCCCAGAGGGACTTTGGCAAATCTAGTCCTCAAAAGTAAAATGAGAGAAAATGACCATTGATGAAGGGCATAAAATTGCATTTTGTATGGAAATATTCATAACTGTCCTCTGTTCAGGCCCTATTATGTTCCATTTCAGTGTTGCGGATACCTTGTTTCATTCATTCATACCACCATTTTATAACTGCAGAAACTAAGGCTTGGCAAGTTAAACTACTTGGTTCAGGAACCCCAGCAGGCCAGAGAAGGGTGATAAGTCAGACTCAGGATGTTCTGACTGGCTTCAGCAAACTGCACAGAAACACATGGGCTCCATGCTGCTCCTATGGGTCCTGATTACAATCTGCCTCCCTGAGGTGGCTGCTTCCACCTTCTCCCCACGGGGTGGCCACCCTCCAAGATAGCCCCCAAGGATCCCTCTGTGTGGCCCCCTCCACTTTGTACTAGGGTTAGTCTGTATGACCGATGGATTATAGCCTATGTGATGGGATGTCACTTCCGAGATTACTCCATGACACACTGTGGCTTCCACCATAAGCTGTCGCTTTATCTCTCCCTCATCACTCACTCTGAGGGAAGTCAACTGATGCTTTACAAGGTTGCCCAGGCAGCCAGGGAAGAGGCTGTGGTGAGGCTCTGAGGTCTCCTGCTGACCGCCAGTGAAGAATTGAGGCCACCAGCAGCCCTGCGAGTGGGGATGGAAGAAGGTCCTGCAGCCCCAGCTAGACTGTAGCCTCGAGAAGGACCCTGAGCCAGTTACACCACGCTTGGATTTATGAGCCTCAGAAATGGTGTAAGAAATATATGATGGTTATCTTAGGCTGCTAAATTTTGGGATGATTTTTGTATGCGGCAATAGATGACTAGTACACCACAATATCAGACTTCGACTAAACATTCCTGATTTAAAAAAAAAAAAAAAGAACTGCAATGGAATGACATACAAATGCACCAGAATGGCTAAAGTTAAAAAGACTGACAACACTAAACATCAAAGATGATGGAGCAAGCAGGACTCTCGTATGTTGTTACAGTGGGAGTATAAAACAATATGAACACAATTGAAAAGGTCTAGCAGTTTCTGTAATACTCAACATACATCTGCCTATGACCTAGCTACATCTACCTGGGATCCAGAGAGTTCACTCATAGGTGTTTACCCAAGAAAAGCAAAGCCACATCTCCATAAAAAGACTTCTACAGAAATGTCTGTAGTAGCTTTACTGATAGTAGCCAAAGCCAGAAACCACCCAGATACCCATTAAATAGTGATGGATAAAAAAACAAACTGTGGTATAGCCACACAATGAAACACTACTTAGCACACTTCATTCTTTCTTCAAAAGAAATGAACTGCTAATATACTCAACATAGATGAATTTCAGAAATGTGCTTGGTGGAAAAACCAGACACAAACCTTGCACACTGTACACTTTCATTTATACGAGGTTATGGAACAAGCAAAATCAATCTAGGAATGCAAAAAAAAATTGAGAACAATGGTTGCTGAGGGGTGGGCTGAGGTGGGGAGGGGTTTTGACCAAGAAAAGAAGTGAGGAAACTTTTTGAAAGGAAGGTAGTGTTTGATTTTTTTATTACAGTTTCAGACACAAGGTGTGTCTATTCGTCAATACCTATTAATGGCATACCTAAGGCTTGTGCATTTCATTGCACATAGATTTTACCATAAAGAACCAAAAACATATTGCACTCCAGTTAATAATAGCCAGGCGGAAACATTTAAGGTGAAATGTAAGCTACGTATCTACAACTTACCTTGAAATATACAAAAAATTAGATGAATTGATGGATTCATGGAAGAATGGGTAGATGGATAGGTACATATATGTGACAAAGAAAGTAGGGTAAAATGTTAATTGTAGAATCTAGGTGGTGGGTACATGGTGTTCATTGAGCAATTCTTTCATCTTTTGCATGTTTGAAAAATTTAATAGTATACTAGTGGGGAAAATATTTGAGAGTGGTGGGTTCTGTGTGTGCATGGAACTATCTGTAACTTGGAGGAGCTAGAAAAATCCATTTGGACAATGTGTTCATGGACTCAGAAAATCAGAATATAATTTTTTTTGAGGCAGGGTCTCACTGTGTTGCCCAAGTTGGATTGCAGTGGTGCAATCATAGCTCACTGCAGCCTTGACCTCCTGGGTTCAAATGATTCTCCTGCCTCAGCCTCCTCAGTTGCCAGGACTACAGGTGTGTGCCACCATACCTGGTTAATTTTTGTATTTTTAGTAAAGACAGGGTTGTACTATATTGCCCAGGCTGGGCTCCAACTCCTCGCCTCAAGTGATTCTCCTGCCTTGGCCTCCCAAAGTGCTGGAATTACAGGTGTGAGCCACTGCACCCGGCCTATATTTGTTTTTTTTTTGTTTTGTTTTTTTGTTTTTATGGTTTCTTTTTTACACCTTAAAGATTACTTTATTGTTAAAAAAAAAAGTGCTAACAATCATCTGAGCCCTCAGCAAGTTGTAATCTTGCTAATGGGGGGTCTCTCCTCCACGTTGATGGCATCTGATTGATCAGGCTGGTAGTTGCTGAAGGTTAGGGTGGCTATGGCAACTTCTTTTATTATTATTATTATACTTTTAAGTTTTAGGGTACATGTGCACAATGTGCAGGTTTGTTACACATGTATGCATGTGCCATGCTGGTGTGCTGCACCCATTAACTCGTCATTTAGCATTAGGTATATCTCCTAATGCTATCCCTCCCCCCTCCCCCCACCCCACAACAGTCCCCGGAGTGTGATGTTCCCCTTCCTGTGTCCATGTGTTCTCATTGTTCAATTCCCACCTATGAGTGAGAACATGCAGTGTTTGGTTTTTTGTCCTTGAGATAGTTTGCTGAGAATGATGGTTTCCAGTTTCATCCATGTCCCTACAAAGGACATGAACTCACCATTTTTTATGGCTGCATAGTATTCCATGGTGTATATGTACCACATTTTCTTAATCCAGTCTATGGTTGTTGGACATTTGGGTTGGTTCCAAGTCTTTGCTATTGTGAATAGTGCTGCAATAAACATACGTGTGCATGTGTCTTTATAGCAGCATGATTTATAATCCTTTGGGTATGTACCCAGTAATGGGATGGCTGGGTCAAATGATATTTCTAGTTCTAGATCCCTGAGGAATCGCCACACTGACTTCCACAATGGTTGAACTAGTTTACACTCCCACCAACAGTGTAAAAGTGTTCCTACTTTTCCACATCCTCTCCAGCACCTGTTGTTTCCTGACTTTTTAATGATCGCCATTCTAAGTGGTGTGAGATGGTATCTCATTGTGGTTTCGATTTGCATTTCTCTGATGGTCAGTGATGATGAGCATTTTTTCATGTGTTTTTTGGCTGCATAAATGTCTTCTTTTGAGAAGTGTCTGTTCATATCCTTCACCCACTTGTTGATGGGGTTGTTTGTTTTTTTTCTTTTAAATTTGTTTGAGTTCATTGTAGATTCTGGATACTAGCCCTTTGTCAGATGAGTAGGTTGCAAAAATTTTCTCCCATTTTGTAGGCTGCCTGTTCACTCTGATGGTAGTTTCTTTTGCTGTGCAGAAGCTCTTTAGCTTAATTAGATCCCATTTGTCAATGTTGGCTTTTGTTGCCATTGCTTTTGGTGTTTTAGACATGAAGTCCTTGCCCGTGCCTATGTCCTGAATGGTATTGCCTAGGTTTTCTTCTAGGGTTTTTATGGTTTTAGGTCTAATGTTTAAGTCTTTAGTCTATCTTGAATTAATTTTTGTAAAGGGTGTAAAGAAGGGATCCAGTTTCAGCTTTCTACATATGGCCAGCCAGTTTTCCCAGCACCATTTATTAAATAGGGAATCCTTTCCCCATTGCTTGTTTCTGTCAGGTTTGTCGAAGATCAGATGGTTGTAGATATGTGGCATTATTTCTGAGGGCTCTCTTCTGTTCCATTGATCTATATCTCTGTTTTGGTACCAGTACCATGCTGTTTTGGTTACTGTAGCCTTGTAGTATAGTTTGAAGTCAGGTAGGGTGATGCCTCCAGCTTTGTTCTTTTGGCTTAGGATTGACTTGGCAATGCGGGCTCTTTTTTGGTTCCATATCAACTTTAAAGTAGTTTTTTCCAATTCTGTGAAGAAAGTCATTGGTAGCTTGATGGGGATGGCATTGAATCTATAAATTACCTTGGGCAGTATGGCCATTTTCACGATATTGATTCTTCCTACCCATGAGCATGGAATGTTCTTCCATTTGTTTGTATCCTCTTTAATTTCATTGAGCAGTGGTTTGTAGTTCTCCTTGAAGAGGTCCTTCACATCCCTTGTAAGTTGGATTCCTAAGTATTTATTCTCTTTGAAGCAATTGTGAATGGGAGTTCACTCATGATTTGGCTCTCTGTTTGTCTGTTATTGGTGCATAAGAATGCTTGTGATTTTTACACATTGATTTTGTATCCTGAGACTTTGTTGAAGTTGCTTATCAGCTTAAGGAGATTTTGGGCTGAGACAATGGGGTTTTCTAGATATACAATCATGTCATCTGCAAACAGGGACAATTTGACTTCCTCTTTTCCTAATTGAATACCCTTTATTTCCTTCTCCTGCCTAATTGCCCTGGCCAGAACTTCCAACACTATGTTGAATCGGAGTGGTGAGAGAGGGCATCCCTGTCTTATGCCAGTTTTCAAAGGGAATGCTTCCAGTTTTTGCCCATTCAGTATGATATTGGCTGTGGGTTTGTCATAGATAGCTCTTAATATTTTGAGATATGTCCAATCAATACCTAATTTATTGAGAGTTTTTAGCATCAAGGGTTGTTGAATTTTGTCAAAGGCCTTTTCTGCATCCATTGAGATAATCATGTGGTTTTTGTCATTGGTTCTGTTTATATGCTGGATTACATCTATTGATTTGTGTACATTTAACCAGCCTTGCATCCCAGGGATGAAGCCCACTTGATCATGGTGGATAAGCTTTTTGAGGTGCTGCTGGATTCGGTCTGCCAGTATTTTATTGAGGATTTTTGCATCAATGTTCATCAAGGATATTCAGCTAAAATTCTCTTTTTTGTGTGTGTCTCTGCCAGGCTTTGGTATCAGGATGATGCTGGCCTCATAAAATGAGTTAGGGAGGATTCCCTCTTTTTCTATTGATTGGAATAGTTTCAGAAGGAATGGTACCAGCTCCTCCTTTTACCTCTGGTAGAATTCGGCTGTGAATCCATCTGGTCCTGGACGTTTTTGGTTGGTAAGCTATTGATTATTGCTAAAATTTCAGAGCTCGTTATTGGTCTATTCAGAGATTCAACTTCTTCCTGGTTTAGTCTTGGGAGGGTGTATGTGTCCAGGAATTTATCCATTTCTTCTAGATTTTCTAGTTTATTTGTGTAGAAGTGTTTGTAGTATTCTCTGATGGTAGTTTGTATTTCTGTGGGATCAGTGGTGATATCCCCTTTATCATTTTTTATTGTGTCTATTTGATTCTTCTCTCTTTCTTCTTTATTAGTCTTGCTAGCAGTCTATCAATTTTGTTGATCCTTTCAAAAAACCAGCTCCTGGATTCATTAATTTTTTGAAGGGTTTTTTGTGTCTCTATTTCCTTCAGTTCTGCTCTGATTTTAGTTATTTCTTGCCTTCTGCTAGCTTTTGAATGTGTTTGCTCTTGCTTTTCTAGTTCTTTTAACTGTGACGTTAGGGTGTCGATTTTGGATCTTTCCTGCTTTCTCTTGTGGGCATTTAGTGCTATAAATTTCCCTCCACACACCGCTTTGAATGTGTCCCAGAGATTCTGGTATGTTGTGTCTTTGTTCTCGTTGGTTTCAAAGAACATCTTTATTTCTGCCTTCATTTCGTGATGTACCCAGTAGTCATTCAGGAGCAGGTTGTTCAGTTTCCATGTAGTTGAGTGGTTTTCAGTGAGTTTCTTAGTCCTGAGTTCTAGTTTGATTGCACTGTGGTCTGAGAGACAGTTTGTTATAATTTCTGTTCTTTTACATTTGCTGAGGAGTGCTTTACTTCCAACTATGTGGTCAATTTTGGAATAGGTGTGGTGCTGAAAAAAATGTATATTCTGTTGATTTGGGGTGGAGAGTTCTGTAGATGTCTATTAGGTCTGCCTGCTGCAGAGCTGAGTTCATTTCCTGGGTATCCTTGTTAACTTTCTGTGTCGTTGATCTGTCTAACATTGACAGTGGGGTGTTAAAGTCTCCCATTATTAATGTGTGGGAGTCTAAGTCTCTTTGTAGGTCACTCAGGACTTGCTTTATGAATCTTGGTGCTCCTGTATTGGGTGCATATATATTTAGGATAGTTAGCTCTTCTTGTTGAATTGATCCCTTTACCATTATGTAATGGCCTTCTTTGTCTCTTTTGATCTTTGCTGGTTTAAAGTCTGTTTTATCAGAGACTAGGATTGCAACCCCTGCCTTTTTTTGTTTTCCATTTGCTTGGTAGATCTTCCTCCATCCCTTTATTTTGAGCCTATGTGTGTCTCTGCACATGAGATGGGTTTCCTGAATACAGCACACTGATGGGTCTTGACTCTTTATCCAATTTGCCAGTCTGTGTCTTTTAATTGGAGCATTTAGCCCACTGACATTTAAAGTTAATATTGTTATGTGTGTATTTGGTCCTGTCATTATGATGTTAGCTGGTTATTTTGATCGTTAGTTGATGCAGTTTTCTTCCTAGCCTTGATGGTCTTTACATTTTGGCATGTTTTTGCAGTGGCTGGTACCAGTTGTTCCTTTCCATGTTAAGTTCTTCCTTTAAGAGCTCTTTTAGGGCAGACCTGGTGGTGACAAAATCTCTCAGCATTTGCTTGTCTGTAAAGTATTTTATTTCTCCTTCACTTATGAAGCTTAGTTTGGCTGGATATGAAATTCTGGGTTGAAAATTCTTTTCTTTAAGAATGTTGAATATTGGCCCCAACTCTCTTCTGGCTTGTAGAGTTTCTGCCGTGAGATCAGCTGTTAGTCTGATGGGTTTCCCTTTGTGGGTTACCCGACCTTTCTCTCTGTCTGCGCTTAACATTTTTTCCTGCATTTCAACTTTGGTGAATCTGATAATTATGTGTCTTGGAGCTGCTCTTCTCGAGGAGTATCTTTGTGGCGTTCTCTGTATTTCCTGAATCTGAATGTTTGCCTGCCTTGCTAGATTGGGGAAGTTCTCCTGGAAAATATCCTGCAGAGTGTTTTCCAACTTGGTTCCATTCTCCCCATCACTTTCAGGTACACCAATCAGACGTAAATTTGGTCTTTTCACATAGTCCCATATTTCTTGGAGGCTTTGTTCATTTCTTTTTATTCTTTTTTCTCTAATCTTCCCTTCTCGCTTCATTTCATTCATTTCATCTTCCATCACTGATACCCTTTCTTCCAGTTGATTGCATCGGCTCCTGAGGCTTCTGCATTCTTCACGTAATTCTTGAGCCTTGGCTTTCAGCTCCATCAGCTCCTTTAAGGACTTCTCTGCGTTGATTATTCTAGTTATCCATTCATCTAGTTTTTTTTCAAAGTTTTTAACTTCTTTGCCATTGGTTTGAATTTCCTCCTGTATCTCAGAGTAGTTTGATCGTCTGAAGCCTTCTTCTCTCAGCTCGTCAAAGTCATTCTCCGTCCAGCTTTGTTCCGTTGCTGGTGAGAAGGTGCGTTCCTTTGGAGGAGGAGAGGTGCTCTGCTTTTTAGTGTTTCCAGTTTTTCTGCTCTGTTTTTTCCCCATCTTTGTGGCTTTATCTACTTTTGGTCTTTGATGATGGTGACGTACAGAAGGGTTTTTGGTGTGGATGTCCTTTCTGTTTGTTAGTTTTCCTTCTAACAGACAGGACCCTCAGCTGCAGGTCTGTTGGAGTTTGCTAGAGGTCCACTCCAGACTCTGTTTGCCTCAGTATCAGCAGCGGTGGCTGCAGAACAGCGGTGCCTGTAGAACAGCGGTGGCTGTAGAACAGCAGATCTTGGTGAACCACAGATGCTGCTGCCTGATCTTTCCTCTGGAAGTTTTGTCTCAGAGGAGTACCTGGCCGTGTGAGGTGTCAGTCTGCCCCCACTTGGGGGTGCCTCCCAGTTAGGCTGCTCGGGGGTCAAGGACCCACTTGAGGAGGCAGTCTGCCCGTTCTCAGATCTCCAGCTGTGTGCTGGGAGAACCACTACTCTCTTCAAAGCTGTCAGACAGGGACATTTAAGTTTGCAGAGGTTACTGCTGTCTTTTTGTTTGTCTGTGCCCTGCCCCCAGAGGTGGAGCCTACAGAGGCAGGCAGGCCTCCTTGAGCTGTGGTGGGCTCCACCCAGTTCGAGCTTCCCGGCTGCTTTGTTTGCCTAATCAAGCCTGGGCAATGGCAGGCGCCCCTCCCCCAGCCTCACTGCCACCTTGCAGTTTGATCTCAGACTGCTGTGCTAGCAATCAGGGAGACTCCGTGGGCGTAGGACCCTCCGAGCCAGATGCGGGATATAATCTCCTGGTGTGCCGTTTTTTAAGCCCGTTGGAAAAGCACAGTATTCAGGTTGGAGTGAACCGATTTTCCAGGTGCCGTCTGTCACCCCTTTCTTTGACTAGGAAAGGGAATTCCCTGACCCCTTGAGCTTCCCGAGTGAGGCAATGCCTTGCCCTGCTTCGGCCCACGCACAGTGCGCTGCACCCACTGTCCTGCACCCACTGTGTGGCACTCCCTAGTGAGATGAGCCTGGTACCTCAGATGGAAATGCAGAAATCACCCGTCTTCTGTGTTGCTCACGCTGGAAGCTGTAGACCAGAGCTGTTCGTATTTGGCCATCTTGGCTCCACCCCCCTGTATTTGTTTTAAACCAATTTTGATCTCTATCTTGGAGGGAGATCCAGTTCATTAGAGATCATTCCTATGGATGCCTCTCCAACTTCTACACTAGATATTCATTTCTCACCTTAGACCTTTCAGATGATCCTCTGCAGTGAATTCTTATAATGTTATGCTTTCTTGGTACCTATTTTGAATGTATGTTGGACTTTCTCATACCAGAAGCAGGGCTTAGTCATCCTTGAAAGTTTCCAGGTCTCCACCTCTTCCCAGGCCCTCAAAATGGTCGATCCAGAGATGTGCCTTATATAGCTGCCTCCTGGTGACCAAGTCCCTAAGGGACAGCTAGATGCAACCTACTTGACCCACCCTGCAGACCCTCACACCCAGCATGGACTGCTCAGATATGCTGCCATGACCACCCTTCACTCACAGCATGGCCTCCTGTAACTTGTGCCTACCTGCTCTAACCCAACGAATTACAACTCCTTGTGGGGAACCTGCTGGGGTGATGGCCTGGACCCCATAAAGGCTTCAGCCCTCAGAGCCCACACTCCATCTATCTTGCTCCCCACCCGCTAGCGAGCACACAGGTCCTGACGGCTCCCCTAGTCCAGCGTGCTGCCCTCTTCTCTCCGGACCTGCGAGGAACTCACTGCTTCTGGTATTTCATAGGTTTTGTTGAGTGGCCTCCTCTGTGTCTCACTCGACCGACACACCTGAACCTAACTTCTTTCCAAATTCAGAACTGTCCTAAAGAGTGGCTATCTTGGTAGGCTAAATAAATAAATACACCAGACACAGACAAGAGACTCAAGGGTGTCTAAGAGGGTAAACAAGTCTCCCAGGAGAGACCTGGGCACAGGTCAGACACAGGGATTCTGCCATCCACCAGGATAAAGAAGTACCCCGTGAAGGCACATCATAAACATGCACAACCACCTCCCCTGGAGCCCCGTCAGGGCAGGGCTGGACTTCACAGCCACTCTACAGAGAGAGGGAGACCTCAAAAGCAAACTAAAAAGAGAAAAATGCAACCCCCTCTCTCTGCCACTGCTGACAAAAGCCAGTCTATGGCAGTTTAAACACAGCAAGCAAACCAGCCATGACCTCGCGTTGGGTGTCTCCTCTTCCACGACGTTTCTCTACACACACTCTTCCCAGGGCACCTGGACCTACTCCCTGCCTTTACACAGCATACATGTCCCTGCCAGCAAGCCACAGCACGTGCTCTGTGTTCTGCCGGGATGTTCTCCACCCGTCTCCACCCACCATGCCTCTGTCTGTCAAGGCCTTCCTTCACGGAGCTCTGTGCATGCTCATGGCCGGAGTTCCCTCCTTATCCCTCAAGGCCTCCCTTCCTACAGGCTTCTCCCGGCACAGTGCCCATCTGCCCTGTATACAGCAGGCAATGTTCCTGCAGGTCTGCACCAGGGCATGAGTGCCGATGACAGCGATGGAGTCCCGTTCCCCTGTGCTTCACAGAGCAGGGGCTGCCCCACACAGAAACCGCCCAAGGCTTCCCCAGTGTCCTCGCCTCAGTCTGGGGCCCTTTTTTCCTGAAGGTTTCTATCGGGCTCTGACTGAAACCTTTAACCAAAGGGAGTGTGAAGCAGGACAGAAGGACAGCAAGCTTTCCTCAAGGTTGGGACCCTGGGGACGCAGACAGGACTCTTCCCACCTTCTGGAACCTGCCTCTGGCACCCAACCATTCCCAGTCTTACTGGATGTGACAGGAAGGAAATCAGCTCTAACTTCAGTTCCACCTTAAACTCCAAAGACACCATCAGCAAGTCCTAGGTCCTTAGTGGTTCTTGGTTTCTGCCTTCTAAAGCAAGGGGTTTGAGCCCCTCCAAGTCTGTGACTGAAGCTTTTAAACCCCAAGCAAAGCTCCATTCATAGTCCTTCTTGGCAAGTTTTGACCCACTGCTAGTCCTTCCCTATCTAGAAAGACTCTCCTTTGTTTTGACCCCAAGTAGCCCCCATTTCCTCTTAGGAAAACCTGGTACTAAATACGGCACTACCTTGGTGCTCCTGGGACCTACAGGTCACCTTGCTCACTGCCCTCAATTTTACAGATGAGAAAACAGAGCAAGAAGATCAAGAAACTTGTTGAAGATTGCACAGTAAATTAGTAAGACCTAGGGCTAGCGGAGCAAATAATATTTCCTGCCTGAAAACACAAAGACCTCCCATCCAAGCATCCTTCCCAGCAGCCAATGGAACCAGGCGGGGAGAGACCTGGGGGCAGAGAGCCCCGACACTGCCTTGCCGCTGCACTGAGGATGGCACCTGGTGCTTCCAGGGAGGGTGTATGAAGGCGCTAACTCCAACCTGGATGTTTTAGAAAGCAGACAGTGGGGCATGTACTACAACTCTCTTATTCAACATAAAAGAATGCAAATGATAAAATTCTAAGATGCCTAAGTGGGGTTTGAAAAAGTCGATGTAACTGGAGGTTAAATGTGACATGTGAAACCCACAAGCAAGTGAAGATCTGAAAACTGTCTTGTTAATTCACTTCAGGCTGCCCAGTTTTTGTAGGGACAGCTGTGGCTACAAACGGGGGCCATGTGGGAAGGGCACTCTCCCTGCACTGTCACCTGCATGCCCAGGATTGGCAAGGAGAGCCACTGCCCCCCACTTGCCAGCTGGTCTCCGGCAGCATGAAAACAGGGGGCGTGGCAGTTCCTGCCATAAAGAGGAAAATGATACACCTTATCCCAGACGCCAGGTGCTGTCTGCATCAGTCCTTTTAAAAATTTAATCGCTTTATACAATTGACACCAAATAAAATGCACATATTTAAGTTTATAATTTGAGAAGCTGACACGTGTCCATACAGACACACCTCATTTTACTGTGCTTTACTGTATTGCCCTTTGAAGATACTGCATTTTCTTTTTACAAATTAAAGGTTTGTGGCAACCCTGTGCTGAGCAAGTTTATTGGCATCATTTTTCAAACAGCATGCACTCACTGTGCATCTCTGTGTCACATTTTGGGAATTCTCACAGTATTTCAAACTTTTCCATTAGGATTATATCTGTTATAGTGATCTGTGCTCAGTGATCTTTGATGTTACTGTTGTAATTACAACAGTTCTGGTTCTGGGGCACCACGAACCACACCCACACATACCGATGAACTTAATAAACGTTGTGTGTGTTCTGACTGCTCCACTGACCAGTGATTCTCCTGTCTCCCTCTCCTCAGGCCTCCCTATTCCCTGAGACACAACATATTAAAGTTAGGCTATTAACAACCCTAAAATGTCAAGTTGTTCAAATGGAAAAAAAAAAGAATTTCATGTTTCACTTTAAATCAAAAGCTAGGAATGGTTAAGCTTAGTGAGGAAGGCATTTTAAAAGCTAAGATGGGCCAAAAGCTAGGCCTCTTACACTAAACAGTTAACTAACTTTTGAATGCAAAGGAATAATTATTGAAAGAAATTAGTAGTGCTACTCCAGTGAATACACAAATGATAAGAAAGTGAAACAGTCTTATTGCCGATACGGAGAAAGTTTCAGTGGTCTGTGGTCTGGATAGATCAAACCAGTTACAATATTCCCTTAAGCCAAAGCCTAATCCAGAGCAAGACCCTAACTCTCTTCAATTCTACGGAGGCTAAGAGAGGTGAGGAAGCTACAGAAGAAAAGTTAGAAGCTAGCAGAGGCTGGTTCATGAGGTTTAAGGAAAAAAGCCATCTTCAATAACATAAAAGTTTCATGTTATTGCACTGGGGAAGTGGCAAGTGCTGATGGAGAAGCTGCAGCAAGATCTCTAGATCTTAGAAGATCTAGCTAACATCGCTGATTAAGGTGGCTACACTATACAACAGATGTTCAATGTAGACAACACAGCCCTCTATTGGAAGAAGATGTTATCTAGGCTAGATGAGAATAAGTCTCTGCCTGGCTTCAAAGCTTCTACAGACAGGGACAATTGTAGCTGGTGACTTTAAGTTGAAACCAATGCTCATTTATCATTCTGAAAGTTCTAGTGCCCTTAAGAATGACACTAAATCTACTCTTCCTGTGCTCTATAGGAACAAAGAAGCCTGGGCACAGCACATCTGTTGATACCTTGGTTTACTGAATATTTTAAGCTCATTGCTGAGACATGCTGCTCAGAAAGAAAGATTTCTTTCAAAATATTACTGCTCATTTGACAATGCACCTAGTTACCCAAGAGCTCTGATGAAGATGTACAAGATCAATGTTTTCACGTCTGCTAATACAACATCCATTCTGTACTCCACGGATCAAGGAGCAATTTTGACTTGCAACTCTTATTACTTAAGAAATACATTTTATAAGGCTATAACTGCCATAGATAGTGATTCCTCTGATAGATCTGGGCAAAGTACATTGAAAACCTTCTGGAAAGGATTCACAACTCTAGAAGTCAATAAGAACATCTGTGATTCATGGGAGGTGGTCAAATTATCAACATTAACAGGAGTTTGTAAGAAATGGATTCCAACTCTCATGGATGACTTTGTGGGGTCCAAGACTTCAGTGGAAGAATTAACTGCAGATGTGGTGGAAGAGAACTGGAATTAGAAGTGGAGTCTGAAGATGTGACTAAATTGCTACAATCTCAAGTTGGGGAGTTGCTTCTTATGGATGAGCAAGGAAAGTGGTTTCTTGAGATGGAATCTGCTCCTGGTAAAGATGCTGTGAACACTGCTGAAATGACAAAAAGGATTTAGAAATTACAAAATGCATTTGATAAAGCAGCAGCAAGGTTTCAGAGGACTGACTTCAATTTTGAAAGAAGTTCCACTGTGGGTAAAATGCTATCAAATAGCATCACACATGCTACAGAGAAATCTTTCATGAGAGGAAGAGTCAATTAAATGCATCAAACTTCACGATTGTCTTATTTTAAGAAATTGTCACAGCCACCCCAACCTTCAGCAATCACCACCCTGATCAGTTAGCAGCCATAAACATTGAGGCAAGACCCTCCACCAGCAAAAAGATTATGACTCACTGAAGGCTCAGATGATTGTTAGCATTTTTGGCAATAAAGTATTTTTTCAAATTAAGTTATGTACATTTTTTAGATATAATGCTATTGAACACTTAGTAGACTACAGAATAGTATAAAGATAACTTTTTTTTTTTTTTTTTTTGAGACAGGGTCTTGCTCTGTCACCCAGACTGGAGTAGAGTGGCGTGATTTCCACTCACTGCAACCTCTGTCTCCTCGACTCAAGCAATCCTCCCACCTCAGCCTCCCCAGTAGCTGGGACGACAGGCATGCACCACCAAACCAGGCTGATTTTTGTAGGTTTTTGTTTTTTTTTTTTTCAATAGAGACGAGGTCTCACCATGCTGCCCAAGCTGGTCTGGAACTCTGGGCTCAAGCTATCCGTCCTCCTTGGCTCTCAAAGTGCTGGGACTACAGGTGTGAGCCACTGTGCTTAGCCAACATAATTTCTATATGCACTAGAAAACCAAAAAATTCATGTGACTTGCTTTATTGCTATATTTATTGCAGTGGTCTGGAACTGAATCTGCAATACCTCTGAGGTCTGTTATCACTGCAAGATACCATACATATATACCACTCTCAAAAGATTCCTCAGGCCAGGTGCGGTCGCTCACGCCTATAATCCCAGCGCTTTGGGAGGCCGAGGTAGGCAAATCATGAGGTCAGGAGATCGAGACCATCCCGGCTAACACGGTGAAACCCCATCTCTACTAAAAATACAAAAAATTAGCCAGCCATGGTGGCGGGTGCCTGTAGTCGCAGCTACTCGGGAGGCTGAGGCAGGAGAATGGCGTGAACCCGGGAGGCAGAGCTTGCAGTGAGACGAGCTCGCGCCACCGCACTCCAGCCTCTGTCTAAAAAAAAAAAAGATTCCTCAGCTGCTTTGTAATCCCCACTGCTCACTGCTGCCCTCAGCCCTGTCTGAGGCAATCACTGACCTGCATTCCATCGCTATAGATCACTATGCATTTCCTAGACTTTACATAAGTGGAATTGCACAATATGTAGTTTTTTTTTGTCTCACTTCTTTCACTTCATGTAATTATTTTGAGAGTCATCTCTGTTGTTGCACGTTATCAATAATTCACTCCTTTGGATTGAGAGCCGAGTAGCATTCCAGTGTATGTATCTACCACCATTTGTTTACCCGTTTACCTGTGATGGGTATTTAGGTTGCTTCCAGTTTTTTAGCCCTCACTAAGAATGCCAAAAACATCTGTGTACAAGCTTTGCTATGGGCAAAGGCTTTCGGTTTTCTTAAGTAAATAAATAGGAGTAAAATTTGCTGGATTGTACACTAGGTACATGTCTAATTTTGAAGAACTTGCTGAATTGTTTTCTAAAGTGGCTGCACCACTTTCCATTCAAAACCAGCAGCGTACAAATTTACCAGTTTTTCCACATCCTTGCTGAGATTTGGTATGCTCAGTATTGTTGGTTTTAGTCATTCTCATAGGTGTGTAGTGCTATCTCATTCTGGCTTTAAGTTACATTTCCCTAAGGATTAATGATGTTGAGCATCTTTTCACCTGCTTATTTGCTATCCATGTATCTTCTTTGGTGAAGTCTGTTCAAAGCTTTTGCTTATTTTTAATTGGATAGTTTTTACAAAAATAATTGAGTCATGAGAACTCTTTACATATTCTAGAAACAAGTACTTTACCAGATATATGATTTGCAGTATTTTCTTCCAACTTGCAGTTTATCTTTTCATTCTCTTAACACTATCCTCAAAAAGCAGTTTAAGTTTTTAATGAAGTCCAATTTATTAATTTTTCTTTTATGGATTGTTCATGGGGTATCATGTCTAGAAAATCTTTTCCTAAGACAAGGTTAAAAAGATTTTCTCATGAATTAATGGCATTTGAGCGACCTGGATGAGACTGGAGACTATTATTCTAAGTGAAGTAACTCAGGAATGGAAAACCAAACATCGTATGTTCTGACTTATAAGTGGCAGCTAAGCTATGAGGATGCAAAGGCAGAAGAATGACACAATGGACTTTGAGGACTCAGGGATAAAAGACTACAAATAGGGTTCAGTGTATACTGCTCGGGTGATGGGTGCACCAAAATCTCACAAATCCCCACTAAAGAACTTACTCATGTAACCAAACACCACCTGTACCCCAATAACCTACGGAAATAAAAAAAAATAATAAAAATAAAATAAAAAGATTTTCTCCTGTGTTTTTTTCTAGAAGACTTTTTTAGCTTTAGGTTTTATATTTAGGGATACCATCCATTTTAAGGTAATTTTTGCATATGAGTGAGATGTAAACCAAAGTTCATTTCTTTTGCATATGAAAATCCAATTATCCCACAATTTGTTGAAAAGATTATTTTTTGCACTGAATTACTTTTGTATGCTTATTGAAGACCAGTTGTCCACATATGTGAACTATTTCTTAACTTTCCAATTTGTTTCATTGATCTAATTCTCTACATTAAAAAAACTACTTTATTGTATATATTAAGGTATATGATATGATGTTCTGATACACTTATACATAGTGAAATGGTTATTATAGTCAAGCACATTAGCTTATTCATCATTTCACGGTTACCCCTTTGTGCATATGTGTGTGTATGTGTGTGTGTATGTGTGTGTGCCTTGAAAGCAAATTTTCTAGTACACTATGCAATATTATTAATGATAGTCTTCATGTTGAACATTTGATCAACATCACAGTTTTGATTACTGTACTCTTATGAGTTTTAATATCAGGTATTGTCAGACTTCTGATATAGTTTGGCTCTATGTCCCCACCCAAATCTCACTTTGAATTGAAATCCCCATAATCCCCACGTGTCAAGGGCATGAGTGGGTGGAGGTCATTGGATCATGGGGGCAGTTTCCCCCATCCTGTTCTTGTGAATAATGAGTGAGTCTCACGAGATGTGAAGGTTTTATAAGTGTCTGGCCTCTCCCCTGCTTGCACTCACTCCATCCTGCTGCCCTGTGAAGAAGGTGCCTGCTTCTCCTTTGTCTTCCACCATGACTGTAAGTTTCCTGAGGCCTCCCCAGTAATGTGGAACTGTGAGTCAACTAAGCCTCTTTCCTTTATAAATTACCCAGTCTTGGGTATTTCTTCATAGCAATGTGAGAACAAATATGCTTTCTAACTTTATTCCAATTTTTCAAAGTTTGTTTTGTTTATTCTCTGTCCTGGGATTTATGTATGAATTTTAAAGTCAACTTGTTAATTTCTACATAAAAAGCTGGCTTGGATTGTTATTGAGATTATACTGAATTTAAAGCAATCTAGGGAGAACCAACATCTCAACAATATTGAGTCTTTTGACCCATGGATATGGTACATTTAACCCTTTATTTAGGTTTTTCATCTCTTTAAGCAATGTTTTGAAGTTTCAGTTGTAAATTTATTCATATTTTATATTTTTGGATGCTACTGAATAAAGTATTTTTAAAATTTATTTTAAAAAATAATGCAATTATTCATTGCAATTGTAAAAATGCAATTGATTTCTCTATATTGGTTTTGTATCTTACAACACTGCTAACTTCACTTACTAGTTCCAAAAAATGCTTTTAAATTCCATTAGATATTCTACATATGTCATCATGTCACCTGTGAATAAAGATAGTTTGCTTCTTCTTTTCCAATCTGGGTGCTTTTTAATTATAATTTATTGTTTGACTGCACTGGCCAGAATGTCCAGGAAAATGTTGGATAGAAGTAGTGAAAGGGCGCATTCTTATCTCCCTCTTGATCTTTGGGGAAAAGCTTTCTTTCATCACTAGGTGTCAGGTTAGCTGTAGGCTTTTTTGTAAATACTTTATATAAGATTGAGGAAGTTTTCTTCTATTCCTAGTTTTCTGAGTGTTTTCTAAAAATCAAGGACGAATGTGGATTTTACCAAAAGCTCTTTCTGCATTTACTGAGATGATTGTATACCTTCTGTTTCTCAGTATGTTAATATGGAAAATTATGTTGACTGATTTTTGAATGTTAAACTAGTTTTGCATTCTTGGGATAAAACCCACTTGGTCATGAGGTAGTATCCTTTTTATATGCTGCCAAATTCGATTTGCTAAAATCTTTTTCAGTGTTTTCACACTTTTCTTCATGAGGAATATTTGTCTGTAGTCTTTCTTGGTTTTGTATTAGGGTAATGCTGGCGCAAAGAATGAATGAGTTGGGAAGTATAACCCCTTTTCAATTTCCTGGAAGAGCTGGTATAATTTTTTCTTTATATGTGTGGTAGAATTTACCAATGAAGCTATAGATGCTTGCAGTTATCTTTGTGAGAAAGTTTTCAACTACAACTTAGATTTCTTTAATAAATATAGACCTATTCAAATCATTTTTTTTTTTTCTTGCATAGGCTTTGGTATTTTGTACCTTTCAAATAATTTGTGAATTTCATTTAACTTGCTGCATTTATTGGCATAGAATTGTTTATAATATTCCTTTATAATCCTTTTAATATCTTGAGAATCTGTACTGAGGTCATCTCTTTCATTCTTGATATTGTTAATTTGTATCTTCTTTTTCCTCTGATTATGTGGCTATGGGTTTATCAATTTTATTGATCTCAAAGAACCCACTTTTGGTTTCACTGACTTTCTCTACTATTTTTCCATTTACTATTTCACTGTTTTTTGTTCTGGTCTTTATTATTTCATTTCTTCTGTCTGGGTTTAATTTGCTCTTTTTTTTTCTAGTTTTCAAGATAAAAATTAAGGTAACTGATTTGAGGCCCTGCTTCTTTTCTAATAGAGGTGTTTAACTTATACATTTTCTTATAGGTACTGTTTCCTTGAATCATTTTTTCCTATTGTTCATGCCTCTCCTTCAAGGATTCCAATTACACTTATTTTAGGCTGCTTACATTTTTCCACAGCTCACAGATGCTTTAATTTTTAATTATTTTTTCTTTTTTAGAGATGAGGGTCTCATTATGTAGCCCAGGCTAGCCTCAAACTCCTGGGCTCAAGCAATAATTCTGCTTCAACCTCCCAAGTAGCTGGGATTGCGGGCATGCACCACTGCACCTGGCTTTCACTGATGCCTTTAATATTTCTTTACTTCTATTTTTTTCTGTGTTTCATTTTGGATATTTTCCATTGCTATGTCTTCATGTTCACTAACCTTTCTCTTTTTTTTGTATTAAGCAATGTGCTGTTAATTCCACTGAGTTACTTTTTCATCTCAGATGTAGTCTTCATCTCTGGAAGTTCAACTCAGGCTTTAAAAAGTATCTTCCATAACTTTACTTAAACATCTGAACAGCATGTCAGTATGTACCTTATTCTATTCTATAGAGTACAGTTATAATAACTTTTAGTGCCCTTGTCTGATAATTTTAACATCTCTAGCAGTTCTGGTTTGACTTTGATTGAACAGTTTCTCCTCATTATGGGTCCTATGTTCCTGCTACTTTGCATTCCTGATAACTTCTGATTGAGTGCCAGACAGCAAGACTTTTACATTATTTGGTGCTGGACAAGTTTATATTTCTATAAATATTATTGAGCTTTGTTGTAGAATGAAGTTACATTTCTTGGAAATACTTTTGAGAGAGGAGGTAAAAAGAGACCAGCTAGGCAGATAGTTAGGGCAGAGAGTCCTTGGCAGAACTTCCCTTCTAACAAAAAGCAGCCCAGGAAATCACTCCTCTTCTAATAGAAAGCAGCCTGGAAGACCGGGCTGCAAACAGATAAGGAAGCTGGAGCTTGCACGGGGGGATGCTTGCAGCTGCACAGACAGAAAGGGGTACCTGGGGCCAGGTGTGTCCACCATGGAGGCTCCACCTCCCCCTTTGAAGCACATACACAGTAGGAAAGCAACGTGGAGTAGCTCAGGCAAAAGACCTGCCTGTATAATAAAAGGGTGGGGTGGGGGATGCCAGAGATTCATGCTCTACGCAGATGGCACACCTGGGGTTTTTCACACCCTATGTAGGTAAGATAACACCTCACCTCCCCACTAGCTAGCTTATAAAAACCCTTGCATTTCACTGCTGAATGGCAACGCTTTTGGGGATCCCTCTCTGCTGCAGAGAGCTGTTATCTTTCTTTTGCCTAATAAACTTCTGCTTCTGCTCTAACCTCACCCTTGGTGTGGCCGTGTCCTTGACTTCCTTGGCTGTGAGATCAAGAACTTTGGATCAGGCAATGAGGCCATTTCACTGTGATCCTTGTGGATCTTGCTTCTTGCTTTTAAGGTTCATTAGGTATGATCAGAGTGATTTATTTACTTTTATTTTTTTAGAGTCAGGGTCTTAGTGTTGCCTAGGCTGGAGTCAGCAGTGTGATCATAGCTCACCATAACCTCGAACTCTTGGGCTCAAGTGATCTCCTCAACTCAGCCTCCTGAGTAGCCAGGACCACAGGTATATGCCACCATGCCCAGCTAATTTTTAGAAGATTTTTGTAGAGACAGAGGTCTTGCTATGTTGTTCAGGCTGGTCTTGAACTCTTGTCCTCAAGCGATCCTCCTGGCTTGGCCTCCCAAAGTGTTGGGATTACAGGTATGAGCTACTGTGTCTAGCCCTAGAAAAGTTTTCATTACAGGGCTAATTATTCCCAATTACTGAGGCAAGATCCTTCTAGGTATTATATTCAGTGCTTGTCCAGCCTGGCTGGTGAGCACAGGCACTTTCCATGGCTCTGTATCAGCCCCAGGCACTGTTTCCTCTAATCCTCTCAGGTGGTTCTCTCCCCAGCTGCACACAGCTTCCTCACACACAGGCACTGATCGGCACTTGGCTGAGTGGCAGAGGCAAACCCTCTGTGAATCGCTGCAGTTCTCTCTGTGTAGCTGTCTCCGCTCTCAGGCTCTGACCTGTGGACTCCAGCCTCCTGGACTCCTGGGACTCTAAGCTCTGTCTCCTTCCACTGTGGAGTCAGGCAAGCTTCCTCTGGGTTCCCCCTCCCTGTACCACGGATTAGAAACTTTCTCAAGGCAGTGAGCTGGGCAATTACAGGACTAACCTTGTTTGTTTCCAATCTCTTGGGGACTACTGTCCTTTACTGTCTAATGTTCAGTGTCTTGTTTATCATATTTGTCTTTTTCTTTTTCAGGCAGGAGGGCACACCCACATTCTGATACTTCATCTTGGCTGGAAGTGGAAGTTTCCTGGTGCTGTCTGTTTTAAAACTTTTTATTATGGAAACATTCGTACATCACTTATAATAAACCTGTTTGCATCTACTATCCAGGTTTAATCAAAATCAACTCATGGATAATATTGTTTCATCTCCTCTCCCACCCATTCGCCTGTCCCCAGAAAACCCCTGCATGATATTACTTCATCCATCCACGTCAGTATGTATCTTATTTTTCTTAGCACTATCATAATAAAAATATCATATCTAAAAGTAGTTATTCTTTAATATCAAATATCCAGTAAATGTTAAGTGCTCACATTTCCCAGATTGTCTTATAATTTTTCTTTTTTAGTTTGTTGGAATCAGTATTCAAATAATGTGCATACATTATCACTGTTTGACAGATCTCTTAAGCCTTTTTTAATCTACAGCACAGGTTGGCAAACTACTGCCCATAGGCTGGCTGGCTGCCTGTTTTATAAATAAAAGTTTTGTTAGAACACAGCTGCCTATAGATTGCTTTAGGCAGGAAGGACCTTGAAGGCAGGGCCTACTCTTCTTTCTTCCTGGGTCTCCCACACTCAGCCCAGAGGCCCTCAACGCCTGCTTGGAGATTGGAAACATGAAGGTTTGGCTTAAGTGGGAGTTCTTAATATGCAGCAGCCTCCTCTTTCCTGCCTAATCAAAGAAAATAGTTTAAATTGATTTCAGTTCGCACAGCCAATTTTTTATCTTAAAAAGTGTTTAACGACATGACTCTGAATCTGAGGGCTTCTGGTTGTTTTTTTGCTCCTTCCCTCTTCAGCTTACGCCCACATTACTGAGTGCCCACTCAGGACAGCTCATCCACAGGGCTGGGGCTCTCAGCCATGTGAAAGGGAATGGCATGGAATTCCTGGACCTCAGGGAGCCCTGGAGTGGTGGGCACATAAGTGAAGCAAAGTGAAAGGACACAAAGTGGTGGGGGGCACGGGGGAATGGGGAGGCTTTATCCATGCACAGACACCAAGAAAGACGCTGGGATGAATACGGCTGGCTTTCCAGAGAGGAAGTGTCTTTCTTTCTCTCTTTCTCTCTCTCTCTTCCTTTCCTTTCCCTTTCTTTCCTTCTTTCTTTTTCTTTCTTTTTTGTTTTTTTTTTTTGAGACAGAGTCTCACTCTGTTGCCCAGGCTGGAGTACAATGGTGTGATCTTGGCTCACTGCAACCTCTGCCTCCTGGGTTCAAGCAATTCTCCTGCCTCAGCCTCTTGAGTAGCTGGGATTACAGGTATGCACCACCACGCCTGGCTAATTTTTGTATTTTTAGTAGAGACAGGGTTTCACCATGTTGGTCAGGCTGGCCTCGAACTCCTGACCTCGTGATCTGCCCGCCTTGGCCTCCCGAAGTGCTGGGATTACAGGCGTGAGCCACCAAGCCTGGCCAAAGTGTTTAATTTTAAGCAGCCACAATGGCACAGACTTCTGAGTAAAACCAACAAAATAGGCCAGTGATGGTACCTGGGGGTTACAAGCTTCCCCAATAGGAAGGAAATAAGATCTACTTAATTGATCAGCGTGACACAAGGAAACTCACTGCAAATGGTCTTAATGGGTCTGTTTAAGAGTATTTAAATACACTCATCTCTCTAAAGGAAGAATGTGTCTTCCTGAATGAGGCCAGGCGAGAGGGAGTATCTTAGAATTCTGATCTGGAGATGTTTATTTTTATTTTTTTTGACATTTTTTCCCCAAATACGTCTGGTCTAACGGCAGAGCTCTCTCTAGTGGGAACGGGACACTTGGAAGGGCAGCCAACGGTTTCCTTTCAGTATTTCTAGACCCACTGATGGTCCCAGCCCCGGCCAAGGGCCATCACACCTTGTGGTCGAGTGTTAACTCCTGCTTAGGATTCATGGTCCCTAGACCACCTTTTTGTTCCCATTCAAGGGTGTGGGATTTGCCCATGGCAGTCCTCTAATCGCACACACTTGAAAACGCCAGAGCCGTGAATTCTGCTAAATCAGTGGCATGTGCTCAAGACTGGGCAAATCCAGCTTGATAAGCATGTGATGAATTATAAAATAAGGCACAACCAAACACAAGCTGCAGCAGAAGTCCACAAAGTTCCACAGGAGGGCAAGGAATTATCAGTGAATCCTTACCTCGTCATAGAAACTTCTTCCTCCAGACATCCACGTGGCTTGCTTTCTCACTTCCTCAAATCTTTGCTCAGATCCTATTTTTTTTAAGTGAAGCCTTCCTTGACAACCCTAATTTAAAACTGTACACACTCATACCTGCTTCCTTCTCCCCGACTTAGTTATCTCCACAGCACTAATGGCTAACACACTATATAACTTATTTCCATCTGTCTCCATGTGGGCAATTTCTGTCTGGCTGCTCATCACTGCACCTCAGCAGCTATTAATAGATCACTCTACTGAGGGACTCATACGTGCTGGGTGTTGGGCAAACAGTGAACAAAACCTTGTATGGTCCTTGCTGTCGGGGAGTTCATGATCCATCGTGGAGGGAGAGCTGAATTTCAACAGGGAGGCAGTGTGTGCAGGGGGAGGAGCAGCAGGAGCAATGGGCGGAGGCAGAAGCACAGAGGTGGGTGTCAAGTCAGGGAAAGGGATGGTGAAGAGATGCCTCAGGTAATGAGGGGAGGGACGGAATAGGACTAGATGCTGAAGGGCTGGAGTACCAGGTGGAGAAGTTTATTTTGCAGGTAATGGGGACGGAGTATGAAAAATTGGAGGAAATGGAGTTACCTGACTTGAATTTGTTTGGGAGAACCACTTCAGGGACATGCAAGGGACTGATATGAAGATGAGATGGAGCAGAGACCCCTCTTAGGGGCCTGCCGGGCACCTGCCCCCAAGCATGGAAATAAAAGGAAATCTTGAGTTCCTTCAAAGGCATTTCCAGGTACCTAGCCAGCACTGGGAAGTAAATGAGCAACTGAAGCAAGAAGGGAAGAATAACTTAAAACAATAGCCAGGGAAGTTTAAGTCACAGAATAGATCAAAGTTCCCACAGAGACTAAAGATAACATTTTAACACAAGTCCTTGAGCTGATTTCCAGAAACCAGGACACCAACAAATGAAAAGTGCTATCTGCTGGCATGCAGACCTCAGACAGGGGAAACTGAGGACTGAGCTTGGACCACCACTCTTTGTTCTAAATTTCTTCCTGAGGGGCCTGGAGGAAGTCATGCCCAGAGACCAGAGCTAACGTTCTTTTCTCCTGATCACAAATTTGCAGACAAAGCTTCGTCTCCTTAACCCATTGTAAATCAGAAAATCTTCAAATCTACCTATGACCTATGCCCTCCACCCCACATCTGGTTCAAGATGTCCTGTCTTTTTAGGTCAAACCAATGTACAGCCTCCGTGTATTGATTTATATCTTTGCCTGTAACTTCTGCCCCCTGCCTTTATTTTATTATTATTATGTTTTCAAGATGGAGTCTCGCTCTGTCTCCAGGCTGGAGTGTAATGGTGCGATCTCAGCTCACTACAACCTCCGCCTCCTGGGTTTAAGCGATTCTCCTGCCTCAGCCTTCTGAGTAGCTGGGATTACAGGTGTATGCCACCACACCCAGCTAATTTTTGTATTTGTAGGAGAGACAGGGTTTCACCATGTTAGCCAGGCTGGTCTCGAACTCCTGACCTCAGGTGATCCACCAGCCTAGGCCTCCCAAAGTGCTAGGATTACAGGCATGAGCCACCACGCCCAGCCTCTTCCTGCCTGTAAAAACGCTTACCTATATGGCACTGGGGGATTCAGGGCTTAAACATGAGCTGCCCAATTCTCCTGGCTTCCTGCCCTGAAATAAATGTCTCACTTTCTCTTACTGCAGTCTTGACGCCAGTTTTTGGCTTTGCTGTGCCAGAGAGCCAGACCCAACTTTGATCTGGTAACACAGGAAGCAGGTGAACAGGCAAGGCCACCCTCTTCTGTTTGGAGGCAGGTCAGTGTTCACTTGCCTCAGTTTACCAAGGTTGTGATCAGCCTCTGCTCCTCCTTTCTCTTATTGGCCTCCCTCTGCTGTACTGTGATTCCCATCATTGCAGTGTTTTTTTAACTTTTTTTTTGAAATAAATAAAAATACAAGAAGTTACAAATGAGGACCATGTACCTTCCGCTCAGCTTTTGCCACCATGAGGATTTATTTCCCTTTAGACATCTCCCCTCTAAATTCCTACATTACTGACATCCTCCCAATACACATCTTTCTGAGGACTTACAACAAAAATATTTCATTCTTTGAAACACTGGGTTTAGAGAAATCTTCACCCAAATAACTTTGACACCTTAAATAATCCATCATACACAATGGAACCACAGTCCTCTTACCTGTGAAAGCCAAAGGCAGGACCCAGCAGTGGGTGAGGTGAGTGAGCACTCACCACTGCCACCCTCTGTCCCACTGGGTGCAGCCGGGACCCCTGGACAGCGTGCAGGCAGCAGCGACCGGGCTCAGGAAGGTGGATCACAGTTGGAGGTGCTGATGCAGAAAGGAGACCACAGTTGGAAGTGCCACAGAGTTGGAGGTGAGCGAGACACTTCCCTTCCTCCAGTCTCCCCAGTGTGGAGTCAATGCAGCTCCTAACCCAGAGTGGGCACTAATTCCAGGAAAAGCCCAGCCAACTCGGGTACAGAAGCAGGAAAGGGGTCTCTACCGTTCTAAGAAAGTCTGGAAATCTCTAATTTATCCTTTTTTTTTTTCTTTTTCTTCTAAAATTTTTTCTTCTCTGTGCCCCAGACCTCAAGAAATTTTGTGGCCCTAGTGAGAAATGGCAGATAATTAAAGTCATCAGGCCAGGCAAACTTCCTTTCCAACCAGAGAGTCTGAGGTCCCCAGAGGGTGGGGAAACCTTCATGCTTTTTCTCTCTGGCTTCTCGCTGCTTAGCTCTGACGTGGTTCAGTCAAGTGCACCAGAGAGTAGGGTAAATCAAGCCTCAACCACCCAAGCTGGCTGGAGGGCTGAAAAGGTAGAGCCCAGGGACCCAGACACTACTGGGCAGGTTACAATGAGGAAGGGCTTCGGGAGAGCAACCCCTGAAAGTTGCTCATGAACTCTTGGGCTTACCCTTGAGCTCTACATGTATGGATCCGACCCTACACGGACCACACAGACTTTGAGTGCTGAAATGTGGGATAGATTACCACCAGAGTCCCAGGCTGGCCACTAGGTGGCGCTTGTGCCAGACAGATCCACATCTCACAGACTCACAGCAACCACAATCCACACAAGTCTTGCAGGAACTTGGAATTTGTGGTCTGAACCCATTTGGGGTGATTATCTTCTAAAATAAAGTTAATAATGTTCACTGTAAGATTTTAACAATAACCAGAATCTCAAAACATAGTATTTAAAATGTCTAGGATACAATTCAGCATACTGAAACCATACTCAGCATACAAAAAGCCAACAGCTACTCTGAGATGAAACAGATACTGGAATTATTTGACAAAGATTTTCAAGCAGTTGTTAAAAATATTGTACAAGTAAAGGAGGGTACTCTTAAAACATATAGAAAATTTTGCAAAGAAATGGAAGATATGAAGAAGAACTAAGTGGAAATATTAGAAATGAAAAAAATCAACTACAAAAATAGAAAACACACTGGCTGGGCTCACTACTGGGATGAAGATGATGGAGGAAGTAGTCAGTCAGTTCATAAATAAATTAATAGAAATGACTGAATCTGAATAACAGACAAAGCTTGAAAACCTTGAACAGAACCATAGAGACCTTAGGTAATAACAAAAGGGCCGAGCTTCCTATCATCTGAGTCCCAGAAGGAAAGAAAAAAAGGGCAGAACATAGAAACATGGAAAGAAATAGCTGAAAGTCTGGTTTACCACTAGAAGGCAATCAGTTTAATCTAGTATAGCAACAGTTTAAAGCAAAAAACCCACTTGATCTTCATTTTAAAAATTCAGTATCTATTTATTATAAAACGCTCAGCAAACTTGGAATAGAAAGAAATTTTCTTCACCTGATAAAGACCATCTACTAAAACCTATAGCCAACATTCTACTTAATGGTGAAATACTGCTTGTTCTCAGAGATTAAGAACAACACAAGGATCTTCTTTTTTAACACCACTATTTAACCTTTTGAATAGTCTTCGTCAGTGAAATAAGACAAGAAAACCAGAAAGGCCTAGAGACTGGAAAGGAAGAAATAAAACTGTCCTTACTCACAGATAACATGATCACCTATGTAGAAAATCCCAAGGAACACACACACACACACACACACACACACACACACACACACACACACAGCCCTCCTAGAACAAACTGAGTTTAGCTTTAGCAAGATTGCAGGATGCAAGATCAACACACAAAAATCAGTTATATTTCTGTATATTGCCAATGAACAAGTAGAAACTGAAATAAAAAATACCATGTACAATAGTTTACAACCCCGCCCCCCAATACACATAGAACAAAACATGTATAGGATCTACATGCCAAAAACCATAAAATGTTGACGAAAGAACTTAATGGAGGCCCAAGCAAATGGAAATTATGGCACTCCTTCATGGACTGAAAGACATAACATAGGATTGAGTTGTAGATTTACTAAAATTGTAGACAAAATCTCAGCAAAACAGTTTAGAGTAGATAGAGGTAAGCAGATCCTAAAGTTCACATAGAAAGGCAAAAAAAAAAAAAAAAAGAATAGCTGAAACACTCCTGAAAAAGAAGAATAAATTTAGAAAAATCACACTATCTGATTTTAAGACTCATTACAAAGCTACAGAAATCAATATGGCACAATGTTGATAAAAGAACAGACATAATGATCAATGGAACAGAACCACTGTCCAGAAATATATTCCTTACAAATACCCTCAGTTGGCTTTTCGTCAAATTGCAAAGGCAATTCAATTTCAATGAAAGAAGGAGGATATTTTCTATAAATGATGTTGAAACAATTGGATATCCGTATGCATAAAACTGAATCTGGACCTAAATCTCACATATTATACAAAAATCATCTCAAATGGATCATAGATCTAAATGTAAAACATGAAAGTATAAAACTTTTAAAAGACCAACTACAAGAAAATCTTCATGACCTGGAGTTATGCAAAATTTCTCAGATATGTCACTCAAAGCATGATCCTCAGAAAAAAGTCAGTTGGAACGCATCAGAATTTAAAACTGTGCCCTGTAAAAGGCCCTGTTAAGAGACTGAAAAGTCAAGCACAGATTGGGAGAAGATATTCACAAATCACAAATCTGAACAAAAGATTTATATTCAGAATATGTAAAGAACTCTTAAAACTCAATCAAACAACTCAATTTAGACATAGGCAAAAAGCCTGAACAGACATTTCACGAAAGAGAATAAAAAGATGGAAAATAAACAGCATGAAAATTTTCAACGTCATTAATTATTAGGAAAATGAAAATTAAAACCATGAAGAAATACCATCACACAGCTATCAAATGGTTAAAATGAAAAAACAAAAAAGGAAGAAATACCAAGTGTTGACAAGGATGTGGGGCAGCTGGAGCTCTCAGGCACTGCTGGTAGGAATGCAAAGTGGTACAGAACTCTGGAAAACAGGTTGGCAGTTTCTTACAAGGTTAACATGTATTTAGCCTAGAAAAATTAAAACTAGGCCAGGCACAGTGGCTCACACCTATAATCCCAGCCCTTTGGGAGGCTGAGGCGGGCAGATCACGAGGTCAGGAGCTCAAGACCAGCCTGGCCAATATGTTGAAATCCCGTCTCTACTAAAAATACAAAAATTAGCTGGGCATGGTGATGCGCGGCTGTAATCACAGCTACTCAGGAGGCTGAGGCAGGAAAATTGCTTGAACTGGGACCCAGGAGGCGGAGGTTGCAATGAGCCGAGATAGCGCCACTGCACTCCAGCCTGGGCTAGAGTGAGACTCTGTGTCACCAAAAAAAAAAAAGAAAAAACAAAGAAAAATTAAAACTATATTCACAAAATCCTGTTCTTAAATGTTTCTAGAAGCTCTAGTTGTAACTGCCAAAAATGGAAAACAACTGAAATGCCCCTGGACAGATGAGTGGAGAAATTCTGGAGTACCTGCAGAATGGAATACTACTCAGCAACAAAAAGGAACCGGCTACTGACACATGACTTGATGAGTCTCAAAATGATCTCCCTGCATGAAAAGGAGCCAGTTTCAGAAGATTAGGCTCTGTAGGACATTTATCTGACATTCTTGCAAAGAGACAAAACTAGTGATAGAAAACAGAGCACTGACTGCCAGTGGTTGGGGTAGGGGAGGGTCTGATTATAAAAGACATCAGGACAGAGAATCTGGAGGGGATGAAGTGCTTCTGTGTCCTGAATGTGGTAGTAATAACACAAATCCATACATGTGTTAAAGTTCATAGAACTAGACACAAAAAACTCAATTTTTCTGTATCTTAATGTGAAAAATATAAGTAAAAAAAATAAAGAAAAGAGATGACAACTCTTGCTTCCTATAAGGCTGTCTAGACATTAATACTGATGTTAGTACTAATTACAATAATGGCCACCACAAGCATGGTCTTCTATACTTTTTTGAGCATCTGCTACATGCTGCTTCTTTACCACACATTTTATATCACAACTTCTAATATTCACAGTCACCTTGTAAGGTGGGTTAAGCTCAACATAGAAGAAATCTCAGGGTAAGGGAAGTAAAATAATTTGTCCTATATCTCATAGTTGATAAGTGGCTGAATCTGAACTCAAACTCGGATTTCACTGCCGACCTTATTCCAAGCCTGCTTCTCCACTCTGCTGCCCACTTAATGAAAATAATGGAAACTGACAGGGAGACATTATATAATATAAATAGCAGGAAGGGAGAATCATATTTTGATTTCCATAGATTGCAAAAACTCTCAGCATATTTTATTCTAAACTTGGAGTTGGTTTGAAATTCTAATAGGTTGGGGAAAATTTAAAAACTATGCTTTTGCCATTGCCATTTTTTGATAATCCTCCAGTAGGTGGTTCTTAATTTTCAATATGATTGAATAGTTCTCTCCACTTCTGCAAATGTACAATAATTCTTATTTTCCCTAAGTGACTTAAAGAATCATTGTGACTTACAATTCTTGACCAAGTATTTACTAACTCCACAAATTGCAGTTTATACATTTGAAGTAAAGAGTAAACATTACAAAGTTCTCTCCTCTCACACAGCTGACTGTCCTGAGAAGTTGTAACTGGTCCCTCCCACCTTTACATACCACTGCCGCCATCAGAAAAAAAAAAGAAAGGTAAATCCATTTTAGAGACATAGAAACTACACTTTCATTTTAGTTCACTATGGTTATGGCTGAATACATATCTGAAAACATCATACATACGGAGGATGCAATTTCTCATGCAGCAAATGGTATCTACGTGAAAAGCTGGAGGATGAAGGCTGTCTTCTTGCTTGTGAATTACTCCCAGTGGCTTTCCTGGATAGTAGGTGCTTTTTCCACCAAAAACCCTGGCCTAGAGTATTTTCGTCTCCGCTAACACAGAGATATGAAACTAAGGCCTACCACAAAAGTATTTTCTTGAATGTTTTATAATTTCTGCTCCATTGAACATATTTTCTTAAATATAATAATTAGTGATAAAATTTTGACTTAATATCGGTAAGATGTAACACAAAGCAAAGCCCACTTAGTGCTCAAGTACCACTGTCATCAGGTATTGGAAATCTTCTTATTTGGAAGGTGGTTATGCCCAGAATGGTGGTGTGGGGAACAAGGAGGTGGGCTTACCTTCCAGCAGGTCTCTGGCCAGACCAGGTTCTGCCCCCGTGGACCGAACAAAGTCTGACAGGACTGCGTCCATATCAAGAGTCATAGGATCATGTAGAAGTGCTGCCCAACACTCAGCCGAGGTGGGGTTTGGAAGCACACTAGAAACCATCCATCTGCAGGAAAGAAGAGAAAGGGCATTTTACCACGTGATGGAAATGGAGCTGCAAGTGACAACTACATGCAGAGACCTGAGCGAGAGAACCCTCGAGGGTGGAGCCATTTCCACCTGCTGTCATATTTTTTAGAATTGGTTTGGTCCAACTGCCTGATTCTTCATGCAAGACATTATATTATAGAATGCTAACTAAAATTTCATCCCTGTGTACATGCCATGTGAGAGAAGGGGTATTATGAGCCAAATGTTTGTGTTCCCTCCCAAAATTCATATGTTGATATCTAATCTCCAAGGTGATGGAGAAAGACAGTGCCATCTATGAAGCAGGAAATGGGCCCTTACTAGACACCAAATCTGCTGGTTCCCTGATCTTAGACTTCCCAGCCTTTAGTACTGTGTGGAATACATTTCTGTTGTTCATAAGCCTCCCAAGCTATTGTATTTTGACATAGCAGCCCAGATAGACTAAGGCAAGGGGTCATCACTATCTCCAGCACTCCTGAACTTACATTTTATTAATTCCAATAACTGATGAGGAAAAAAGACTATTTTAAAATTTCAAACACCTAAGTATACCTAGAAAAATTCAGTTGGAGTTGCTAGATTTCTAATCCTCTTCCGAATTGTATAGACTTGTAATACTTCCACAATGTGATGAATGTTACCCACTCTATTCCAATTATGCCTTTATCAGTGTGCCATCCTACCCCCTCAGCTCTCACCCCTTACTTGGCTATTAGGAAAGACTAATAGCCAAGGTTAATCCACAGTTGACGGAAATACCACACTTGCTGAAGATGGCTACTGAACTATCTACCATCCCTCTAAGAGCTGCCATCAATCCAACAACATTCTTAAGAATGTCAGATTTCCCAGGCAGCATGATCCCAGCCAGAGAAATAGAATGGATGTACAGCAGCTTGACCCAGGCTGACTGTAGCAGCTGACTGCTGGGGAAAAGCAACTGTGACATTACAAGTGAGAGTAACTTACACTAGTGAATGGTGCTGGGGCCCCAGTGGGTGCTCAATCTTTGCCGGTGGAGTGCAAATGCATCCTTGTGTTTGTGTAGATAAGAGGTCTGCAAGTTATAGACCATGGGCCACATGTGGTCTGCCACCCATTTTTGTAAATGAAGTTTTATGGGAACACAGCCATACCCACTCATTTGCATAGCGTCTGTGGCTGCTTTTGCACCTGGCTGAGTTGAGTAGTTAAAACAGAGACCCTTAAGGTCCACAAAATTGAAAAGATGTACTTCCTGGAACTTTATGGAAAAAGCTTGCAGACCCCATTACAGGCAATGGAAAATTTTATGCTAGGAAGTATGTAATTAATTTTACATATTGTGGGGTGAGTTTGAATCCCATGCTATTGATGACTGTCCTCTGTTCTTTCTTTCACAGTAACCCACTGGGATGGGTGCTGCTTGGTGGAGTAGGTCCTGTGTCAGTGGCCCATGCTTTAGAGCCAGGCACATAGCCTGATTTGACCCTGGCCCTGCCCCTGTCCAGCTGTGACATGGGCTTCACCTCTCTGAGCCCTCCTGATTTTCTGTAGGAATGCAGGAAATGAGCTCACCTAACGTGCAAGACCCTGAGGACTGAGGGTCTCAGGCAGGGAGGTCTGTACCCTCAGAGACATTCACTGTGACCACCCCGTCTTGCACACAGCTCCTATTGGGTACAATTTTTAGTTGATGCGGCCAGAAAAGAAGAAAATTATTTGACCTGATGTATATGGTACCAATTAGGAAATTGATTTCTTCCTTCTCTCCATGCACTGGGGCCTCGGCCGGGAGAGTCTCTTCTTTCGTCACTGCCACCTGGGGGACAGATCAGAGAACAAGAGCATGTGATCTCCTTACTCTCAGACTGAGGCCGAAGGCTTGGCTTTTTGTCACAGGAGGCTGGATCTTGGCCTTGGCCAATTGCCTGAGGCATGTACTCTGTCTTCCTGGGCCCTACAGGTCCCCGCTTACCAGCTGACCAGCAACTCCCATGCCCGGGCCTGGCCAGGGGCTGTCTCAGCTTTCCTCGTTTTAGCAAGCACATCTATTTCAGTGAGGATTACTTGCACAGCACAGAGCTGTTTTTTCCTTTTCCTTTTTCTTTTTTTTTTTGAGACAGAGTCTTGCTCTGTCGCCCAGGCTGGAGTGCAGTGGCGCGATCTCGGCTCACTGGAAGCTCCGCCTCCCGGGTTCATGCCATCCTCCTTGCCTCAGCCTCCTGAGTAGCTGGGAGTACAGGCGCCCACCACCATGCCCAGCTAATTTTTTTTTTGTATTTTTAGTAGAGACAGGGTTTCACCATGTTAGCTAGGATGGTCTCGATCTCCTGACCTTGTGATCCGCTCACCTCAGCCTCCCAGAGTGCTGGGATTGCAGGCGTGAGCCACCACACCCAGCTTTCCAGATGTATTTCTTAAACCTCACACTGCCACCATCACCACACCCTCACATTCATGTCCCATGATGATATGGGAGGGACTGGGCTGGTGGGGACATTTGACCCCAGCTACCTGGGCCATCCTCACCCACTGCTCCGTGCCATCCTCCCAAGCATGCACTGTGCCTCTCAACCTGCCTTGTGTGGTCTAAAGCACTCACTCAGCCGCTTTGAACAGCATGAGGCTCTGGGTGGCCGTGCCCTGGCCCTGCATTCCTGTTCTCCTCAGTGCATCCTAGCCCTTGGACAGAATGTCTCTGAAGGTCTCATCAGCCACCCCAGGGAGAGTAATGTGTCCCATCAATGCATGGTGACTGCCTTAGGAGGGGCAGTGCCGTGTGGGGACAGAGCGTTGGCCCTGGAATCAGTCTCTGGGGCCAAAATGGTTCCACCACTTTGTGTGACCTTGGGCATGTTATATCGCCTCTCTGTGCCTCAGTTTCCTCATCAATACAATTATAATAATAATTGTATCTCACAGTTATTATGAAATTTTAAGGAACTCATGCACAAAATGTACTGGCCCATAGTACATGCTCAATATACATTAATTATGAGCCAATGAATGAACTCTCAACAGGGACCCTGAGACCACCCTTGCCTTCCCAGGTCTCCACTGAGCAAGAAAACTGCTTCCACCAGCTTGCTGAAGGCAGGAATAAGGGGCCTACCTCTAGTGCCTTGGCTTGGAATCACAGAGGGTTAAACTGGTGGGGGCTCCTGCCTTCAATTCCGTCTTCTTTCCCGTATCCGAGGTTGCAGTGTTCATTGATCACTTAAGCAACCTTCATGGAGCTGCTACTCTGTTCAGGCCATGACTGCAGGGACTCTGTGGGAACTATGAGCCCCCTGAGCCTTCCCAGGATCTCCCCAGTAAGCAGAAAGGGACAGACACACACATACAGGTCTCAGAGACCAACTGCTGGATTTGGAAGACACTTAGTGGAGGAAGTGGTCCAACCAGAGAGAGTAAAATTGCAAGACAGAGGTGTAGCAGGATAAAGACCAAACTACCTCAGGATCCATTTTTCATTAACTTCTGTTTTGGCCAGGTGCGGTGGCTTACACCTGTAATCCCAGCACTTTGGGAGGCCGAGGCTCGTAGATCACCTGAGGTCTGGAGTTCAAGGGCAGCCTGGCCAACATGGTGAAACCCCGTCTCTACTAATTAAAAAAAAAAAAAAAAGCCAGGTGTGGTGGCAGGCACCTGTAATCCCAGCTACTTGGGAGGCTGAGGCAGGAGAATTGCTTGAACCTGAGAGGTGGAGGTTACAGTGAGCTGAGATCGCGCCATTGCACTCCAGCCTGGGCATGAATGAATGAATGAATGAATGAATGAATGAATAAATAAATAAATAAATAAATAAATAAATAAATAAATAAAATAAAATTAAAACTTCTGTTTCAATGAAGCTCAAATAAAACACTGCTGCATTATATTTGTAGATGTTATAACTGGACACTGGAAGGCAATAAAACGGGTAGATGGAGAATGAGACTGGGAGATGATGGCAGAGGCTTGTGGTCTGATCCCTGGGGACAGGTACAGGAAGACTATGGGTGAATGAGTGCCTGGAGGTTACTCTTCACTCTCAGGACAGCAAACAGGGTAGTGAATGCTTTTAACATCTGTCTTAACAGAGGGCCAGCTGCCTGAGAGCTGGGATCCACTTCATCCTCCTTTCTATCCTCCTGCTCACAGTGCCTGGCA
This sequence comes from Homo sapiens, assembly GCF_000001405.40. Classification (NCBI taxonomy): domain Eukaryota; kingdom Metazoa; phylum Chordata; class Mammalia; order Primates; family Hominidae; genus Homo; species Homo sapiens. Next base: position 31,659,411 of record NC_000015.10, read on the forward strand.
CACAGCAGGGCCAACTCTAAGGTGAGGCGAGGAGGCACCTGCCACTGCTGCAGAATCTAAGAGGGTGCAAAAACACTCAGGAATCGACATAAACAACATTTTAGTGCTATATTTGCAAAAATAAAAATTAGCGCAAAAATATCTTTGAGGAACAAAATGTCAGCCTTTTAAATGAAGGCAAGGTTGGCATGACCATTTTTCCTTTGCCCCTGGCTCTGCAGGGCTGCCAGGCCCTGGCATGAGCTCAAAGCTGCTGCCTGGGAGGCAGGTGGTTGGGAGGCAGCCCAGTGAACACCCATCACAGCCAGAGAGCCTGACCTCAGAGAGGGCCAGCGAGGGCCACGGGAAGGGGCACACAAGTGAGTGGGGAGTGGGAGCTCGCTCTCATCAGGTCTGTTTGATGATACAGCACACTGAACACAGGGATAAGGGAACAGAGGGGTGGATGAACAGATCTGGGGTCGAGCACAGGCTTGGGAGCTGATGGCCTGGCTGGGTGCAAAGCCCCTGCAACCCTGGAAAGGCTACTTCATTTCTTGAAGCCTTGGTTGTCACATCTGAGCAATGAGGGTGAGAACAACCCTGCCTCTTAGAATTGCAGTAAGGATACAGTGAGATGACACTGAAAGAACATGCACTATTACTATTATTACCATTGACATAGATTAAAACAATAGGCAAATGTACTGTTCTGGTATTGAGAATCCACCCTTGACTACCCATACATTTATACATCCCTGTTAAGGGGGTGAATGGTTAAATATGAAAAAAGGTCAGGCATGCGTTCATCTTGTCCGGCCTGGCGAGGAAGCCCACCCTGGTAAGAAGATCAGATGCCTGGGCTCCCGTGGTGAAATGAATTGGATGTCTCAACTCAGATGTCAACATTCCAAGAGCCTGTGTGGCCCATCCCTTGCCAGACGCCATTGTGACCTTGGGCAAGCGTGGTGCACTAGGGCAGAAAGGCTTCTGTGGATGCCACATTAGGGAAACACATCTTCCAGAGCATCTTCACGGTTTAGATGAAAATTAAGAAAGCCCAGTGTCTTTCAGTGCGGGGGCATGAGTTCTGGGAAGGTTGGTTCTGCCAAACATTCATATGCGTAGAGCACATTATCATTTCCAAAGCTTGGCCACGTATATTACTTACATAACCTCCACAACACCAGCTAGAGATAAAGATGAGTCTAAGAGTAATTTGGACTGTGATGAAGCAAGTTCTCCAGGAAATTCAATGTAAAAAGCCCTGGGTGAGGAGAGGAAAGGTGCTTCTTTCTGAGGAATAAGAAGAGAAGTTTGGCCAGACAGCGACAGATAGGGCTGTGTGAAAATCAAAAGTGGCTATAGGAATGTCTGTGGGGCACATTGAAGTTCTTCGCATTGTTGCAGGATCATTTCACTCTTTAGTTTTCCCCTTGTTGAAGCTGATATTCTCAAACACATTGTCTTGTAGGAACTGAGGAAGGCTCCAGCAGCAACAGTGGGCAGTGCTGGGACACACCACTTGTACCTGAGGCTCGGAGAAGGCACATGTGTGGGCTTTGAGCCCATTTCACTTGTCCAGCAGGTGCCGCGGGCTGGACACCCAATGGGCCCAATGGGAAGGAGACATGCCTTCTGTTCAGGGGCCATGACTGGGCCTTGTGCCAGCTCTCAGAGCATCTGGTGCCTTTAAAATAAAATACGTGCATAGATGCATGATTGGAAGCAAAACAATTCCTTAGTTGACACTCACTTATTATACTTTTTCATAATTTTCTCCTAGTATGGAAAGATGGAAGAAAAGTCTCTCCTAAAATGTATAACTTTGGGAATAGCAGTAAGTGTAGGATCTACTGGGGTTTTGTCTTACATGCATTGAAATGATATACTCATCAATGACATATCAAATTCTTCAATGGTTCTTAATACGAGTTAAACAGTAGTTTAACTGACAGGAGAAAGTGGGGCACTAGAAATTGTAAATGGCACCTCAACATTCCAGTCTCTCTACTCTTGAGCTTAGATTTTTAGGCTAACAAGGAGAACACAGAATTACCTGATGGTATATATTTTAAAAATATTTTTCTAATAAAAATTTAAATATGTATAAAAGTAGACAGAAAAGGATATTAAAGCCAATGTACCCATGCCTCAGGCATGACAATCATCAATTCTTAGCCAACCATGCTTCTTCTCTATCTCCAACCCTTCTCCTGCTCACATAATTTTGAAGCAAATTCCAGATAACACATTATTTCATCCACAACTACTTCCATCTCTCTCTAAGACTCTTTAAAACATAACCACAGTACCATAATCCCACCTAAAAATAACAAAAATTCTTCAGTGCAATATCCAGTGTGCAAATTTCCAATGATATCAAATGTTGTAAGTTCACATATTTACTTTTTCAGTTTGTTTGAATCAGAATTCAAGTAAGATCTCTTATTGTAATTGGTTGATATGTCTTTTTTAATCTACAGATTTTGCCTCCGTCTTTTTCCCTCTGTTTGTTGAAAAATCTTATATATATATTTTTCTCTAGAGTTTTCTATCATCTGGCTTTTACTGATTGCTCCTATGGTGCCATGTCACATGCTCCTCTGTCCTCTCTATTTCATGTAAATCAGCACTGGGATGTAAGACTCGATCAGATTCAGATTCAATTTGGGGCACACTTTGGTGCTGTCTTCTTCCATCAGTTGGCACTGAGTATCTGTCTCTGCCTGTGATGGTCGCAGCCACTGATGATCATTGCCTAGACCCAGCAATTCAAGAGGGGTTGCGTATACTGGCAGCATAATTCTTTTATTCATTCTTTATTTATTAGCTGGAATTCTTAAAGGGAAATTTCTACTAATCTACTATTTGGTCACCCAGTGGTAGACACCTAATAGAAAAGGCAAGATAGATGCTTTATTTATGACCTTTTAATTCATCATTTTACTTGGACAAGTTGGTTCACTAGCTTCCTTCCACGGGATCAATTTGTTACTTCTTTTTTTGAAATATTTTGCATTCGTCGATTTAAACATATTTTATGCATTTCAATCTATCCAATATAGAGCAGTTGTTGTCTTTATTGATGCTTAAGTCCTGAATCAAGTTCCCTTGACACTAGTGTAGCTGATAGAGTCTTTTCTACATATCTTGTGTGACAAAATGTTTCAGGTCCCTTTTCTACATTTACTGTTCCGGATCTAGAATTCAACATTTCTCCAAAGAACTATGAGTCTTTTTTATTGAGAATGGTTTTTCAAGACCACAATCTGAATGCTTGGTGTACCCATAACTAGTGGTTTAGTCATTGTTTACAGGACTTCTTGGACAGCTAAGAAATATGTTTGTTTTAAAAACAAATTTTGAGTTCATTCTAATATTTCCAATTCAAATTGAAGACTTAGGAGTTTTTACTTAACCTAATCTCTTTTACAGATGAACCTCCTTCCCACACCAAATCCTAGTTCCTAATAAAATCAGGAATGATAGCATATTACACAGTTACTCTTTCAATTTATCCTGCTCAAATCAAAGCTATTGATTTCTGTGTGCTAAATTTATATCTTGCTATTTTACTAAGTTCTTACAATTTATAGCAAATTTTCAGTTTTTTTTAGTTTTCCAGATACACAATCATATCAAATGCAAATATAGTTTGTGTTAACTCTTTTTTTTTTTGAGATGGAGTATCCCTCTATTGCCAAATCCTGTCCGATTTCCTTGATTAATGCATTCAATATAATATTACATACTATGAGATGTTATGGGCATCTTTGCTTTGCTCCTAACTTTAGTGGAAATAACTTTGGTGTTTCCACACTGAAAAAGATGCTGGGTGTGGGGTCTTGGGCTAAACACACACACACACACACACACACACACACACACACAAGTTTTTAAAAATTTAAAGTTCCAGGATACATGTGCAGGATGTGCAGGTTTGTTACATAGGTAAACGTGTGCCATGGTGGTTTGTTGTACCTATCAACCCATCACCTGGGTATTAAGCCCTGCATGCATTATTTATCCTGATGCTCACCATCCCCCCCACCCCCCGACAGGCCCCAGGGTGTGTTGTTCCCCTCCCTGTGTCCATGTGTTCTCATTGTTCAGCTCTCACTTATAAGTGAGAACATGTGGTGTTTGGTTTTCTGTTCCTGTGTTAGTTTGCTGAGGATAATGGCTTTCAGTTCCAACCATGTCCCTGCAAAGGACATGATCTGTTTCCTTTTTATGGCTGCATAGTATTCCATGATGTATATGTACCACATTTTCTTTAAAAAATTTTTATTTTTCCATAAGTTATTGGGGTACAGGTGGTGTTTGGTTACATGAGTAAGTTCTTCAGTGGCGATTTTTGAGATTTTGGTGCACCCATCACCTGAGCAGTACACACAGAACCCTATTTGCAGTCTTTTATCCTTTGCTCCCCTCCCATCCTTCCCCCCAAGTCCCCAAAGTCCATTGTATCATTCTTATGCCTTTGCGTCCTCATAGCTTAGCTCCCACATATCAGTGAGAACATACGATGTTTGGTTTTCCATTCCTGAGTTACTTCACTTAGAATAATAGTCTCCAGTCTCATCCAGGTCACTGCAAATGATGTTAATTCATTTCTTTTTATGGCCAACTAGTATTCCATTGTATAAATATACTATAGTTTCTTTATCCACTCATTGATTGATGGCATTTGGGTTGGTCCCATGATTTTGCAATTGTGAACTGTGCTGCTACAAACATGCGTGTGCAAGTATCTTCTTCGTATAATGATTTCTTTTCCTCTGGGTAGATACCAAGTAGTGGGATTGCTGGATCAAATGGTAGCTCTACTTTTAGTTCTTTAAGGAGTCTCCACACTGTTTTCCATAGTGGCTGCACTAGTTTACATTCCCACCAGAACATTCCCTGTTCACCACATCCATGCCAACATCTACTGTTTGTTGATTTTTTTTTTTTATTACGGCCATTCTTGCAGGAGTAAGGTGGTATTACATTGTGGTTTTGATTTCCATTTCCCTGACCATTAGAGATTTGAGCATTTTTTCATGTTTGTTGGCCATTTGTATATCTTCTTTTGAGAACTGTCTATTCATATCCTTAGCCCACTTTTTGATGGGATTTTTTTTTCTTACTGATTTGAGTTTGTGGTAGATTCTGGATATTAGTCCTTTGTCAGATGTATAGATTGTGAAGATTTTCTCCCACTCTGTGGGGTATCTGTTTACTCTGCTGGCTGTTCCTTTTACCATGCAAAAGCTCTTTAGTTTAATTAAGTCCCAGCTATTTATCTTTGTTTTTATTGCATTTGCTTTTGGGTTCTTGCTCGTGAAATCCTTGACTAAGCCAATGTCTACAAGGGGTTTTCCAATGTTATCTTCTAGAACTTTTATAGTTTCAGGTCTTAGATATAAGTCATTAATCCCTCTTGAGTTGATTTTTGTATAAAGTGAGAGATGAGGATCCTGTTCCATTCTCCTACATGTGGCCAGCCAATTATCCCAGCATCGTTTGCTCAAAAGGGCATCCTTTCCCTACTTTATGTTTTTGTTTGCTTTGTCAAAGATCAGTTGGCTGTAAGTATTTGGGTGTATTTCTGGGTTCTCTATTGTTTTCCATTGCTCTATGTGCCTATTTTTATACCAGTACCACGCTGTTTTGGTGACTACGGCCTTATAGTATAGTTTGAAAGCAGGTAGTGTGATGCCTCCAAATTTGTTCTTTTTGCTTAGTCTTACTTTGGCTATGCAGGCTCTTTTTTTGGTTCCATACGAATTTTAGAATTGCTGTTTCTAATTCTGTGAAGAATGATGGCAGTATTTTGATGGGGATTGCACTGAATTTGTAGATTGCTTTTGGCAGTATGGTCATTTTCTCAATATTGATTCTACCCATCCATGAGCATGGGATGTGTTCCCAATTGTTTGTGTCATCTATGATTTCTTTCACCAGTGTTCTGTAGTTTTCCTTGTAGAGGTCTTTCATCTCCTTGGTTAGGTATATTCCTAAGTATTTGATTTTATTTTTGCAGCTGTTATAAAAACGGTTGAGTTATTGATTTGATTCTCTGCTTGGTCTCTCCTGGTGTATAGAAGAGCTACCAATTTGTGTACATTAATCTTGTATCCAGAAACTTTGCTGAATTCTTTCATCAGTTCTAGGAGCTTTCTGGAGGAGTCTTTAGGGTTTTCAAGGTAAACAATCATATTATCAGCAAACAGTGATAGTATGACTGCCTCTTCACTGATGTGGATGCCCTTTATTTCTCTCGTCTGATTGCTCTGGCTAGGACTTCAAGTACTATGTTGAAGAGGAGTGGTGAGAGTGGGCATCCTTGTCTTGTTCCAGTTCTCAGAGGGAAGCTTTCAACTTTTCCCATTCAGTATTATGTTGGCTATGGGTTTGTCACAGATGGCTTTTATTACATTGAGGTATGTCCCTTGTATGCCGATTTTGCTGAGAGTTTTAATCATAAAGCGATGCTGGATTTTGTTGAATGCTTTTTCTGCATCTATCGAGACGATCACGTGATTTTTGTTCCAAATTCTGTTTGTGTGGTACATTGCGTTTATTGACTTGCGTATGTGAAATCATCCCTTCATCCCTCGTATGAAACCCACTTGATCATGGTGGATTTTTTTTTTTGATATTTTGTTGGATTCTGTTAGCCAGTATTTTGTTAAGGATTTTAGCATCTATGTTCAGCAAGGATATCAGTCTGTAGTTTTCTTTTTTGGTTATGTCCTTTCCTGGTTTTGGTATTAGGGTGAGGCTAGCTTCATAGAATGAATTAGGGAGGCTTTCTTCTTTCTCTGTCTTGTGGAATAGCGTCGAATTCTGCTGTGAATCCATCTGGTCCTGGACTTCTTTTGTTGGTAATTTTTAAATTAAGATTTCAATCACACTGCTTGTTATTGGTCTGTTCAGGGTATCTAATTCTTCCTGATTTAAGCTAGGAGGATTGTATTTTTCCAGGAATTTATCCATGTCTTCTAGGTTTTCTAGTTTATGTGTGTAAAGGTGTTCATAGTAGCCTTGAATAATCCTTTGTATTTCTGTGGTGTCACATCTTTTGTATTTCTGTGGTGTAATATCTCCCGTTTGTTTCTTAATGAGGTTATTTAGATTTTCTCTCTTCTTTTCTTAGTTAATCTTGCTAGTGGTCTTGAATTTTATTTATTTTTTCAAAAAATCAGCTTTTGTTTCATTTATCTTTTGTATTTTGTTTGTTTCAATTTCATTTAGTTCTGCTCTGATCTTGGTTATTTCCTTTCTTCTGCTGGGTTTGGGTTTGGTTTGTTCTTGTTTCTCTAGTTCCTTGAGGTGTGACTTTAGAATGTCAGTTTCTGCCCTTTCAGTCTTTTTGATAGGTGTTTAGGGCTATGAACTTTCCTCCTAGTATCCCCTTTGCTGTATCCCAGAGGTTTGATAGGTTGTGTCATTATTGTCGTTGAGTTTGAATAATTTTTAAATTTCCATCGTGATTACATTTTTGACCCAATGCTCATTCAGGAACAGGTTATTTAATTCCCATGTATTTGCATGGTTTTGAAGGTTCCTTTTGGAATTGATTTCCAGTTTGCCTCCACTGTGGTCTGAGAGAGTGCTTGATATACTTTAATTTTCTTATATTTACTGAGGCTCATTTTGAGGCCTATCATATGGTCTACCTTGGAGAAACTTCCATGTGCTGTTGAATAGAATGTGCATTCCGTGGTTGTCGGATGAAATGTTCTGTACATATCTGTTAAGTCCATTTGTTCCAAGGTATAGTTTAAATCCATTGTTTCTTTGACTTTCTATCTTGATGACCTGTCTAGTGCTGTCAGTGGAGTACTGAAGTCCCCCATATTATTGTGTTGCTGTCTATCTCATTTCTTAGGTCTATTAGTAATTGTTGTATAAACTTGGGAGCTCCAGTGTTAGGTGCACGTATGTTTAGGATTGTGATGTTTTCCTGTTGGACAAGGCCTTTTACCATTATATAATGGTCCTTCTGTGTCTCTTTTAACTGCTGTTGCTTTAAAGTTTGTTTTGCCTGATATAAGAATAGCTACTGCTGCTTGCTTTTGGTGTCCATTTGCATGAAATGCCTTTTTCCACCCCTTTACTTTAAGTTTACGTGAGTCCTTATGTGTTAGGTGAGTCTCCTGAAGGCAGCAGATAGTTCATTGGTGAGTTCTTATTTATTTTGCAGTTCTGTATATTTTAAGTGGAGCATTTAGGCCATTTACATTCAATGTTATTATTGAGATGTGAGGTACCATTGCATTCATTGTGCTATTTGTTGCCTGTGTACCTTGGTTTTTTCATTTTTTGTTTTTGCTTTTTAACTTGTATTTTTGTTTTATAGGTCCCGTGTGATTTATGCTTTACAAAGTTTTGTTTTGATATGTTTCTAGGATTTGTTTCAAGATTTAGAGCTCCTTTTAGCAGTTCTTCTAGTGGTGGCTTGGTAGTGGTCAATTCTCTCTGTATTTTCTGAAAGGCTGTATCTTTCTATCATATATGATGCTTAGTTTTGCTGCATACAAAATTCTTAGCTGAAAATGGTTTCATTTGAGGATACTGAAGATAGGGCCCCAATCCCTTCTAGCTTGTAGGGTTTCTGCTGAGAAATCTGCTGTTAGTCTGACAGGTTTTCCTTTATAGGTTACCTGGTGCTTCTGTCTCACAGCTCTTAAGATTCTTTCCTTCATCTGAACTTTAGATAATCTGATGACAATGTGCCTAAGTGATGATCTTTTTGAGATGAATTTCCCAGGTGTTCTTTGTGCTTCTTGTATTTGAATGACTAGGTCTCTGGCAAGGCCAGGGAAGTTTTCCTCCATTATTCCCCCCAAATATATTTTTCCAAGCTTTTAGAAATCTCTTATTCCTCAGGAACACTGATTATTCTTAGGTTTGGTTGTTTAACATAGTCCCAGCCTTCTTGGAGGCTTTGTTCATATTTTCTTATTATTTTTTCTTTGTCTTTGTTGGATTGGATTAATTCAAAGACTTTGTCTTCGAGCTCTGAATTTCTTTCTTATACTTGTTCAATTCTATTGCTGAGATTTTCCAAAGCATTTTGCATTTCTATAAGTGTGTCCAGTGTTTCCTGAAGTTTTGATAGTTTTTTCTTTAAGCTCTCTATTTCCTTGAATATTTCTCCCTTCCCTTCTTTTATTGTTTTTTGGATTTCCTCACATTGGGCTTTGCCTTTCTCTGGTGCCTCCCTGATTAGCTTAATAACTAACCTCCTGAATTATTTTTCAGGTAAATCAGAGATTTCTTCTTGGTTTGGATCCATTGCTGGTGAACTAGTGTGATTTTTTGGGGGGTGTTAAAGAGCCTTGTTTGGTCATCTTAGCAGGGTTGGTTTTCTGGTTTCTTCTCATTTGGGTAAGCTCTGTCAGAGGGAAGGTCTAGGGCTGCAGGCTGTTGTTCAGATTCTTTTGTCTCATGGCGTGTTCCATTGTAGCAGTACTCTCCTGCTTTTCCTATAACTGTGGCTTCCTGCCAGCCAAACTGCAGCGACTGCTGTCTCTCTTCTGGGTCTAGCCACCCAGCAAGTCTACCTGGCTCCAGACTGGTACTGGGTATTGTCTGTACAGAGCCCTGTGATGTAAACCATCTATGGGTGTCTTAGCTGTGGACACCAGCACCTGTTCTCCTGGAGCTGGTGGTGGGGTCAAATGGACTCTGCAAGGATTCTTAGCTTTGGTGGTTTAATATCCTATTTTTGTGATGGTTGGCCACCTGCCAGGAGATGGCACTTTCCAGGGAGCATCAGCTGTGGTAGCATGGAGAAGAACCAGTGGTGGGTGGGGCCCTAGAACTCCCAAGATTACATGCCATTTATCTTCAGCTACCAGGGTGGATAGGGAAGGCCCATCAGGTGGGGGCAGGGTTGGGTGTCGTAGTTCAGACTGTCCTTCGGTGCGTCTTGCTGAGGCTGCTGTGGGGGATGGGGGTGAGGTTCCCAGGTCAATGGAGTTGTGTACCTACGAGGATTATGGTTGCCTCTGCTGAGTCATGCAGGCTGTCAGGGAAGTGAGGGAAAGCCGGCAGTCGCAGGCCTCACCCAGCTGCCATGCAGTCCGAAGGGCCGGTCTTCTCCCACTGTGCCTCCCCTAACAGCCCCAAGTCTGTTTCCAGGCAGTGGGTGAGCAGAGCTGAGAACTTGCCCCAGGTTACCTGCTTCCCAGCTAGAAAGAAAAGGGCTTGGTTCTACCCCCGCCTGTGGAGAGTCTGCAGGACAGATTCGCACCCTCCCCTGAGTTCTGGCAAAGAGGCTTCTCACCCAGTTCAAATTGTTACAAAGTTCAGCTGGAGACTTCCTTCTCCCTGTGGTGTTTTTCCCCCCTCCTCTGGCTTCCCTCCCAAAGGATCCCTGTGGTGCCAGGCAGGAATGGCCTGCTTGGGGACCCAGGGAGCTCCCAGGGCCTTTCCCACTGCTTCCTCTACCCCTGTATTTCACTCAGTTCTTTAAACTGACTCAGCTCCAGTTAAGGTCGGAAACTTCTCCTGCAAACAGACCTTCAATTTCTCCATTGGGGGTGTGTGTTCGGGAGAGCAGGATCTCCCTTTTCCACTTCCGCAGGTGAGCACTCACAGTATTTGAGGTGTTTCCTGGGTCCTGCAGGAGCAGTCTGCTTCCTTCAGAGGGTCTGTGGGTCCTCTCAGGACTGCTGGTTTGTTCTTGCAGTCGATCTGGAGCTAAAAATTCACGATGCAAGCCTCGGAATGCTGCTGTGTCCATCTGAGTCAGAGCCATGAAGATCCCATATTTTCTTTATCCAGTCTATCACTGATGGGCATTTGGGTTGATTCCATGTCTTTGCTATTGTGAATACTGCTGAAATGAACACACACATGCATGTATCTTTATAACAGAATGATTTGTATTCCTTTGGGTATATATAGTAATGGGATTGCCGGGTCAAATGTTATTTCTGGTTCTAGGTCTTTGAGGAATCGCCACACTGTTTTCCACAATGGTTGAACTAATTTACATTCCCACTAACAGTATAAATGCATTCTTATTTCTCCACAGCGTCACCAGCATCTGTTGCTTCTTGGCTTTTTAATAATTGTCATTCTGACTAGCACGAGATGGTATCTCATTGCAGTTTTGCTTTGCATTTCTGTAATGACCAGTGATGTTGAGCTCTATTTCATATGTTTGTTAGCCACCTAAATGTCTTCTTTTGAGAAGTGTCTGTTCATATCCTTTGCCCACTTTTTAATGGGTTTGTTTCTTTCTTGTAAATTTGTTCCTTGTAGATTCTGGATATTAGACCTTTATCAGATGGCTAGATTATAAAAATCTTCTCCCGGCCGGGCGCGGTGGCTCACGCCTGTAATCCCAGCACTTTGGGAGGCCGAAGCGGGCGGATCACGAGGTCAGGAGATCAAGACCATCCTGGCTAACAAGGTGAAACCCCGTCTCTACTAAAAATACAAAAAAAAAATTAGCCGGGCGTGGTGGCGGGCGCCTGTAGTCCCAGCTACTTGGGAGGCTGAGACAGGAGAATGGCATGAACCCGGGAGGCGGAGCTTGCAGTGAGCCGAGATTGCACCACTGCACTCCAGCCTGGGGGACAAAGCGAGACTCCGTCTCAAAAAAAAAAAAAATCTTCTCCCATTCTGTAGGCTGTCTGTTCACCTGACAACAGCTTCCTTTGCTGTGCAGAAGCTCTTTAGTTTAATTAGATCCCAATCTTTGCTTTTATTGCAATTGCTTTTGATGTTTTTGCCATGAAATCTTTGCCCATGCCTACGTCCTAGATGGCATTGCCTAGATTTTCTTCTAGGGTTTTTATAGTTTTGGGTTTTACATTTAAATCTTTAATCCATCTTGAGTTAATTTTTGTATAAGGTGTAAGGAAGGGATCCAGTTTCAATTTTCTGCATATGGCTAGCCAGTTTTCCCAGCACCATTTATTAAATAAGGAATCCTTTCCCCATTGCTTGTTTTTGTCAAAAATCAGATGGTTGCAGATGTGTGGTCTTATTTCCAAGATCTCTATTCTGTTCCATTGGTCTATGTGTCTGTTTTTTGTAGCAGTACCATGCTGTTTTGGTTTCTGTAGCCTTGTAGTATAGTTTGAAGTTGGGTAGTGACACACACGTTTAAAAGGTATACATGAACCTCTTCTACTGAGTGGTTTTATTATGGATAGATGTTGACTTTCATACTATTTTTTTCATAAAATCTACTAATATGATGAATTATATTAATGTGCTTCCTAATACTGAACCTAACTCATGTTTCTGGAATAAATCTCCTTTAATCATTCATTGATGTTTCTTTTTATGTGCTTTTTGATTTGGTTTTGCTAATTTTTATTTAAAACTCTTTTTTAAACGATTCCCATAATACTTGTTTATTTTTTTCTAACTTTTACTTTAGGCTCGGGGGACATGCACAGGTTTGTGATATACGTAAACTGCATGTCATGGGGGTTTGGTGTACAGATTATTTTGCCACCCAGGTAATAAGCATAGGACCTGCTAGGTAGTATTTTTATCCTCATCCTCTTCCCACCCTCCATCCTCAAGTAGGTCCCGGAGTCTGTTGTTCCTTTCTTTGAGTCCGTGTGTACTTAATGCTTAGCTCCCACTTTTAAGTAAGAACACGCGGCATTTGGTTTTCTGTAAAATTCTTAAATTAATATTAATAAACTAGATTGAGCTATGGTTTTTACTTTTATGTGTAATCGTTGTCAGGCTTTATAGTTAATATTATATACATAAAACAAAATTGAAAGTTTCACTTTATTTTCAATGCTCTGGATTAACCTAAGTAGCACCAGGGCCATTCGATATCTGAAGGTTGGTAGATTTGACCCACAAATCAATCTTCCTGGTCCTTCTTTTTCAGGGAGCTCTTTTACACCTTCCTCTAATTTTTTCCTGTGGAAATTGCTCTGCCCAGTCTTTCTATCTCTATATGGTTTAATTTTGTTAGGTCATATTTTCCTAGAGATTTATCCATCTTAACTTGGTTTTCAAATTTATTTGAATGGAGTTAAAAAGATTCTTCCCATGGGCCTAAATCCCCTATCTATCTCACTAAGGAAAATAAATGTTACTTGCTGAGTGCCCACAATTACATTGATCGTGCTTACTGCTTTAAGGGTGAGTTAACTCTCCTACAGGCAACAATTCCACAGGGACAGTGGTTTAGTTCCACTTTACTAAAGCCCAGAGTGCCCAGTGGCAGAGTAAGGATTCCCACATAGACTCACTTTGATCCAAAAGTCACCATTGTTCCATCACACAATACCATCCCTTTACAATGGAACGGGGTGTCTTCAAAAGGTGTCAGGTCAAAACATCTGGTGCCTTTGAAATATATTATGTGCATAGATGCATGATTGGAAGCAAAACATTTCCTTAGTTGACACTCACTCAGTTGTACCTTCCCATAGTTTTCTCCCAGTATGGAAAGATGGAAGAAAAGTCTCTTTTAAAATTTACATATTTGGGAATAGCAGTAAGTGTAGGACCTACTGAAGTCTTCTCCTGTGTGCACTGAAATGATATACTCATCAATGGCATATAGAATTCTTCCAGGGTTCCTCCTATGACAGCAAGTGTATAGCTGTCATTACAGTCATGGGCTTAGGATCCCAAAAAGGTTACAGACTGTTCATAAAAACTACAGATGCTCAATTTATGATGGGGTTATACACCAATAAACTTACCTTAAGTTGAAAATACATTAAGTTGAAAATGAATTTAATATTCCAATAAATCCATCTTAAAGCTGAAATAAGTCGAACCATCGTTAAGTCCAGAAGCTCCTTGACTTATGATGGGGTAACCTCCCAAGAAATCTATCCTAAAGTTAGAAAATCCTAAGTCCAACCATTCTAAATTTGGACTAGTTTGTAGACAATTCCTAAAGTATCCACAAGGAATAATAATCAATAGTTTTGAAGAAAAGTCTTAAACATGAAAGTGAACTTTGTAAGGACCCAAAACATGGTAACACTTGTTCTGACTTGTAGAAAACTACAATCTTGCAACAGTGTAATGTGCCCACACCCTGAAAAGATCACCTTACACGAGAACCTCCATGTCACAGAGATTATCTCATCCCTGAAAATGCGCAGCAGAGCTTGACTGACAATTCTAAACCCTCAGCATTGGAATGCTTGCAAGGCCGCTTTGCTTTGAAAGATTTATGTTTTTATTCTTCAGGCTCACAAATCTAGCTGTTACACTGGCATAAAATATGTGCCTGAATCAGACCAATGTGCCATTGACAAGGGTTTAAAAAAAATCCAAAAACCTTACAAATCAGGTTGCTACTTTTCCTATCGATTCCAATCATTAAATCAGTTCTTCTGGGTAAAGGCACCTTATTTTCAAGGAAAAGACAGCCTAATGGGTCAGCCTCTTTTCCTGGCCTGCCATTGTCATTGTGACAAGTGTTGGGGCACACTTTGCGCATTGAGCTGTCACCCCAACCTACTTGCCTCCTTCTTCTCTCTGTGAAGGCTGCCCTGGAGGACAGGGTTCATGTTTTATTTGTCTTAACATCACCACAAGCTGGAATATACCGGATAATAAGTATGCTGAATAAATGAACAAAAGGAAACTAAAAACACTAAACCTACCTTCATACTCCATTCTGATGGGCAGACATGAAAATACCCAAAATTCCACCTAGATTGGAATCAGTACTCTAATACTGCTTACAAGTAAACCCATTGGAATATAAGAAAGGAACAGTTCTCTGTGCCTGGCAGATGAAGACAGCTGAAGGTAAGATAAATTTTTTAGGAGGATTAAGGAAAAGTGCAAAGAGGGCATTCTGGGCTGGATGAGCAGCATGGGTGTTGGCCGGGCACAGATACCCCAGTGTGTCCAGGAGAGCCGGTGGCCAAGAGGCTGGGGATGAAGGTGAGGGCCAGCCCTGGGGGCTGCCAGGGTGAGTAGCTTACCTATGTTATGAGGCCAGTGGGAGGCTGATGAGAATTTCAGAAGACAGAACTGACAGGAATGACATGCTTTAGGAAAATAAATGAAGATACAAAAAATTGGCATCCAGAGCCTAGAAGGCAACGGGCAGGTGCTAGCCCAGCTTCTTAGATGTTGTCCACTGCATACCCTTGCACCTACTGCAGACTGAATCTTGGTTTATCAGGGAGCAGTTGAGACCCTGGATTTCAGAAAAGACAGACAAAATTCCTAGCACCCAGGGATGAAATGCAATTGGTAAAAGCCCGTTATTCCCTGACTTGTGATTCACCAATCTGCATGTGCCATGCTGGACGACGATCCAGTCTACCTGATGGAAATGGTTGGGTTTCCAACTGGTTGGGTTTAGAGGAAAGCACTTGCTTACCTGATAGAAAGAGACAGGCTTAAATGGAATAGTCCTTTCTCATGATGCCTTTTTCCCCTTCTTTCTGCCTTGAGTGAGGAAATAACATCTGCAAGTCCACCCACCATTCTGGGAGTACAAAACATAATGCAAGAGGACAAAACCCAAGAAAAGTTGGGTGGAGTAGGAAGCTATTTCCGATGGTATCATGGAACACTTGCACCAGCCGTAGACAGTCCACCCGTGGACTTCTTATTATACTTCTCATCTAAGTATCTATTTTTTCAAGCCAGTTAAGTCAAATGTCTGGTTACTTGTAGCTGAATGTATTCCTAATTGATAGACAAAGGTAAAATGACTTAGAGGTCTGAACTAGAAAAGAGGCAATAGAAAAAAAAAACCCAAGGCAAATACCATTTATAAACATAGATGTACAACTTAAAATTAAAGATTAGCAAATGAGTCCATAACACAGAAAAAGACATAAAGAGACAAATTAGAGCCTTGGAGCTGCTGCAGCCATCTTGGGTGCTTGGTTGTGGGGGTTATTAGGGTGGAAAGAGATGAGTCTGTGGGGTTCTAGAGATGCCATTACCAACCCTGGAGTGCCTCATTCTCGTACATGTGAGAGAAGTGAATTCTCCTCTTGTTAAATCTGCCATAATGTCTCCTCTCTGTTACTAACAGCCAAACATGATTCTCATGCCAATACACTATCTTAACAAATTTGAGGAGAAAAACCATACGGTCATCTTAAAAGATGCCAAAAAGCCCACAGTTATTCATTATACCACGTTGAAACAAACCAGGAATAGAAGGAACCTTTTTTTCTACTTATTAAATGATATTGATTCTAATTTTTTAGGACTTATCAGACCTAATAATGAAAACTTTAGAAGCATTTCCATCAAGGTTTAGAACAAACTCATGACTAAGTATTGTAACAAATGAGAACATTTTAAATGGCTGGAACAAGATCAACATCCAAAAATCAACACTTTTCCTACATGTCAACATTAGCCAAGTTAGAATTTTAAAAACAACACAAAAAGATCTATTTCATAATAGCCAACCAACCCCCACCAAATATCCTGTAAGTTAATTAGGAAAAACACACAAAAAGAAGGAAACCTTTATTTTTTTTCCTTTGCAGAAAACAATAAATCTTTAATGAGGTATAGAAAGAGAACTTCAATAAATGGATGGGAAGACTATATTGGTAAGTTGCCAGTTCCTCTCTAATATGTATAATAAATTGAATGCAATCAATACAGAATTTTTTGTGGAAGCTGACAAACAGTTTCTAAAACTTAGAAGAATAAGCCAGTAATTCCAAGACAATTTTGAAGAAAATAAGTTGCATGTTTGTTCTCCCACACTTCACACATAAAGATATTGTGACTAAAGTGATGGATACACAGGAACAGACAGAGACACATGGACCTGTGGAGGAGAACAGAAAATGCAGAGATGTGTGAGGGTAGTGGGAGAAGAGAGAGAGAATTTGGTAGATGATAATGGCAGATGCCCTTAACTTCCCATCCAATACCCATTCCCCTTCCTTATTGCCAACAGACCTTTGCTTTTGCTCATGGCTACAATGTGCTCAGCCCCATGTAGTAAATCCACGGGCTTAATACATGGGCTGATGATTGGGCTAAGTGAATCAAGACAATTCTGACTTCTGCTTTACCAGTTTTTCCTGCAGCTAAAAGTATCCATGTGGCCAGTTCTTTCTCCTCCATGAGCTGCCAAAATGCAACAGGAAATCTGCTAGGCTACTTTTGGCAAATGTTTTGCTTTCCTAAGAGGTATGCATAGAATCCTTCCACCTTGAAGTGATGTGATACGAGAAGCTGTGCTGGCCTGTGACCATGAGGGACGGGTCAAGAGAACCTGAAAGATGCTGCCATGACATCACTGAGCAGTCAACCCAATGGTGCACTGGCTCCCAACTCTGTCTTGTGAAATTAAACATCTCCAACGAAGCTGAAAGCATCGCTAACTGACAGAATGACACACGTGGGGAATCCCAAATTTCTGAAAAACCTGTGGGAAAAGGACCACATTATAAAATTTATAAAATAAGTTGGAAACCTAATTGGAAAAAATAAAGCAAGATTCCCTACATCATATCACTGACCAACAAATTCCACAGGAATTAAATACACATAGACAAGAAGTAAAACTGTAAGTGTGCCAGAGAAAAGTATAGGTGAATACATTTATGACCTTGCGGTAATAAAGTGTGCTGGAGACCCTGCCTGATGTTGACCATGGCCCTTGCCTTTGTGTTTCTAGGTCACATTTCTTGGCCTCCCAAGGCCAAGCAAGGTGTGGCCACGTGACTTAAGTTCCATGAAAATAGAATATGGCATGGAAGGAACGTGAGCCATTTCCAGGCCTGGCCCCAGTCTCCCACTGCATCCCCACTTCTCCCTTATCTCTTATTTGCCAGCTCAGCTCATTAGAGAGGATTCAGCAGAGAGTCAGTGACTCCAGGGGATAGTAGAGCTGCTGGATGGGAGAAATGTGGGTCCCTACATGATGGTGTGGTCTCTATCAGGCTGGCACATGGCAAGAAATAAAGCTGCCTTGTGTTAAAGTGCTGAGATTTGTGGGGATGTTCATTTTAGCATTTAGCCAGCCCTAACTAATAAATAAAGCCTTTTTAAGAGCTAAAAAGTGAAGGTCCATCCAATATGGTTTGGCTGTGTCCCCACCCAAAATGTCATCCTGAATTGTAATCCCCATAATCCCCATGTGTCAAGGGTGGGATCAGGTGGAGGTAATTGGATCATGGGGGTGGTTTCCCCCATGCTGTTCTCATGATAATGAGTGAGTTCTCATGAGATCTGATGGTTTTTATAAGTGCCTGGCATTTCCCCTGCTTGTATTTCTCCTTCCCGCTGTCCTGTAAAGAAGGTATCTTGCTTCCCCTTCACCTTCCACCATGATTGTAAGTTTCCTAAGGACTCCCCAACCATGCTGAACTGTGAGTCAATTAAATCTCTTTCCTTTGTAAATTACCCAGTCTCAGGCAGTTCTTTATAGCAGTATCAAAACAGACTAATAGAGTAAATTGGTATCACAGAGAGTGGGGTGCTGCTATAAAGATACCCAAGAATGTGGAAGTGACTTTAGAACTGGGTACAGGCAGAAGTTGGAACAGTTTGGAGGGCTCAGAAGACAGGAAGATGTGGGAAACTTTGGAACTTCCTAGACTTGCTGAGTGGCTTTGATCAAAATGCTGACAGTGAGATGGACAATCAAGTCCAGGCTGAGGTGGTCTCAGATGGAGATGAGGAACTTGTTGGGAACTGGAGCAAAGGTGACCCTTTTTATGCTTTAGCAAAGAGACTGGTGGCATTTTGCCCCTGCCCTAGGGATCTGTGGAACTCTGAACTTGAGAGAGATGATTTAGGGTATCTGGTGGGAGAAATTTCTAAGCAGCAAAGTGTTTAAGAGATGACTTGGTGCTCTTAAAAGCATTTAGTTTTATTCATTCACAAAGATATGGTTTGGAATTGGAACTTATGTTTAAAAGGAAGCAGAGCATAAAAGTTCAGAAAATTTGCAGCCTGACAATGCGATAGAAAAGAAAAACCAATTTTTTGAGGAGTAATTCAAGCTGGCTGTAGAAATGTACATAAGTAATGAGGAGCCAAATGTTAATCACCAAGATAATGGGGAAAATGTCTCCAGGGCATGTCAGAGGTCTTCACAGCAGCCCCTCCCATCACAAGCCAGGAGGCCTAGGAGGAAAAAAACGGTTTTGTGGGTTGGGCCCAGGGCCTTGCTGCTTTGTGCAGTCTCAGGACTTGGTGCCCTGTGTCCCAGCTGTGGCTAAAACGGGCCAATGTACAGCTCAGGTTGTTGCTTCAGAGGGTGCAAGCCCCAAGCCTTGGCAGCTTTCATGTGGTGGTTGGCCTGCAGCTGCACAGAAGTCAAGAATTGAGGTTAACCTCTGCCTAGATTTCAGAGGATCTATGGAAATGCTTGGATGTCCAGGCAAAAGTTTGCTGCAGGGGCAAAGCCCTCATGAAGAACCTCTGCTAGGGCAGTGCAGAGGGGAAATGTGGGGTCACAGCCCCCACACAAGAGTCCCCACTGAGGCACTGCTTAGTGGAGCTGTGAGAAGAGAGCCACTATTCTCCAGATCCCAGAATCGTAGATCCACCAACAGCTTGTACTGTGCACCTAGAAAAGTCGCAGACACTCAACACAAGCCTGTGAAAGCAGCCAGGAGCGGGTCTATACCCTGCAATACCACAGGGATGGAGCTGCCCAAGGCTGTAGGAGCTCACCTGTTCCATCAGCATGACCTGGATGTGAGACATGGAGTCAGAGGAGATCATTTTGGAACTTTAAGGTTTAACATTGCCCTACTGGATTTTGGACTTGCATGGGGCCTGCAGCCCCTTTGTTTTGGCTAATTTCTCCAATTTGGAATGGCTGTATTCACCCAATGCTTGTACCCCCATTGTATCTAGGAAGTAACTAATTTGCTTTTGACTTTACAGGTTCATAGGCATAAGGGACTTGCCTTGTCTCAGATGAAATTTTGGACTTGGACTTCTGGGTTAATGCTGGAATAAGTTAAGACTTTGGGGGACTGTTGGAAAGGCATGACTGTGTCTTGAAATGTGAGAACATGAGATTTGATTTGGAAGGGGCCAGATGTGGAATTATATGGTTTGGCTATGTCCCCACCCAAAATCTTATCTTGAATTGTAATCCCCATGTGTCAAGGGTGGGACCAGGTGGAGGTCATTGGATCATGGGGGTGGTTTCTCCCATGCTGTTCTCATGATAGTGAGTGAGTTCTCATGATAGTGAATGAGTTCTCATGAGATATGATGGCTCTCTAAGTGCCTGGCATTTCCACTGCTTGCATTTCTCCTTCCTGCTGCCCTGTAAAGAAATGTGCCTTGCTTCCCCTTCACGTTCCGCCATGATTGTAAGTCTCCTGAGGACTCCTCAGCCATGCTGAACTGTGAGCCAATTAAACCTCTTTCCTTTATAAATTACCCAATCTTGGGCAGCTCTTTATTGCAGTGTGAAAACAGACTAATACACCATCAAAATAAAGTTGATAAAACTGATAATAGCAAAAACCAAAGACAATAAACAAAGTTCTATATGAGAAAAAAATCATAGATATTTTAAAGTTACATAACAGAATAAGAAGTTCTGGAAAAAACATAAAAACAAGGCATTGGTATTCAAAGGACCAATTAAAAAATTGGCATATTATATGATTGTGTAATTTACAGGAAACTCAAATGACTAGTCGACAAATGAAAAGAGAATCAACCTTAGTCATAATGATGAAAATACAAATTCGACAAGATAATCACTAACCACCCTCACCCAAGCCCTCATGCATCAAATTGGCAAGGGAAAAAAAGCCTGAAAACATCAAGTCCTGGTGAAGTGAAATTGGTAGTTTTTAACATTGCTAGTAGGAGAATATTGGGCTAGTGGTGAGGTCAGCAGGGGGCATTTTTTTAGTATCTAAAATTGTTTTTAATATAGAATACACATTTTAATATAGAATTGTAACTGTACAATTCTGCCATTCAGTATCTTCCTGAGAGAACACTCTAATTATGTGTACAAAGAGGCATGTCTAAGGATGTTCCCTACAGCATAGCTGGAAATGTAAAAAAAGTTTGTCCATAGGAGATTGACTGAATCAAGCCTATTATATCAGTACCTGGACTACATTACAGGTGTCATCATGAAAGTGTCTCTAAGATATTAATGTGTTATAGCGTGATTAAACAATACTAACGGGAAAAAGGTCTCATGGGTAGAAAACTGTCCAGAAGGAAAACTGGCTATGGTCATGAGGGCTCTTAGGAGCTCAGGACCCGGGAGGGAAGGAGCAGGACACTCATCTCTACTTTAAGGCCTCCCAAACTCTTTGTCCCCTGCTCACATAATAAACCATACTTCAAGCATCATTTCCTACTGAAACTATTAAATAAGATACAAGAAATGACAGGGGACTGGGCTCCAGATGGAGGCAGATGCAAGCAAGAGAAGAGTAGAAAGGTGCACTTTGTTTAGCAGCTGAAGTGATGTGGGCTGGAGAATCCATGCAGGCTGTGCTGGCACAAACCCCGGGGAAAGGCAGGGCTAGTTTTGAGTTGAGGTTTTGCCATTCTCTTCAAGTGTGGTCTTTAGGAAGTCACTAAACCCCTGTGAATCCACTTCCCCATCAATACATGCGGAAGATACCATATCTTTCTTAGAAATTTGTTAAGTTTAAATAAACCTAAATAAAAATATATGTATCGGTCTGCCTGCCTGTCTGTCCACCTATCATCTATCTTCAATCTATATTCTATCTCTCCCTTTCTTGTTCCACCCACCTACCTACCTACCTATGTATCTTTTGATATATATTTTTTCCTGTCCGTATGTATCTATCTTTCTTATTAATTTTCTCATTGTCTGTCTGCCTTCCTCTTTCCTGATTTTCTGTCTCCCCTTCTGTTGGTCATGTGTCTGCTAAGTAGATGTCTAACTATCCATGTTTCTTTCTTTCTGCCATCCTGTCTATTTCTACCTGTCTCCATCCATCCATCCATCCATGCACCCACCCACCCAGCCACCCACCTATGCATGTTTCTGGGTGTCTATTTGTCAGTATGTCTGTAGGTCTTTGTGCTATATATCTGTCTATATGACCACCTGTCTGTCTCTCTATGCTAGAAACTCTCTGTTTTTCTGTCTGTCCATCTGGAGTCTCAATGTTTTTCCTTGTCTGTATGTCTTTCAATCTATCTTGTTTGTGTGCATATCTACCCGTATGCCTATGAATGTATTTATCTGATTATCCAAAACCTGCCTGAATGTCTGTCTATATATCCCCCTCCCTCCTTTCCTTTCTCCCTCTATACCTTTCTGTCTGACTGTGTTTCACTGTCTAATAATGACTGTCTAATTTCTCTCTGACAGTCTAATTTCTATTGACCACTGTTGACCTACCTTCATGGTGCTTGACACAGAGCAGAGCCTCACTCAAGGCTAGTTTACTTCCCCCTTTTCAGTTCCTTTCACTCTTTCATTGCTCCATTCTTACACTCAGCTGCCATTAACTGGGCCATTGCTCTGTGTTATGTGCTAGGGATACAACCTAAAATTAGGCAGGGTCTCTACCTTCTAAGAGTATTTGGGCTGCTGGCCTAAAAAGCAAATTAATGAGGCAGTTATATGATGCTTAGAGCTATGAGAGACAAGATGGTGTCAGGCACAAGGGAAGGGCACCCATGCTAGACTGGAGTGGAGGAGAGAGTGAGAGAGGCTCTGAGGAAGTGACATCTCATCTGAAAACCACAGAGGACTGGGGATTTTGCAAAGTGGAGGGCTGAGCTCCATGTAATTGGGGAAGAGGTATGGACAGTGGTGCAAAGCTAGAAAAAGGGAACAGGGTCCATGTAGACCTGGAGAACAACAGAGCCAGGACACAGTCAAAAATTCTAACTAAGGAATTCACAAAATTCAGACAAAAGAGACCAAAATTGACCTAAATAGAGAGATGTATTGTTTTTATGGATTGTAAGATATACCACAGTTAAGATGTCAAGTATAGTCACACTGATCTATAAATTCAGTGCAATCCCAGTCAACATTCCAGCAGGTTTCTTTGTAGGCACAGACAAGCTGATTCTAAATCTATATAGAAAGATAAACTAGATTAGCCAAAACAACGTTGAAAAAGAAAAAAGTTAGAGGACTCGCACACTTGATTTTAAGATGCATTATAAACCTCCTGTGGCCAAGACAGTATAGTATTGGGATAGTAAAGGATAGACACGTTTACTACTAAAACAAAAGACAACTGATTTTTGACAAAGGCACAAAGACAATCCAATGGAGAAAAGATAGACTTTTCCAAAAAATGATGCTGGAGCAAATGGACTTCAGTAAAGTAAACTCAATCTACATCTTACACCATATATAAAAATTAACTCTGAATGGATCATAGACTAGGTGTGCCTGTATGTTTAGGTGTCCATGTGTGAGCATGTGCATGCATGTGCTGTGTGTGTGCATGTCCATGTGAGTGTGCATGTGTTTAATAGTGTGTATGTGTATTTGTGACTTCTGTGTGCATGTTTATGTTGAGTGTGTGTGAATATATGTGCATGTTTGCATGCGCATGTGTGTATGAATGTATGTGCACATTCGCATAACTGTGTGTGACTGTGCGTGTTAAAAAGGGACACAGGGAAGGGTGTCTAAGGGACATTTGGTTAGAAATTCCAGTGGGCTGGTTGCTTATACTTGGAAGTTTCCAGACCACTTAGAGTAAGTGGAATCAAGATAGTCAACGGCAGTGGCTCTTTCCATTAAGAAAAAATAATTTAGATTTCACAAATACAGGAGAATTTCAGCTTTTGGGCTTTCTTATCGGCCCATATTAGTGGACTACTTACACATGTCAGCGACTGGTAAAATTCAGTGTTTTATTTTAGTGTCTATCTTTTCAAATAGAATAAACAATTTTCCAAAATAAAAAAATAAACATAAAGGAAATAAATATCTGTCATCATGTATGGCTCTGAACTTTTAAAATAGATAACAGTGAGATAGGTGGATTCTGAAGAACCCACCCAGCTTTCTATAATACCCTGTCAACTTTATGACCTAATAATCTAGTAATTGTTTTCTTCTTTAGTTTCTTGGGTTTTCATTTTTAGTCACTAGAAACACTTATATAAATACAAATCCATGCAGGTATTCCAAAAATTCCTGGGGACAATTTATGTGTAGTCCCTGGTTCTCACTGACTCAGTTTTGAAATGAGGATAGCAGTTTCTATTTTAATATGGTTGTGGTGGTGATTACATAGCATAGTGCCTGGCACATAGCAAGTACCAAAAAAAGGATAGGTACCTCATAAATATATACATCTACTATACACCCACAGAAATAAAAAAATTAAAAAGATAGGTATGATTATGATTATTGTGGCCATTATTTATGTATTTATTTGCAACATATTCTTAGATTAATAACCTTGGAAACCTAACAAAACCGTCTGGAGTTCTATTCCTTCAGAAGATTTGCTTTTGGTACTTTTTATATCAAAATAACATATAATTTTTAAAAGGTTGGTTCTGAATTGAAACTGATGACTATGAAGTCCAAGTTTATAGGATCAGCTGTTTGAGTCAGAAAGAAACTGCATTCTTAAGCAGAAAATTTATTTGTCCACACTCCCCTGAGGAAAGAATGGTAAAGCCAATTTCATTCAAACACTAAGCATTGGCTCAAGACCAAATAAGAAGCATTGCAGCCCTGGATGATGTAGCCACAGTAAGTTGGAAGCAATTGATTTCAACAAAGAAAACGATTTTGCTACTGGCCAAGGATGGGGAATCTTTCTGACTTGCACATTGTCTCCACAAATAAGGTGCCTCTAGTTAAGCCTCCCTAATCAATGGCCAAGGATGCAATTACAGTTGCAGAGAAGTGGAACTCAAATGGAGTGGGAATAAAGAAAGGAAGATTAATAAATAATAGGAAAGCGGGAGTAGAGAAGCAGGAGAAAGGAGATGGGAGAAGCTGGCAAAGATGAAACACAGCTCTGCTGAGAAGCATATATCCAAGAACAATCAACACTATAAATTTCATGGATGCTGCATCAGTTACCTATTGCTGTGAAACGACAACTCCCAGATTTAGGGACTTAAAATAACACATATTCATAATCTCACCATTTCTGTGGGGCAGAAGTCAGAGTGCACCTTAGCTCAGGGTCTCTCACAAGGCTGCAACCAAAATGTGAGTTGAGGCTGCAGTCTCGTCTGAAGGCTCAAATGAGGAAGCATTCTCTTCCAAGCTTACTCATGTGATCATTCACAGAATTGTTTCTGAGGGTTGTTGAACTAAGAAGCTCAGTTCTTTGCCACGTGGGCCTTTCCATAGGTGAGATCACAACATCAGAGTTGTTTCATCAGAGCAACCACGTGAGAAGAGTCAGAGAGAGCCTGAGCAAGACAGAAGTCGCAGTGTTTGTATCCTGGTCTTGGAAGTGACATCTGTCACTTCTGCTGTATTTTGTTTATTAACAGCAAGTCACCATGTCCAGCCCACACCCAAGGGCAGGGGACAACACAAAGATGCGATGTCAGGAGGCAGGAATGCTTGGGAGCTGTGTCAGAAGCTGCCTCCCACACATGGCCTTGCAGTATCTACACCGGAGCTCAAGTGCATTGTGCAGGCCAAAAAGCAGCACCTTCACCCGGTGCTACGTGATCACTCACAACTTGTCAATCACCATATTTTAGCTGATTGTTATGGAAACGTTGATTCCAAACTTGAAAAAGGGAAAAATGATGATTTCTGGAATCTGTGATATTCTGCTAGAATGCAAATAAGTCTGATTGATCCCATTCTGAAGCTCTTGAGCAGTGTGACAAATATTTATCTAATCATTCACAATTGGTTAAAATAAAGAGGTTTACAGCCCTGTGAGATTAGCCTGCAGAATTGATAGCTTATGACTTTTACTGCCTAGTAAACAAGTTAACTCCAAATTTGGCATTTTTTTCATTGCTTTGTAGAGGTTTGCCTTAACTTAGCATCTTATTTCCGCATTTGTTTCCCAACTGACCTTAAAAATCCCAGTTACTGGCTGGGTGCGGTGGCTCACGCCTGTCATCCCAGCACTTTGGGAGACCAAGGCGGGTGGATCATGACGTCAGGAGATCAAGACTATCCTGGCTAACACGGTGAAACCCTGTCTCTACTGAAAAAAAAAAAACAAAAAACAAAAAAATTAGCCGGGCGTGGTGGCGGGCGCCTGTAGTCCCAGCTACTAGGGAGGCTGAGGCAGGAAAATGGTGTGAACCCGAGAGGTGGAGCTTGCAGTGAGCCAAGATCGCACCACTGCACTCCAGCCTGGGCGACAGAGCGAGACTCCGTCTCAAAAAAAGATCCCAGTTACCAAATGCTTGTGGAGCCAGATCATTTGTCTTTTTGCTGGTTCCCTTACTGATGAGTTAAATAAAGCTTTGGAACATGGCAACAGACGACTTTGCCTGAGAATTGAGCTTTTGCACGCTCTAGGAGTAAACCAGAACCAAGATGGACATAGGGAATTCAGCAAAGTGCTGAATAGACACTGGGTTCCTGGCCTTCTCTTGACTGGCTGACCCACCTTCACACACTTATGGGGCACAATGTCTGTGTGGATCGCAAGCCCCCAGGGGATTTAAGAACTGCCCTGAGGGTGTGTCTTCAAGCCTTTTGTGAATTTATACTTATGCCATCTCACGGGGGACTGTGTCTCTTTCCATGGCTCAGCACCAGGGCTTTGAAGAGTAAGACCCAAAACCAAGTTCTGGGTGTGAGGGTTTCCTGGCTGGTGATGCTGTTGAACCCACACTGGGGAACACATACTGCCAGGCTGCTGCTATGCAGAAGGGAACAGGAAGAGGGAGAGGCCTGGCCCAGGGCTGTGGAGAAGGAGGGGTCCTTTTCCCCTGAGTGTGGCCAAGCACCTGCAAGCCTCCTGGGAGTGGGCCTCTCTGCAGGGGCTTTGCCTTGGCTTCCAGCCACCTCCATTTGGTTCTCCAGCACACAGGCCATGAGCGTGGAGCTCACTCAAGACTAGAGAGCTCAGGTTTCCAAGTGGACAGACATTCTGCAGGATGTGCTTTGGGAAACTGAAAAAAAGCAGCCCTGATATTTCCATCCACACACTCAAGTGAAACTCAGTGATTTCCTTGGTGTTGATGCAGAACCAGAGGTTTGCTTTCACCTGCACTTCACTCCTCCCATAACCTTTGGGTTTGCTCCTGGGAAAGCAGAAAAGACACAGTCCCATCTCCAAGGAGCAGATCCAGAGGACGAGGAGACAAGCAAGGATTCCTGGCATGTAAACAGCTGGTAAGAAGGAAAAAGGAGATGTGGAAAGGCTTCAGGGAAGCCTGGGGCTGGAGCCCACCAGAAGAGTCCTCCGGTCCTGGCAAACCCCAGGCTGGCTGGGTTGATATTGCCCCAGAAAGCAGAGGAACCCCACAGGGCCATCCCTTCAAGCTCAGCCCGACAAGAAGCCAACAGAAAGCATGTCATTTGGATGCAGGACACAGAGCGGTCTTCTCTGTGAGCACCAGCTCTCATCTGCTTTTAAGAGTTGTGGGGAAGAAAATGAGGCAAGTAACCTTTTCAGAGGAAGTATTTTTAAGATATTAACATGTTTTCCAACAGCAATGTTTTTGAAGACTCAGTCTAATTCATATTCGTGTGTAGCTTCTAAAATAACCTATATTTTCACAAACTGTTTTCTTGGTAAAATTTTCAAAACATTCTCAAGGAAGATGCATTCTGTGGCAATGGGATGCCAATAAAACTAAAAGGACTTGATTTAAATAGAAAAAAAAAAAAACCACACATAATCTTCAAATAAAAGCCCAATTGGTTACTGACTGAAAGGCAAACCGACAACAGACTAGGGAGGTTCAGGCCTAGCGAGGGGAGGCAGTTAAGGCTGACCGAGAGCAGGAGGAGGAAGCCGATGGGGGAGTGCACATCGGGACAGTGTTCGCTGATGAATACTTCCTGCCATAGTGGTTTCATTCCCTATGCAACCTTTTAACTGCAGGGACACAGAGCGTGGGGCCTCTGCTCTGTCACTCAGATTTATTAGCATTTTTGCTAAAGGTCTTATAAGAGATCTCAGGAATAAAAGCAGCATCCAGTGGCTCTCGCCCATGTGTCTTGTGTCTGATAATAATTAACAGCTACTGCTTAGCAAGGCCAGCCACAGGCTGTACCCTCTACCATATGCCTCCTGCGATGGTCACTCCCAGTCTCCTAATTGTAATTATAAGGACACTGAAGGTTTGTGAGGAGAAATGTTTGCTCGCAGTCACCTGGCTGTTGTATGACAGAGACAAGATGCATACCTAGATGCCTATCTGAATGGTCTAACTTCAGAGTCCTCCTCTTGACCACCTCAGTATATGCTCCCTTGTGTGATGACCCCACAACCACAGAAAATGTGAAACATGAAGGACTATGTGACAAAGAAAGTCTGAGGTCCCAATAAACTAATGGGTTAAAAATTATAATAACAACCATCAAGGGATGCTAAGATCACTGGATGAAAATCAGCCAGGGAAGAGAATGTTCACAGGGCTTCAAAGTTTGCCCCATTGCTTACTAGTAAAAGACAAAGAATGTAAAAAGTGACTTTACAGGCTGGACGTGGTGGCTCACACCTGTAATCGCAGCACTTTTAGAGGTCAAGGCAGGTGGATCACCTGAGGTCAAGAGATTGAGACCATCCTAGCCAACATGGTGAAATCTCATCTCTACTAAAAATACAAAAATTAGCTGGGCGTGGTGACGGGCGCCTGTAGTCCCAGCTACTCGGGAGGCTGAGACAGGAGAATTGCTTGAATCCGGTAGGTGGAGGTTGCAGTGAGCCGAGATCGTGCCACTGCACTCCAGCCTGGCGACAGAGCGAGACTCCATCTCAAAAAAAAAAAAAAAGTAACTTTATAAAGAGAACTCTTGTAGAAATGACCTTAGCCCAGTGAACAAACTTATCACCATGAGCCACGGTGTGCCCACTGATGTGCTGGAAAGAGAAATGGAGGAAATGTCTATCTGAATCTAAGTATGAGGAAATAATCAGACAGGTCCAGATTGTGCAGCACTCCATAAAACAAGTGGCTCAGACTCTTCAAAGACGTCAACATCACGAAAGAGAAAAACGAAAGCAGGCCTTTAGTTCAGATAAAAAGAGGCGTAACTGAATTCAGTGAGTGATACTTAATTGAACACTAGGCAGGGAAAAACAGCTATGATGAATATTTGGGGGACAATCAGGGGTATCTGGGTAGGGACAACATATTTGGATAATATCACTTTATCGATATTATATTTCACAGTGGTAATAGTGCTATACTTTTGTAGAAGGTAGCTGTGTACTTAGGAGATGATGCCAGAGTGTCTCATGATGTCAGCAACTTACTTTCAAATGATTCAGACAAAAAGAATCAAACACACACAAACACATATTTACCACCTGTGTGTGTCTGTTTGTGTATAAACAATTGGTAAATCTGGGTGAAGAATTACGGGTGTTCACTTTTCTATTCCTTCAAGTTTGCTGTAGAATTAAAGCTTATAAAATAAAAAGTAGGCAAGAAGGTATATAAAAATTTTGTTCCAAGAGTCATAAAGCAAAAGAATGGTTATGCTCTCAGTCAGATTAAAATTGTATTATTGGATAAGAAGTAACAGGAAACAGTAAAAGTAAAAATAATTAGTGTGTTAAGATAATGGCACTATTTTTCTTTTGCTTATAATATTTAAAAAATCAATAATGGTTGCAACAGATGACAAATTTTGCACTGGTATAAATCAAGTCACTTGTCAATCACTACAGTTGTTTTTTTTTTCCTTTTAAAGAATAATGCCTATTATTCCAATCTCAAATTCTAATGCAGTATGAAATACATTTCATGACTCTTTCTCAATGAACCTTACACTTTATCTGGGCTTTAGATCTGATTTCCAGGGAGTCCACAGAACCACTACCAGCTCTATTGTCAGAGGCGGTGACTGCACTTGCCCCTTTGGCCTGCCACTAAGACCCCACGAACACAGGACTTACTTTTCAGACACCTGATTCTGGAGGTGTGTGGCAGTCAGGCATGCAGGCCAACACTGCGCCGTCCCTGCTGGAAATGGCCCATTGTTGCCCCAGTGGAAGGTGAGACCACAGCGCCTGAGAACTCTGGAAAAGACAATGAGAATAAAAGAGAATGTTCACACTTCATGGGAAGTGAGAATTAACAATTTCAATTTTAGGATTAATTTTTTATAGTTTAAAAATTAAATATTAATGTTTCAAATTTTTAAATGATTTTAAATATTTAACATGCATTTGAAATTGGCTGGTGAATCCCACAGCCCTGAATCCCACTCCCAACACACGATCCCACCCTTTAATTTTCAAATGAATGTCCCATCAGGAGACAGATGAGGATCAATGGGAAAAGTCTCATCCGTGTGGACTTAACAGACGTGAGGGTGGGCTCAGAGCCCCTAGAAGCTGATGTGCCAGGGGAGGGGACTGTGCTTCTCAGCGGGGCTCAAACACTGAACTCTGACTTCTAAGATTCTGGGAGAGAAGTTCTGGGGGTGTGATCTGCAGGGAACCTCAAAGTGAGGGGGCTGTTCATGTTCCACACAGTGGAACCAGGTACACCCCATCTCGACTGGGCATCCCCTAGGTCAGCAGATGTCTGTATATTTTTACCTTTTGAGGCCATTTATTTTATCTAATAACTTATACATAAAATTTAATTTTTACTCAGTCAAATAACATATACAACCTCTAATTTCCACATAGGATAAGGTCCCTAGTTCAATCTAATTCCCATCTCTTCCTCTGATACCTGCTATATTTTGTTGAAATCATTTAAAATGTTGATTTGAAATTGCTTTTGATTTTTGTGTTCTACTTTCTTAGGAATCATAATTCTTAACAACTACTTTAAGCTTCAGTTCTATATTATTACTTGTAACACAACTGTGTTTTGGTGTTTGCTAACTGATCACGAATAATTTGCATATCTCTCATTGGTCCTTTATTAAGTTTTAATTTTACTAGAAGGCTTGAGTAGTACTTTCAAAATGATTTTGTAGGCAATAAATTTTCTGACTTCTAATGCAAAAGAACAGAATCAATAGCCAAGACAATCTTGAAAAAGAAGAATAAAGTTGGAAGTCTCACACATCTTGATTTCAAAACATACTATGAATCTATGGTAATCAAAGCATGTGGTGTGGGCATAAAGACAGATTTATAGTCCACACAAGGTAGACCAGAAATAAATCCTCAAATACATGGTTAAATCGTTTTCCACAAGGGTGCCACACATGGCCTCGCATAAATGGCCAAAGGTTTTCCACAAGACCATTCCATGTGGAAAGAACAATCTTTCCAATAAATGGTGCTGGGAAAACCGCATATCCACATGCAAAATAATGAAGTTAGACTCTTACCTAACATTGTATGCAAAAATTAACTAAAAATGGATCAAAGACCTAAATGTAAGAGCTAAACCTATAAAACTCATACAGGAAAATACAGAGGAAAAGCTTTATGAAACTGGATTTGACAAGTATTTCTTGGGTATGACACCACCAAAAGAACAGGCAACAAAAGGAAAAATAGATAAAATGGACTTCATCAAAATTAAAAACTTTTGTGTACCAAAGGACATTATCAACAAAGTGAAAAGGCAACCAACAGAATGACAGAAAATATTTGCAAATCATATATCTGATAAGGGATTAATATCCATAACATATACAGAACCCCTGTAACTCAACAGGAAGAACCTGAAAAAATGGAAAGATATCCCATGCTCATGGATTAGAAGAATTAATATTGTTAAAATGTCTATATTAACCAAAGTGATTTACAGATTCAATGCAATTCCCATCAAAATACCAATGACATTCTTCACAGAAACAGAAAAAAGCCTGAAATTCATATGAAACCACAAAAGACCTTGAACAGCTGAAGTGATCCTGAGCAAAAAGAACAAAGCTAAAGGCATCATGGTTGTGTTTTCAAATGATACTACCAATCTATAGTAACCAAAAGAGCATGGTACTGGCATAGAAACAGACACATCAACCAATGGAACAGAACAGAGAACCCACAAATAAATCCACACACTTAACAGCCAACTCAGTTTCAACAAAGGTGGCAAGAACACACACCAGGGAAAACACAGTCTCTTTAATAAATGGTGCTGAGAAAACCAAATATCCATATGCAGAAGAATGAAACTAGACCCTCATCTCATCATATACAGAAATCAACTCTAAAATGGATTAAAGGCTTAAATATAAGACCTAAAATTATGGAACTACCAGAAGAAAACACTGGGGAAACACTTCAGGACATTGGTTTGGGCAAAGATTTTTGCATAAGATCTCAAAAAGGCAACAATAGAAAAATGGGTTTATATCAAGCTAAAAAGCTTCTGCACAGGAAGCAAAACAACTAAGTGAAGAGACAACCCAGAGAAAGGGGGAAAATATCTGCAAACTTCCATCTGACAAGGGATTAATAACCAGATTATATAAGGAGCTCAAACAACTCAATAGCAAAAAAACAAATAATCTGATTAGAAAATCAGCAAATGACCTGAATAGATGTTTCTCAAAAGAAGACATACAAACAGAAAACAGGCATATGAAAAAATGCTCAATATCACTAATCACCAGGGAAATGCAAATTAAAACCACAATGAGATATCATCTCACTCTAGTTAGAATTGGCTTTTATAAAAAAGACAAAAAATAACAGATGCTGGTAAGGATGTGGAGAAAGGGAATGTAAATTAGTACCATCATTATGGAAAACAGTATGGAGGTTCCTCAAGAAACTAAAAATAGAAGGACCACATATCCAGGAATCCCACGGCTGAGTATATATTAAAAGGAAAGGAAATCAGTATATTGAAGAAATATCTGCACTCCCATGTTTATTGCAGCACTGTCTGCAATAGCTGAAATGTGGAATCAACCTAAGTGTCCATCAATGGATGAATGGATAAAGAAAGTGTGGAATATACACAGAACGGAATATTACTCAACCATAAAAATAATGGAATCCCGTCATTTGCAGCATCATGGATGGAACTGGATATCATCATGTTAAGTGAAATAAGCAAGGCACAGAGAGACAAATATCACATGTTCTTACTCAAATGTGGGAGCAAAAAAAAGTGGGTCTCAAAGAGGTAGAGAGTAGAACAGTGTTTACCAGGGGCTGGGAAGGGAAGTGGGGAGGAAGAGAAGTTGACTAATGGGCACCAACATGCAGTTGGATAGAAGAAATTCATTCTTGTATTTGATACCATAGTAGGAAAATTATAGTTAACAATAAACTACTTCCTGGGTCCCTTTCTTTGTTCACATTTTTTCCCTCAGGAATTTTCAAAATTCCTGTTTTCTCCTGGCTCCACTCAAGACCCAGCTCAAATGCCATGTTTGTCACGAAGCTTACCTAAGAACAGCCTTTGACCCAGGGGTCCTGTCTCCCATGCTGGACTTGGTCCCCTGCCCACCTCTGGGGTGTTCACTCCACGGACGTGCAGTCCCCTGGCTGAAAGAATGAAGGATGCCCATCCCCACCACTAACAACCCTCACACACTTGCACTGGGACAGACACTTTTCCTGGCTTTATCTCTTGGTGGATGGCTTTATCTCTTAGTCTTCCTAAAAGCTTCAAGAGAAGAGTGAGTTTCTAGGAAATGGGCTTTAATTCACACAGTGATCACTCGGTCTGTCTCTCAGGAAGGTGCAGGAGAGATGCTCAGGCCAGGTGTTCATCTCTGCCTCAGGCCTGCTGGTAAGTGGTTTTGTTTATGGTTCCCTAATGGAATAAAAACTTACAGCATGTCCAGGAAAAATTTTCAGGAAATTTAAATTCAGGAGAAGTCTGTAACAACTTCTGGAAATAAAGAGGAGAGTCTCTTTTTTTTGTACTCTAAGATACTGTAAGTCCAAAATATGTCCGTAATGAATTATGTAAAGATCTGGAAGGCTGAAGTGCTTCTCGAAATGCCAATACCTCTAGAGGGAAATGCAAGAAAATAGCCATTGGGTAAAATAAGTTCAGATCCACAACAAAACAAAAGGGAGGGGGGTAAGGCTATCAGCTAAACTAAGGGTGGGATGAATGCTTCCTGCACATTTTAATCCTGGGGAGAACAGTAGTTTCTAAAACAAAACAGGCATTTTAGACCTGTATTCTGGCTCTGAAATGCAGAATGTGGCTGGATTGGATGTGGTGATGCCAGGCAGACACACCCTTCTCAAAGCCCCCAGGGCTGACAGCGGGCCCAGGGAGTGTGCTAACGCTGTGGACACACCGCGTGTCTGGGGCGCTCCAGGTGAGAGCAGAGACCCAGGTCTGTAAGGTGCAAGTGAAAGCCCAAAGAGGCTGTTCTAGCTGAATCCTCCTCTCCATCCAGCCCCTTGGTGTCACTGAAGGCCAGCACACACGGGAAACCCATCAGCCGGGCTTCCCCAGGTCTGGGATCAGTACTAGTCATGTCCCCTACTTGCCTATGGTCTAAAAAGCCACCACAGCTGCTTTGTCCCTGCATCACCACGGGACTTGGGCTGTTCCAAAGGTCCTGGTGAAGATGAAAAGGGACCTCTGAAGATGCTCCAGGGACCCGAAGGATTCACTGCTCTAAGCTGACACTATTGTAAAGTAAAAATACAAGGCACTGAGAAGGGCTCAAGATGAAGGCAGGACTACAGGACCAGAGATGCTTCCAGGACTGACTGCTGGGAAACAGCAGGTACAAAATGAGCAGCAGCTACCCAGCAGGGTGC
This sequence comes from Homo sapiens, assembly GCF_000001405.40. Lineage (NCBI taxonomy): Eukaryota > Metazoa > Chordata > Mammalia > Primates > Hominidae > Homo > Homo sapiens. The sequence goes on from NC_000015.10 coordinate 31,694,117, forward strand.
CATGTGACCTTAGTGACCCCAGAGTGGCGCTCAGAAGCCAGGACACTGCCCTCACAGAGCCAGTGGAGGGGGCCCACGCAGCGCAGGTGTGTGAAGGGTCAACAGGCACTGGCATGCTCTCTGGCATCCCTCGGCTGGGGGCCTCCTCCCTCAGGCTACCTGGATCCTGGGCTCTTACCGCTCTCCTTGTCCCCCACTCCTACCTAGGTTTTGCTGTCTTTTTTCATTCAGTTCTCCCTCTCCCTGTCATAACACCCCTCCACCCTTCACAAGCCCAGATCCCCTCAAGCCCCCTTCCCCCGGGAAACCTTTGCTCATCATTCAACCAAAAAACTTTTTGTAACACCAGTTTACTTTATTATTATCTACTCTCAGCAAGTTTCAAGAATTTTTAAGGATACATCGTTACAATAGTTACCATGTTATAATAGTCCCCATATATCCCTTGAACTTATTTATCCTGCCTAAATGAAATTTGTATCCTTTGACCAACATCTCAACCCACCCCACCTCCCCCAGCACCTGGCCAACACCATTCTGCTCTCTGCTTCCGTGAGTTCACCTTTTTCGGATTCCACACATAAGTGAGATCATGCAGTATTTGTCTTTCTGTGCCTGGCTTATTTCACTTAACATGATGCCCTCCAGGTTCATTCTTGCCGTACGTGACAGGATTTCATTCTTTTTATCACTGAATATTATCCATTGTGTATTTATACCACGTTTTACATTTTCTTTTTTTTTTTTGAGACAGAGTCTTGCTCTGTCGCCCAGGTTGGAGTGCAGTGGCGCGATCTCGGCTCACTGCAAGCTCCGCCTGCTGGGTTCACGTCATTCTCCTGCCTCAGCCTCCTGAGTAGCTGGGACTACAGGCACCCACCACCACGCCTGGCTAATTTTTTGTATTTTTAGTAGAGACGGGGTTTCACCGTGTTAGCCAGGATGGTCTCGATCCCCTGACCTTGCGATCCGCCCACCTCGGCCTCCCAAAGTGCTGGGATTACAGGCGTGAGCCACCGCCCCGGCCATGTTTTACATTTTCTTTATCCATTCATCTTTGGATGAGCACAGGGTGGTTCCATGTCTTGGCTATTGTGGATAGAGTGCTGCAGTGAACATAGGAGTGCAGGTAACTCTTTGATGTACTGATTTCATTTCCTTTGACTATATACCAGCAGTGGGATGGCTGGATTACATGGTAGTTCTAGTTTTATTTTACTGAGGAACCGCCACACTTTTTCCGTAATGGCTGCACTAATTTACATACCCACCAACACTGTACTAGTGTTCTCTTTTCTCCACACTTTCACCAACACGTATCTCTTCTCTTGTGGGTAACAGTCATCCAAACAGACATGAAGTGATTGATATTTCACTGTAGTCAGCTAGCAAAACTTTAGTTTATTATTCATTTGCATAAAATCCAGATCCTGCACAAACCAGCAACATTTTAATGAGCACTTACTATGCTAGGAGGTGTAGGCCACGAGGCAGAAATAAAGTTGAGTGGTTTTGCCGTCAAGAGCCCTGTAATCTGAAACAGGAGACAGACCTGGAGACCGACACCCGCAGCTCAGCCCGCTCCCTGGTGAACGCCTGAGATGCAGAGCAGCCCCCGTCCAAGGGAAGTCACGGCTTGCCTTGTCATCTGCCTCCGGGGAAAGGGAACTCTTCAGAGAGAAGGAGATACTTGGCTTGGGCCTTAAACTCTAAATAAGAGTTCCCAGAAGGGTAAGGAGGGCAGAGGTCTCTGGTGTTTGCTGAGGGCCTATTCTGTGCCAGGCCTTCACTAGGCAGGCATTGCTAACTTCTCTCAGGTAAATTCTCTCACACACACCTGAGGAAGAGGGGCTCAGGCACACACAGGCCTGTCCTTCTACTGCCCCACGGAGGAGAATTCTCCGCAGAGAACCTCCAGTGCAGACACGGGTTGGGGGTGGGTGGCCTGCACACGAAGGAGTCCCCTGTGCAGGGGGTTGGGGAAGGATTTGGTGTAGCTGTGGGTGTGAGTGACAGGGCACAGGGTTGAGGGGGGCACAAGGGGCTGGGGGTGGACAGGCAGAATGGGCTGTCCCTGCAGCATCATTACAGAGAACTCCTCTCCACAGAGGGGCAGCCGCTGGCGTGTTGAGGCCAGCAAGGGCTCAGGCCAGAAGCGCATTTTGAGCGTGCCTGCTGGCAGCATGCTGGGGACTGCCAGTCTGGCAAGTCACAGGCAGCACCTAAATCTGCTGAAGGGAGAGGGTCTCTGCAGCTCTCCTGCAGTTCCCTCTGATCTGAAATCTTGGTGCCTTCCCTGCACTAGGGCAGAATCTGGGCCCATCGCCTTCTCACCATCTAGATGATGCCTGTGTGCCTCTGCACCCGGGCCCCGTGTCCTCCATGGACTGTGCCTGCTCCACTTCCTCCCACACCTGCCTGCATCCCTCACCAACATATCACACATATTCCACTCCATCCCAGTGTGCGAGCCGGCCCTTCAGCTCCAGAGAGACCTCAAAGGGCCTGTGTCCCAGTGCTCAGAGGCACGCGTCCTGGTGAGAGGTCAGACCCAACGGCTGCTGGTCCACCACCCAGATGACTCAGAGGGACTCAGAGGGAGTTAGGGGAGTTCCCATGAGTAGCAGCCTCTGTCACCCAGATGGGGGTGGGTGCCCACTTGGAGGGCCTGGGGCTAGGTGTCTGCAGCCTTTCAGGGCAAATGCAGCCAGGAGAGGAAAATAGAGGAGGAGTGGGGAGTCCAAGCATCTTGTTGCTCAGCAAAAGCTGCCTTTGTGCCCAGGCATCAAGGTCAGGGAGAGGAGACTGCTGCTCTGTCACCTGTCCTGGGTGTGGGGTGGCCTCTGCTAACTTCTTCCCTGGGGGAACTATAATTCTAAAATGTGTTCAAGTTTCCCAAGAGAAAGAGGGTGCTGGCTGCTCACCTCTGCTTCCTGACCTCACTGTTAACCCAACTTCTCAGAACCAAGATAAATCATCCCTTTTTTAGCTTCTACTTGCTTTCAATTGCCTAAGCACAACCAACATTGCATTTGACCTGCACGCCAATCCCAGGGCCCAGTGACATGTCCAGGTGACCTGGGATTTCCCGAGTGGACTCCTCCCCTCCACCTGCCTCCTTCCCCAGGCGGCCCCTCCTCACCCTCAGGTTTAATGCTGCTACCTCCTTAGAAAGGCCCTCCTTGGCTGCCCTTTATGAATGATGTTTCTCAACCTTTGCTTTCACTCACTCACCCACATTACTTTCTGTGGCGTTAGCAATCACCCTGTTAATCTGTTTACTCGCATGCTGTCTGCTGAATCTTGCTAGGCTGCTATCCCATTCGGGTTGTGACCAGGGTCCTCCTGAAGCCTGGCCTCCAGGGGGCCACAAAGACCCAGCATCTGTGGTTTTAGGCTCAGGGGCCACAGAAGACAAGGGTTTCAGAAGAATGAGACTTAGAGCTACTTGGGGTTCAGGAGGTGAAATTGAAAAGATTCTTCTACCTGACCTTGAAGCAGAAGAGGACATTTCTGAGTGTCTCCTCGTACCAGGCATGCGCCATATTCTCTATCATTACATTTTCACAACAACCCCGCGCTGCAGGGGCTAGCTAGCATGCACACCTGCTTAAAGACCACCTGTCCTGAGCCCAGAGGAGTGAGACAACCTGCCCAGGGTCACACAACCAGTCACCTGCAACCTGAACAGCAAAGCCAATGCGCTGTGTTAGCATTGTGCCACTTCTCGAAATGTGCTGAGATGTGAACAATGCTTTATCCCAGCTTGAAGACACTGGTCACCTTATCTCCACAGCTCCTGAAGCCCCAGAGGCATCTCCGCCATCTAAAAAGTCATTCCCTGATAATCGAGCCCATGGTCCTGCTACTGCTCATCAGGCAGCTTCACTGACTCCCACCAGGACAGCAGCCAAGCATTGTTCCTTCCTCCAACTACACACATTCTTTCCTAACCCTTCCCTCCCCTCCAAGGATATTTTCTATTTCAAAATCGTTAAAATTATGCTAGTGACAATTCCATCTTTTATTAAATATAATTTTTTTCAAACTAGGAATGGAAACAGTCCCTTATTCTCTGGTTATTTGTTCAAATTTTCACATCAAAGCTAAGCAGCTGAAACACATTTTACTCTAATACCCTGGCATTTATCCAACTTGGTCCCTTTTATTTATGTTCCTTCCCTGGTATCATGACCTGTTGATACTTCTGCAAAGAGACCGGCAAGAGGGGTCCCAGAGAGTCATCCCTCCACCCCAGCTCTTCTCCTTCCAGTTCACCCAACCCATGTGGCACTGACAAGCCTGAACAGTGGTTCTCAAAGTGAGGCCCCTGGCCCACAACATCAGCATTGTTGGAGATTTGTTAAAAATGCAAGTTCCCAGGCTCCACCTAGACCTGCTGAGTTGGAAGTGGGGGCACTGCCCAGCAAGCTGTGTTTGCACCAGCCCTCTGGGGTGGAGAACCACTCATCTAAAGGCTACCGAGGCCTGGGCCCCAGCCTCTGCTAATAGCTTCATCTTCTCTCTTTCTTCTTAAGCAGTCTCAGGAGCACATTTGTTCTCATTTCTCAGGAGACCCGCCTTTCACAGTTATCCCTTTGCTGCTCTCATACCTGCAAGCTCCTCCTCTCTAATCCTTTTTACTCCCAGCTTGTTTCAAACACACCCGGGGGCCTCTTGTTGTGAAGGCATCTGCCCTCCTGTCCCACAGAATCAGTTCCCGCCTCCCTTCTCCTGGTGTGTTGCTTTGGCAGTGTACTTACTCTTTCTGAGCATCACATTGCCCTTCTTAAAAATAAGAGTAATGGCACCTATTTAACAGGATGGTAATAAGGACTTACTGAGATAACATTCGTAGAGGGATGTGCTAGGAGGGTTAATTCCAGCAGGTCTGAAATTGGCCTGAGCTGCTTTGCTGAAGTACGAGACATTCTGCATCAAACTATGAAAGGCAGTGATTAATACTTTTTTTTTTTTTTTTGAGATGGAGTCTCGCTTTGCCACCCAGGCTGGAGTGCAGTGGTGCGATCTCAGCTCACTGCAAGCTCCACCTCCTGAGTTCATGCCATTCTCCTGCCTCAGCCTCCCGAGTAGCTGGGACTACAGGCGCCCGCCACCACGCCCGGCTAATTTTTTGTAGTTTTAGTAGAGATGGGGTTTCACCGTGTTAGCCAGGATGGTCTCAATCTCCTGACCTCGTGATCCGCCCGCCTCGGCCTCCCAAAGTGCTGGGATTACTGGCGTGAGCCATCACGCTCAGCCAATACTGTTGTTTTTACCCTTGGGTCCGAGGTGAGTTTCAGGGTAGGTTCTGCCTGTTTGTCCTCATTGTTTATGGATGACTGTGAGACTGATGTTTTGCACGTGTTTGGGGAGGGGGCTCTGATGTTAGAGCTGCTCATGTAGCAATAATATGCTTATGTGACCAGAAGGCTGCAAAAAGCCCCACTGTGACTCCACTGGGCTGCTTGGATCTGAGGTGTTCCTTCCTTGCATGGGTATGTGGTTCTGAGAGAGAAAACACATCTGGCTCAGGCCTGCAGAGGGAAGACCATTGGAGGCAGCCCGTATCGGCCTCAGTGTGTCCACACTGCTTGCTGTGAGGCAGCCTTTGGATGCAAGGCAGGTCCTTGCCTTCATGCTTGTTGCTCTATCACATCCCTTCTTGTCAATAAACCACAGACTTGTGAGCACTGTCCTTCTGGGCCCTGTGAGTCTTCTTTAGCAATCGAATCTGTCTGACTGCGCTGTTAGTGGAAGTGACGTTACAGTTATGTTTCCCTCTGCATTGTTAACAAAGAAAATTCCCCGTTGAACCGCTCACAATAATTGCTGTCCACTTCTTTCTTCATCACTTACTGCGTTCTCTGCACTCTCCTATCCCCTGCCTACATCTGGATTCCATCCCTACCACCTGACTGAAACCACAGCCACAGAAGTCACCCCCTGCTAATGACGGAATCACTGACCTTCTAGCTCTTAGTTAACACAGTGGTCATGCTGCCACTGTGAACTCTTCCTTATACATGGCACCATCGTCCTTCATCTCCCCATGACTTCAGTTTGTCTCACTGATTCCTTTTCCAACAAACTATGGGTATTCTCCCAACTTTGTGCTTGGCTTGGCTCTTTCTGTTGGATAACTGATTTATACTCACTAAATATTCATAACACCTGTGTTCGGGTGACTCCCAAGTGGCCCTCTCTAGTCTTGTTCTCTTTTCCACCCTTTGCCCTGCTCTCTGATGGGATGTGCACTTATACGTCTCACAGGTACCTCAGATTTCTTAGAACCAAACCTGCCTTCCTTGCAAAACTTACCTGTTCTTCAAGTCAGTCAAGACTGAAAAATTGAATTCTCCCTTGACTTCGCCCTCTCCATCTCAATGAGTTCTGAACTTCAGATCTCTTTCTCTGTGAATCAGTCTTTCTCTTTTCCTCTATCTCTTTCTCTGTATCTCTCACTCCTCACCTCTTCTCCCCAATTCGGGCAATCATAAAATCATGATATTCATAGAGAATGGCCTTTTTCTGCTTTCCTTGTCCCTTGTATAGATGCCACTATCACAGGCCACCTGATATCATTCAGTGGTGTAAGAATATGTCTTGAGGATTTTCCTCTGAGCCCCCAAACCTTTCTAACTCAAAGGTGTGATGAGAAAAAGATACCTGCATCATAGTCTCAAAGTATCTCCTGCAAGATATTTACTAATGACAAATGGAAAAATGGTAACTTTGCACTAGAGAAACCTGACAGATAGCACCTTAGTCAAGGGACCAAGGTCAACATGCCAGTATAAGACATATCAATAGCATGTGCACCAGCACAGAAACAAGCAGAGCACATCAGCCGTCTCCTTCCCTGTAGTGCACAGCCTCACCTTGATCTAGTTGTGAGAAAATATTAGACAAACCCAAATGGAAGGTCATTCTACCAAATAACTGACCAGTTCTCTTCAAAAGTATAAGGGTAATGACAAGGAAAGACTCAGGAACTGTCGCAGATTAAAAGCGACTAATGAGACATAATAACCAAATGCAGGGTAGGACCTAGATTGGATTCTAGAACAGAAAGAGGACATTAGTGAGAAAAGTAGTGAAATTTTTGTAATGATGTTGGTAGAATAGTTAACACGGTTGTGTCAATGTTAATTCTCTGGTTTTGATAATAGTACTGTGGTTTCGTAAAGTGTTAACATTTGGAAAAACTCGGTGAAAGGTAAATGGGAACTCTAAACTTTTTACAATTTTTTCCTAACTTAAAAAATTATTATTTAAAGTTATTATAATTTAAAAATATATTTAAAATAAAAAGTTTAAAAAGATGACACAAATGATCAATATCTGGAATGAAAAAGGAATATTGGCCCTGGAGGCATCAAAAGGATAATATGGTAATATTATGAACAATTCTACATATATAAATTTAGCAACTTAGATGAAATGGACCAATTCCTTGAGAAGCCCAAACTACCTTAATTAATCTAATATGAAACCGGTCATTTGGATAGTCCTACAACTATGGAAAATTAAATTCAGAATTTAAAAGCCTCCTCCAAAGAAATGTCCAGGCCTAGATGGTTTCACTGGAGAATTCTACCAAACATTTAAATATGAATTAACACCTATTCTACTGTCTCTTCCAGAAAATAGAAGAAATGAAAACACTTTCCGACACTTCTACGAAGCCACAATTACTCTCATACCAAAACCAGACAAACCCAATGTAAACAAATAAAACTATAGACCAATATCCCTCATGAATATAGATGCAAAAATCTTTAACAAAATATTACTGATGGGATTCATCAATATTGAAAAGTAATTATATACCATTATTAAGTGGGGTTCATTTCAGAAATGTAAGTCTGGTTTGATCTTCAAAAATCAGTCAATGTAATCCACCATATTAACAGACTAAAAAGAAAAATCACATGATCACATCAGTTGATGAAGGAAAAAAATTCATAAAATTCAACATCCCCTTCATGAAATAAGAATAGAATACTTTCAACTTAACAAAGAGCATTCACAAAAAACCTACAGCTAACATCATATTTAATGGTGAAAGAATGGTTTTCCCCTAAGATTGGGAACAAGCAAGGATGTCTGCTCTCATCACTCTTATTCAGCATAGTGCTGGATATTCTTGCCAGTGCAATCAGGTAAGAGAAGGAAATGAATGGCATGTATATTAGAAGAAAAGGAGTAAAACTTATTTGCAGATGACAAGATGTCTAATGCAGAAAACCTCAAGGACTCTGAAAACTTTTAGAACTAAGAAGTGACTACGGCAAGGTCACATGACACAAGGTCAACATAAAAATCAGTTGTATCTCTCTGTAATATCAATGAACATGTGGACACTAACATTAAAAATGTAATTCTATTTATAATCATTCAATAAAAATAGTTATAAATCTAACAAAATATGCATAGGACTTGTATGCTGAACACCATAAAACATTAAAGATATAAAAATCTACTAATTAAATAAATGTAGAAACATACTGTGTCCACAGATTGAAAAACTCAATACACTAATGATGCCAATACTCCCCAAATTGATGTATAAATTGACAGACAATTCCTGTCAAAATTCAGCAAGATTTTTAATAGATATGGACAAAGTTATTGTAATATTTATATGGAGAGGTAGAAGAATTAGAATAGTTAAAATAATTTTGAAAAAGAAGGATAAAGTGAGAAGAATCAATCTAGCCAATTTTAAGGTTTACCATATGACTACAGTAATGAAGACTGCAGTACTGGTGAAGGAATAGAAATATAGATTGAAGGAACAGAATAGAGAACCCGGAACTGATTTTTGACAGAGGTGAAAAAGCAACTTGACAGAGGAAAGATGGTCTTGGCAACAAATGGTGCTGGAACAAGGGACAGGCATAGGCACAAAAAACAAGAAAAAAAGAAAGAAAGAAAGAAAGAGACTTGACCTAAGTCTCATACCTTGTATACAGTAAAAATTAACTTAAAATGGATCACAAACTTGAATGTAAAATATAAGACTACAAAACTTTTTGAAAATAAACATACGAGAAAATCTTAGGGATTTAGGGTTAGGAAAGAAGTCGTTACTAGACTTCATACCAAAAGCATGATCCATAAAAGTAAAAATTGATAAACTTGAACTTTTTGTTCTGTGAAAGAGAGTAAAAAGACCAGCTACTGACTGGGAGAAAATATTTGCAAACCATGTATCTGACAAAGGACTACTATCTAGAATATATAAAGAATTCTCAAAACTCAACAGTTAAATCCATTAGAAAATTGGCAAAAAAACCACAAAGAGACATTTCACTGAAGAGAAGGTATATATGACAAATAAGCACATAAAAATGTTCAACAACCTTAGCCATCAAGGAAATGCAAATTAAAACACAATGAGTTATCATTACACATCTATCAGAACAGCAAAAATAAAAAACAGTGACAACACCAATAGTTGACAAGGACGCAGAGAAACAGATCACTCACATGCTGTTTGTGGGAACGAAAATGACACAGCCACTCTGGAAAGCAGTTTCTCCTAAAACTAAACATAAAACTACCATGCAACCCAGCAACTGGATTCCTGAGCACTTATCCTAGAGAAATGGAGTCTTAACATTCACCCAAACACCTTTATAAGGATGTTCATAGCAACTTTCTTCATAATAGCCTGGAACCAGAAATGATCCAGAACCCTCAAGGAGTGAATGACTAAACAAACTGTGGAATGCCCATACCATGAAATACTACTCAGTAAGGAAAAGGAATGAACTCTTGATAACCACAACAACTTGGATGAATATCCAGGGAATTATTCCAAGTAAAAAAAAATCCCCAAATTACATATTATATGATTCCATTGATATAACATTATTACAATACAAAATTGTAGAAATGGAGACAGATTAATGGTTGCCAGAGGTTAAGAATGAGGTTGGGTAAGTGACTGTGGATATAAAGAGCAGCACTGGGGAACCTTGTGGGATGGAAATGTTCTACATATTGACTACATCAACATTAATGTCCTGGTTGTGATATTGGACCATAGTTTTGCACAATGCTACCATTGGGAGAAAACAGGTAAAGGGGACACTGGAACTCTATTATTTCTTACAACTGCAGATCAATATACAATCATCTCAAAATAAAATGTTTAATTAAAAACATACTTTGCCCACTCCTGGAGACCCTTTACAGCTCTTCCTTAAATACTGATTTTTCCTTAAGTACTGCCTGTATCAGGGCACTACTGTCACTGAACATTTTGAGGCACTTTTTTTTTTTATCTTACCAAGTCTCTGCCTAGCTTTATTGGGCTTTCACATCTTGACCTGTGCCGACCTATTTCTCAAATATACCTATTTGAGTTACGTAAGTTCTGAATTTTTGTTACAGTCACTCATAGCAGTTTAATCTGGACAAATCATGGACTCTGCCAATTTCTGTTTCCTCATCCACTTCCTTGCTGTTCACAGAGCTACTTTAATTAAAGATATCTCTTTAATTAAAGGTACGGTGAAAATTCAGACATATAATGTCCCCAGTGTTCCCCCTCAAAAACATTATCCAGAAAGAAAATGAAGTCAGACCCTATGCTGACTTCTAGCCAAGGCCATTGCAAGCTGACGGTTCACAAGATGCACTCTTTTCTTCTGGAGATCTGTCCTGGAATATTCTGTAACATTGACATGACTGCCATAATTTGCAGAAGCAAAGTTCTATTCTTCCTCTTAAAACTCCTAAACAGTGTTTATTTTATGAAAATTCTCAGGGTGTGATCAAAGAAAACCCCCCTGGATACGCCGTGGATTTCATACAGTACTTTTGCCCAGCTGTGTTGGCATCTGCTGGTGCTCATCAGAAATTAACGTTCTCAGGCCCCACTCAGACCTACTGAACCAGAACCCACATTTCAACTGTATCGCCAGAGATGCTTACACACAGCAAAATTTGAGAAGTGCTGCTCTATAATGGATATAATGTAATCCCTGGCTCACAGGGTTGATGTGAGAATTAGCAGAATACCCGGTACTTACTCTTTCCTTTTCCATCACAGTCAGCCTAGTGTCAGGAAATTACTTCCCTCTAGCCCTTCCTTGCACTGGCCAAGAAATGAAGACAACCTTTCAGACACGATCGGCCCACAGGATGGAGAAGCTCAAGGCCCTGATGAGTTGGGACCCATTTATCCTGTTCTAGTTTCCTGCAGCTGCAGAAACTCACATGAAGTTGCTGGTTAAGTGACAGCTTTTGCTTCCCACTTGAACAGCTGTTTTTTATTTGCTTCTTTGCTTTTATCTTGTAGTCTATACTCACTGTCCCATTTCCGTCAGTACTGACTTTCATCTTGTTAGATTCAGTGCACCACAACTCCTGCCTAGGACAAGCCATCTGGACTCCTTTTGGCTCTAGTTGCCCGGCCTAACCTCCAGGCAGAATCACACACTCACAGCTCTGCGTACTCACAGGACCGGATCCACACCCCAGGGACCTCACTATCTTAAGGAGCATCCCATCTCATTCACCTGCTATCTCCTCACTGGGAAGTTCCTGGAGATCAAGAACTGATACATGCATATTTGCAACCCTACGACTTAGTGCTGAATAAAACTTAACCAAATAAATGACAATTTGATCTGTGGGCCACGAATGTTCTCACTGTGCAAGAGTAGGTGTCAGGGCACCTCAGCCTGCCCATCAGCTGCCTGTTTTTTATAAATTAAGTTTTACTGGAACACAAGCACAACTGTTCATTTATGTAATGTCTATTGGCTGAGTTGGCTGGTTGTAAACAGAGACCATAGAGCCTGCAAAACTTGCAATATTTACTGTTGATCCTTCATGAAAAACTTTGCTAACCCTTATTCTACAGCATTTAGAAAATGGCTAGATGGGAAGGAAGACACAGCCTCACAGCAGTCTGCCAGAGACCCCTTTCTAGGCTTAACTAAAGGACTGACAGACAAATGTGTTCTCTGTATATAGTCATTGACAATGGTGACTCCTATCTCATTAAAATGACATTCAGGCTACACTTTTCCCATCTTTACCATAGGACTGTCATGAGGAATTTACAAGAGCAGAGTGTTATAGCTTGAAGGGACTTTTGAAGTCACTTAGATCCCAAACTTTCATTTTACAAATGGAAAATCTGGTCTTGAAAGTGAAGTGACTTCTCTAAAGAGAATAACAGGTAAGTGAGGGTTTAGAGATTTGAACTCAACTCTTCTAATTCCAAATAAACTTTTTTTCACAATTACACTATGCTACCTCTTTAATCAAACGTACTCCAAAAATTCAGATGTATAATGTCCCCGGTGTTCCCCCTCAAAAACATTACCCAGAAAGAAAATGAAGTCAGACCCTATGCTGACTTCTAGCCAAGGCCACTGCAAGCTGACGGTTCACAAGATGCACTCTTTTCTTCTGGAAATCTGTCCCGGAATATTCGGTAACATTGACATGACTGCCATAATTTGCAGAAGCAAAGTTCTTTTCCTCCTCTTAAAACTCCCAAACAGTGTTTAGTTTATGAAAATTCTCAGGGTGTGATCAAAGAAAAGCCCCCTGGATGCGCCGTGGATTTCACACAGTACTTCTGCCACACATCTGCAATCAGCGCCTGGTCCCTGAGGTATCTCTGTTGCCTCTATCTTCTATTTGTCCGTATACATGGGATGAGGAAAGGGTCCAATAATTTTCTTCCCAATTTATATGAAATGATGCTAATAACTTATTAAACATTGTTTCTCCTTGGATTCTATGTATGAGCACCAGGTCTAGTTTACCATGTAGTGCACACTTGTCTTATCCTGAGAGTTGCTACCACGGTATGCCATGTGTCTTGCATGTCAAGATTCTATTCAGATCTATTCAAGATATTATGGAATGTGTTTTCTACTTTTGAAATATAATTTCAAAGAACTGTGGCTTGTGTTTAAAAATGGTAAGTTCTAATTAAATGACAGCACAAGTATAAACTGGAACATAGATACTGAAATTACATTTTTGAAGTTTTATATTTCTTGGGGAAACACTTAGGAAGTGAAAAAAATCAAGAGAAAACCATATATATTAAAAAACCTCAAGAATGTAAAACTGCATATGTAAAAGACTAAAGGAAAAGATGCTAAACTGTTTTCATATAGCCATATCTGCCACTCTATTTCTTTATCATTCTGGGTTTCCTGCATTATTTAAGAAGACCTCTCTCAATTGAGATTATATGGATCACATTCTACTCTTTTTCCTACTATTTACATAACTGGATTTTTTTGCTCTACATTTAGGTTCAAAACCCATCTGGAATTTATTCATGTACGTGCCTCAGTGTTGGCATCCAATTTTATTCCCTTCCAACATCATTGATTACAACAAGATACTTATTAAATATGCCATCTTTTCCAAGTGAGTTAAAATATATCTATACTTTGATCTGTTTGCAAAATCTCTTCTTTCAGTGATTTTAATTTTTTTCATTTTTGGCACCAATACTATATTTTTTGATGAGTGTAGCTATGTGACACCTTTATAGATGACACAAGACCCCTCTTACTATTCTTCTTGAAGAATTTCTTGCTGACATTGCTGGACAGCTTGGGCTCAGTTAAAACAAAAACCTAGAGTACTGACCAAAATTGCATTACAAATACATGTTAATTTCAAAATAACTGATGGCTTCAAATTCAGCTTCCCCATCCAGGAGTACAGTATAATTTTTCATTTATCTAGATTTTTAAGTCCTTTAATAAAAAGTCATACTTGTCATACTTCTTGCTTTTGGTATGAATTCCTATGGTAAAACATAAATATAATATATACAAAGTAAAAAAGAGATTGGGAGAAACTTCCAACCCATCTGACCAAAAGTTAGAGTTCCTAATATATAAAGAGCCTGCACCATAGAGAATTAAAAGGGAGAACAGCCTTAGGAGACAATGGGCAGGAGCCACTTCTGTAAAAGAGAGGCTGGGGACAGCTGACAGCCTGTGAAAGCACACACCACCTGCCCCGCACAAGCAGTCAAGCAAATGTGAGATGACACAAGACACTTTTGCTTTTTAATCTAATGAGACTGTAAAACTTAAAAAGAGTTTCTAACATCCGGTGGTGGTAAAGATGTGGGGAAACAGCACTTCATACATTAATGGTGAGAGCATGGATCGAAAAAAGATGAATCAGCAGATTTAAAAAGTTAAATTGCACATGCCCTTTGCATCACAGTGTTAGGATTTTATTCCACAGAAATTAAGAGTTTTAATAAAGAAGAAGACATGTGTAAGAGGCTTTCCCCTCCTCAGCATTATTTGGGATGGCAAAAGCGTGACCACCATCCATAGGGGAGAGGCGGGAGGAATTTGGACGCAGCCGCACTATATTGTAATGAGCATACACTTTCGCACTGTCATATCTTTCTTCCTTAAGTCATGTTTCCTTTGCAGCCCTCCTCTTTAAGACTGATTTATATTCAGAATCAAAGAGGCCACTGATCAGCCCTGAGCCTTAGTGCTGACTTTTCTTAACCTCCTTAGCAAGAATATCCTCTAGAAATCCAGGTTTATTGGAGGAAGAGGAAGCAATTAACCAATTTTCTAAATTCCAATAGCTCCATTAGCATTTCAAGGGTCTTTTGAGGGAGACCCAGACAGAGAATTTTACTATCTGTCACGGACAAGGGGACTTCAAGACTCGATGACTAAGAAATGGAAAGCCCCACTTCAAGGGACTCTGACGGGGAGGAAGCTGGGGAAGGAGGCAGTGAGAGATACAGGTGGCCTGGGCTGTTTCTGGGCCCAAGGCCCCAGTGGAGGGGAATGTCAGAGAAGATGTGAAAGTGACAGCAGTCGAGGAGTAGATTACACTCTGCTCCTCTTTGGGATTGTGGGAAGAGACTAGACAGAATCCGAGCGGAATGCCACAGCATACAAGGTAATGCAAAAGACCTGCAGGACAGAGAGGGAGAGAAAACACAGGCCACTCCCAGGTCGTGCCCAGGAAGAGCTGTGTGCGCTCCTGCAGAGGGCTGAACAGGCCAGACCTCCTAGCTACGCCTGCTAGAGCAAGGATGCTATGGCCTAGGACCACAGGATGAATCCCCAAGACTCAGGGCTGGAAAAGCAGGACTGGCAGACTCAGAAGCAGAGAGCTGAGGGACCCAGGGGCATGAGCACTCACAGGAAAGGGCAGGAACTCCATGAGATGCAGACGTCCACAAAGGTGCCAGCGGGGCACCACAGGTGTGGACAAACCCAGCAGCATTCTCTGGACACCAGCCTGCACACACGTGGGGCACCTGGGAACCTGCATAGGGACAGCTATGAGATCCCCGGATACACTTGTGGCTCCAGTGTCCTTACTAAAGTGCCCCCTCACTCCCAAGAGTTTTACATTTGCACAACAGATGATGTGGCCAGGGAACCAGGAGGAGATGGGGTCCTGAAGAACCGGGCATTCACCAAAGAGGATTTACAGCCGCAGAGCATGGGATGACACTGATGGAAAGGCTGAGGGCGGGAAGAGACAGAACACAGAGCACAGGAGGACACATCAGTTAGAGGAAAATAAAGCTCCATTTGCTTTGCATATCTGTGTGTGGTGGTTCTATATGCAGGCCTGCTGCCCATGAAAGAGGACTGTGCAGCTGCCTTAAAAAATGTTTTTGTATGTGTGTATATGCAAATATATGTGTATATATATATACACACACATACATTATACACACACACAAGTGTGTGTGTATCTGGGAATGCTTCCATAGTTTATTGTTAACTAAAGAAAACAAGTTGCAGAGGAATATATGGTCTAAGTCCTTTTGTTAAGACAAAACAAACAAAACAAAATAAAACCCTATAAATAGTCATGTTTGTGTAAGTACAGAAAAAGTTATGGAAGTATAAACTGCATCCTGGGAGATAGAACAGAAGTGGGAAAAGAATACGACAAATAGAGTCACTGGTCACCACGAGTGTGCACTGATTTTGTAATAGAAATAAGGAATAAAAATGTTATCAGTCACAGCCATGAGTGATAGGATCCTAATTGTCACTTTTGTCTTTGTTTCTTATGTGTTTTCTGCACTTTCCCTAATAGACATCTGTCTTTTTTGTAATCAGAAAAACGTAGATATTAAACAAACACAAAGGCACTGAAGCCTTCAACTCCATTTGCTATTTATCACAGAAAGGGCTTTTTCTAGTCAGGCCACAATCAATTCAGTTGAATGAACATGAACTGAAACGCACACCTGCACGTGCTCCTGGGGTGAGTGTTCTGAAGGACAGGCACCCACCACTGGGCCACCAGGACATGAATTTCACCCAGCCGCACGGCCATGGGAATACCTGCCAGAAAAGTTCTCAGACATCCAGAATGGCCTCCAGCCCTGCATAGAGGTGCAGAGCAGGACAGCAAGACCTCAGGGCAGGGGGCACCAGAGGGAGACCTGGGAGGACAAGGCCAACAGCTGGGCAGTAAGAAATAAGAAGAATGTGTGTTCTTCTGCTGCCGGGTGGAATGATCTGTGAATGTCTGTTAGGTCCACTTGGCCTACACTGCTGTTCACACCCACGCTTCCTTTTTGATTTTCTGTCTGGAAGAGCTATCCATTATTGAAAGTGGAATACTGAAATCCACTATTATTGTATTGCTGTTTCTCCCTTTGCTGTCCATAGAAGCAGTCCCAGTCAATTTCTACAGCTTTACCTCCTGCAATAGCCAAGCATCTGGGGCCCCCAGGCCACAAACTTGGGGTAGGGGAGTCTTTCTTTCTAATTGCCCAGCTACCTTGTCCTCCCAGGTATTCCCATGGCCGTGCGGCTGGGTGAAATTCAAGTCCCGGTGGCCCAGTGGTGGGTGCCTGTCCTTCAGAACACTCACCTGAGGAGCATGTGCAGGTGTGTATTTCGGTTCATGTTCATTCAGCTGAATTGATTGTGGCCTGACTAGGAAAAAAAAAACAAAACCCTTTCTATGGTGAATAGCAAATAGAGTTGAAGTGTTCAACACCTTTGTGCTCATTTAATATGTATGTTTTTCTGGTTACAAAACTGACAGATGTCTATTAGGGAAAGTTCAGAAAACACATAAGAAACAAAGATGAAAATAACAATGATCTAGAATCCTATCACTTAAAGGCTGTGACTGATAACATTTTTATTCCTTATTTCTATTACAAAATCAGGGCACACTCATGGTGATCAATGAATCTGTATTTGTCATATTCTTTTCCCGGTTCTGTTCTGTCTCCCAGGATGCAGTTTACACTTCCATAACTGGAAGCCCACATAAAACATGTTTTCCTTCCTTTGTTTCTCCCTCTCTCTTGCCTTACCTTACTTTATATCACCACTCTCCAGAATTCTGCAAGCTTCACTTGCTATAAATCACCTTGAAGACACCTGACTCTCCAGGAGGATTAAATTCTAAATTATGCAATGATATCTGTAATACCTACAGAGTTTTTGGAAAATGGAAAAATACAAACCAGGAATGACAAAGGCATCACCTCCCTAACATCTCTTAGAGCAAGATACTTTGCAAAACTGCACTGCTTTTAAGTTAGAGAGTTGATTCCATGTTTTATACTGAGGTTCAAAGAACATATGAAAAGAATGCATATTTGAGATTATTGGAAATAAAGGAGAAGAAATGCCTTTGATGTTTGTGTCATCTCAGATTAAGATACATCAACTGCATTACTTAAAGTGGCTTTCCCTGTGTATAAATGCTGAGTGGCTGGAAGGCCATGGCCACTTACCAGGACAATGGCCTGAAAGGTGATTTTTCCTGCTTCCTTGGCAGATGGCGGTTATTGTGTTTTTGTGTTTCTGTCTCACTTGAGCGTCTACATGGTGCAGCAATATGAAAGCTCAACTATGGCCCAGAGCACTTCTGGGCTAGTGGGAGGCTTCCCCTCACACAAGAGTGACCCTCCTGAGTGATCAGCTACCTCTGCTTAGGGCGGTGCAGAGGGTCAGTAGTTAACTGCTCAAAGGAAAACTGAAAGAGCAGGACTTTGGGGATGTAATCAAAATGCAACTTATTTACTTATTGTTTTAAATCTCTTTCTGGCCCCTTTAAAATGCATTTAGTTGAGAGAATTCCAAAGGGTCCTTCCTGGGGAAGGTGCTGTGCCTGGCATCTGTCTTCTGCTAACTGCTCTGGGGTAGTGGTGTGGAGGTGGGGGAAGGAGCATTTTGGACTGAAGGGACTGCTTCATGTCCTGTCTCGGGCTTGGGGTCCGGCCACCGGAGGAGGCTCAGCTGCTCTCCTGGGAGCCTCTTTGGAGATTTCCACGGTGGGGTCACTCACGTGCAGCATTCCTACCGCAGGCAGCTGCACGCCTCCTCTTAACAGTCACTTTCTGCAGTGTCAGCGTACTAGGCATCTGAAGTCCTCCTCTAGCTTCTTGCTACTCGGGTCCCTCTCTCCTTCCACGCTGCCCCAGTGACAGGGCCCAACACCACCCCTGCCAGCTCCCACAGGCACGGCCCATCCGGGGGCCATAATGGTCCTCACGCACTCTGACAACCGTAAGGAATGCATCCTGGTCCCTTTCCTCACTCATGAGATGCCCAGATCCAAGCATTGGCACCTTTATCTTCAACACTCTCTTGATCCTCAGCCTAAAGGCTCCAGGTGAGGGGTAGGTCACCTTCCCCAAGCCCCAGAAACAGAAGGACATTGAGTTGACAGTGGCATTCTAACAGCTTTTTCAAAAATTTCTCTTCACAGAATCCTTTCTCCTCCCTACATCTGATTCCTTCTTTATATTCTTGATCAGTTCAAGGTGTTCAAAAATGAGGGAAATGATCCTAGCTCATTCCTTCCTAACTGGGGCTTCTGGCCTGGCATCTCATTTTAGATGTGTCATCTGTTACACTTCCATATTGCTGTCAAACTTCAATACTGACATTCTGTTGCATGTGGCTTTATAGAGGTCATATTTGACAAAAATGACATTGTGGAGTATTTGAGAGAGTATTTATGTCCACAGTAAATGTGCTGAGTCCATGGGAAAGCCATATGAGAAAATCTGTCTTCTTACTTCACAGTATACATGAAAATCAACTCCAAGTTGATGGCGTTTCTGAATGTAGAGGGTAAAACAATAAATCCTCTAGAAAGCAACATGGAGGAGCATCTGCATGAACTTGGGATGGGCAGAGAGTTCTGAAACAAGATGCCAAAACTACTATTGAAATGGTAAAGTACGCTGGGCACGGTGGCTCACACCTGTGATCCCAGCACTTTGGGAGGCTGGGGCGAGCAGATCACTTAAGGTGGGGAGTTTGAGACAAGCTTGGGCAACATGGTGAAACCTTGTCTCATCTAAAAATACAAAAATTAGCCGAGTGTGGTGGTGGGCGCCTGTAGTCCCAGCTACTCGGGAGGCTGAGGCAGAAGAATCGCTTAAACCCAGGAGGCAGAGGTTGCAATGAGCTGAGATCGTGCCACTACACTCCAGCCAGGACAACAGGGAGAGACTCTGTCTCAATAACGACAACAATAAAAAACCCTAACAGATAAAGTAGATACATTAAGAACTTCTCTGCACTAGCAAACAACCTAGAGAAGGTGAAAAGCAACCTACACAGAGAGAAAACATCATTGCAATCCATAGACTCAGTAAAGGACTGGTACCCTGAATAAACACTTCAGAAGTTAATAAGAAATAAACAGTCAATTCAATAGCAAAATGGAAATATACTTGTACATACACTTCACAAGATGACATCTGAATGGCCAAAAATCAATGAAAAGTTGCTCAACCTTATTAGTCATCAGTGAAATTAAATGAAAATGAAAATTAGATACCCACCAGAATGTCTAAAATTACAAAAATTGAAAATACCGAGTGTTGGCAAAGATGTGACGCAACCAGGGCCCTCCCACGGAGCTGGTGTGAGTGTAATTAGTAAGGCAACTTGGAAAAACCGCTTGGCAGAATCTACCACAGCTCATCCTACACATCCCCTGTAAGCCAGTACTTTCAGCACTCGGTACCTACACAACCAAAATGTGTACACCTGTGCACCAAAAAATACAGGAAGTATCGCCATAGGACTAAGAACTAGAAGCAGCCCAAATGATAACCAATGGATCCACTGGACAATTGGAATATATGGATAAACTACAGTATACTCACACACGGACAAATAGTACATGAATAGCGTAGTATGAATGAATGAACTGGTGGTACACACAGCAAACATTATTTCATTCCATTCATCACACTGAGTTTAAAAATAGGCAAAACTGCAGGTGAGAGGTCAGGAGAATGGAAAGACTGAATAAAGGAGAAAGAATAGGGAGAAGGCTCAAGGGGGCAGATGCCTGCATCTCATGTTCTAGTTTTTGAGCTGGGCAGTGATTATTTAATAAAAAGGCATATTTACATTTTTTTATAATTCATGAAGTTGTACATTTGATGTGCATTTTTCTGTATGTACATTATTCTTCAATAAAAACAATGAGCCGCAAAAATCTACGGGCCATAAAACAGCCCTTATGCAAAGCTAATAAATAAGCTTGTGAAGGACTTTTCCAAATTCTGTCAGCACACATTTTTGAAAAACAGCATTACTGGCATTCAGCTGGACATTTGCTGGTGTGCTATTGATCAGTTCATTTAGTTTAAGTATTTTTACTAACATGAGCAAACCACAGTCTGCCCCTTTCTCCAATTTCTTCTCAACACAGCCACAAGAATCTTTAAAAGATGTAAATTGGCCAGGCGTGGTGGCTCACGCCTATAATCCCAGCACTTTGGGAGGCCGAGGCAGGCGGATCACCTGAGTTCAGGAGTTTCAGACCAGGCTGGCCAACATGGTGAAACCCCGTCTCTACTAAAAATACAAAAATTAGCCGGGTGTGGTGGTGGGCACCTGTAGTCCCTGCTACCTAGGGTGCTGAGGTAGGAGAATTGCTTGAACCTGGGAGGCTGAGGTTGAAGTGAGCTGAGCGCACCACTGCACTCCAGACTGGGCAACAGTGAGACTCTGTCTCAAAAAAACAAAACAAAACAAAAGATGTAAATTATGTCACATCCTACCTTGCTTGAAACCCAACAATAGCTTCCCACTGCACTGGAGTGAGACCAAACTTCTTTCCAAGCCTTCGACTGTCCTGCCTCACTTCGCTGTTCCACCTCTGCAGCTTCAGATGGCGCCTGGCTGTCCAGAACCAGCACTGCAGGCTGAGCCTTCTGTGTGCCCCACACACAGCCTGCTGCTTCCTTGGCCTCTGTGCCCTGGGACTGACTTCACCTGGAAGAGCTTCCACAGTGCTTCCCTTCCCCCTCCTTTTAGTTCAAGTGTCTGCTTCAATTTCACCACTGCTAAGAAGCCTTCTCTGACTTCCTTGCTGAACTACATTCCCCATTATTTCACTGCAGTACCAATCACTTCTTTTGTAGCACTACCATTGTCTGTAATAACACTACATACATCATCTGTCCATTCATTGATCCATCCAGCCAGTCATATATGCCATTCTGTTCCCTGGAGAATTTAAGTTCTGGGAACTTGCTTGTTTTGTCTTTTCTACCCTTGGGACCTTAGTACACAGTTCAGGGGATGCTGCAGCCACTCAGTGAAAACAAGTTGAAGAAATAAATGAAAATTATAAAGTCAACTGGCCATTCAACACATTCCTCTGCTTTATCTCTGAGCATTTCATCCTTTTCCTAACTCCAAAGTGACCCTTTCTTGAAGGGTACACTGCTATTTCCATTCAAGAAAATTCTATCGAGTCCTTCCTACAGGTGCTAGGCTGTGCGCTGTTCTGAGGGTACAATAAGAACGGGTGCTGCCCACAGTGCAGTGGTGCAGTGAGACGCAAATAGAGAGAGCTGTGGCTCATGCTGGTTTGTAAGGAAGTTAGATAGTTATAAAAACTATAAAAACGAATATATACATATTAAAATGTTTATAATTTATAATATAAATATAAAAACGATTTTTTGGCAGAAACCCAAAGAAACAGATAATAGCATGAGAAATATGTGTTTTTTATATATATAAAATAATTTACAATTATATTATTTAAACATATTTTATATATAATAGTATATAAAATACATATAACATAATACACATGTATTATATATAAAATACACAAATATATTTTTATATATTTATATACATTATATAATACATACTACATATTATGTATTATATGTAATATTGATTAATATATTACATATGGATTAATTACATATTATATATTATTACATATGTTATTTCAATAATGGAATTTGTATTAACACCTTTGCTCTGTGTTCTAAAAGGAGATCATCTTGTTGAGATACATTAGCATTCAAAGATGGAGGAGCAAATGACGTGTGAGTGGGCACAGCCTCCACAGAGAGCAACAGGACAGCGGGGAGCATGAGCCTTCAGACCATGGGCACACATGGACCAGCGATGGCTCCCGTGAGAATGTGCAGTGGGGAGAGACAACACATGTTCTGATACCTTTGTTACCGCATCTCAAAGGCACGCTGGAGGCAAACTGATGAGAATCCAACAGTGGGGAATGCTGCATGGAACCTGGCCTATCAATTTTAGTGAGATACTTTGCGGATTAAAAGTTATCAAAAGATGAAGACTTCCCAGGGCTAGGTACCTGGACTACACTATGCAGAATCTGTGCATACGGACAAAGGGAGGAGGCTGCATGGGGAAGTCCCTGGCTGAAGCTGCCCAGAGGCCTTCACCGTGGGGATGAGCCACAAAGCCTGTGGCCTGTGGGGCCGTCACACATCCTGCTCGATAATGTGGCATAAAAGGCCTTCTTTAACTCTGCCTACTTTATTTAAAATTTTATTTTGAAATAATTTCAGATATATAGAAAACTTGCAAAAATAGTATACAGAATTCCTACATAACCTCACAACTAGATCCCCTCAAAGGTTAAAGTTTTACATTTATCATTCTCTCCACATACAAGTCTGTTCTACAGATACTATTCAGGTTTCATCCATTGTCCCAACAATGTCCTTTGTAACAAAATGGTTGTTTTCTGTCCAGGATCCCACATTGCATTTCGTTTTCATGTTTCTAATCTAGTTTTTGAAAATCTGAAACAGTTTCTCAGTCTATCACTTTTTTTCTTTTAAAAAATTTTTATTATACTCTAAGTTCTGGGATACATGTGCAGAAGGTGCAGGTTTGTTACACAGGTATACATGTGCCATGGTGGTTTGCTGCACTCATCAACCCGTCACCTACATTAGGTATTTCTCCTAATGTTATCCCTCCCCTCGCCCCCCAGTTCCCAACAGGCCCCAGTGTGTGATGTTCCCCTCCCTGCGTCCATGTGTTCTCATTGTTCAACTCCCACTTATGAGTGAGAACATGCGATATTTGGTTTTCTGTTCCTGTGTTAGTTTGCTGAAAATGATGGTTTCCAGCTTCATCCATGTCCCTACAAAGGACATGAACTCATCCTTTTTCATGGCTGCATAGTATTCCATGGTGTATATGTGCCACATTTTCTTTATCCAATCTATCACTGATAGGCATTTGGGTTGGTCCCAAGTCTTTGCTATTGTGAACAGTGCTGCAATAAACATACATGTGCATGTGTCTTTATAGTAGAATGATTTATATACCTTTGGGTATATACCCAGTAATGGGATTGCTGGGTCAAATGGTATTTCTAGTTCTAGATCCTTGAGGAATTGCCACACTGTCTTCCACAATGGTTGAACTAATTTACATTCCCACCAACAGTGTAAAAGCGTTCCTATTTCTCCAAATCCTCTCCAGCGTCTGTTGTTTCCTGACTTTTTAATGATCACCATTCTAACTGGTGAGAGATGGTATCCTTGGGCAGAGTTCAGTCTATCATTCTGCAACCCTGATACCCTACTTAGGGTAGAATGTCCCCAGTCTGGGTCTGCCCTGTGAGGCCTCATGATTAGACTCTGTTGTGTATTGCTGGCAGGAACACTGTGGAAGTGATGCTCTGTCCCCTGTGAACCACCTCAGGGACAAATCATGTCTACTTGGTCCATGTTGATGATGCTTATGTTGACCTCTTGGCTAAGGTGATGTGCATCAGGTCCCACCCCTAAATAGTTACTATTTTTGTGTTTGTATCTTGCAGAGATATACTCTTTGTAAATATTGTTTCTCATTAAATTTCTCCGCCATTGGTTTTAGCATGGAATGAAATTTCTGTTTGCAACAATTAGCACTTGGTGGTCATCAAATGGTGACTATTTCCTTCCTTTCTCCTACATTTATTAGCTGACACTCCACTATAAGAAAGCACTTTCCCTTCTCCCCCATTTATTTCTCTATTCATCCATTTCTTTCTTTTAATACAAACATATGCATTTTTCTTAAGAATCATCACCTATTTAATAAATAATCACCTGTTACTATAATTAGTAGTTTGAGGCTCAAATTGTCCCAGTGCTCATCACACAAGCCCCATCACTCTTTGGCCACTTGTTTTTTCCTGAAGTGCTAGTTCTGCAAACACATCATGCTTCTCTGCAGCTCTTCTAATGGCACCACCCACTTATTGGCTGGATAATTCCCAGCACTTGTTAAACAGCCCACTTAGAAGCTTTCCCCAACTTCTAATGTTCCCGTCCCAAATCTTGCTGCTACCACATGACTCCATTGTTATCATGGACTGTGCACTGTGCTTGTTTGTTTAGGCTTATAAGCAGTTGGTTTGTGATTCACATTTCTTTATTATCCTTCTAAGGCACCTCCCTGGTCCACATGAGGAACTCAATACATGTATGCTGAATAAGTGATTAGGAAAAAAAAAAAAACTGTGTAAACCCTCTGACTTTATATAACCTGCTATTCTACAGGCTTCTATTAGATAGAGTCTCATCACTTTGTTGTTGGGATCTATGTCTTTGGTCATTTTTTCCCATTGTTTTACATTACTGAGAAATGCATTATTGGTTCACATTCATGAAAGTTCTGGCATTATGTTTTATTTTTATTTTAGAGACAGAGTCTTATTCTGTTGCCCAGGCTGGAGTGCGGTAGTGCAATCATAATTCACTGCAGCCTTGAACTCCTGCACTCAAGCGATCTTCAGTCTCCCAAAGTGCTGGGATCACAGGCGTGCACCACCATTGCTCGCCCATGCATTATGTTTGAAATCCCTCCTTCATTGTTGGCTCCAACATACTCCCTTATTTTCTCAAGAACTTGGACATGTAATGCACATCTGAAAGTAAACATGCCAAAACTCAGCTGCAGAGAGGCTGGTATTTCCTTGCAAATCAAACTCTCCTGTAATCTTCCACATCTCTGATCAGGGCAACCTCAAGCTTCCATTTGTTCAGACCAAAGATGCAGGAGTCAACTTTAACATTTTTGACACCTGCATCTGGCCGATCAGCAAGTCCTGTTGGGTTCTAAATATAATTTGAAGAGACAGCCCTCCTCTTGGCACTGTTCCTCTGCTACTATCCTCAAGCACCGTCATTCCTCCCTTGCAATACTGCAGCTCTCTCCTTGCCAGCGTCCCTGCCCTGCCACGCTGACTTCTGGTTTTCAAACACCAGCCACGGTGATCTTGTTAAACTGAACTGGATTAAGTCCCTCTGCCCAGGCCTCTCCAATGACATCACATCTTACTCAGAAGAAAAGCCAAGTCCTACCACATCTTACAATGCTCTGAATGATGTGATACCCTGTTCCTCTCTGATATAAACTACTTCCTCTCCCTTTCTCCCCACCAGCACACTCCCTCTGGCTACTCCCTGAAAGTGTCCCCTCACCCCTCTGACCATACACACTCCAGCCTCAGGCCTCGACCATCCTCCCCGTCTGGGGATAGCCCATGTCCCCTTCCTCAAGTTTCCTGGTGCTTCAATATATATGACACATATATACTATATTTTTTCCCTTTTAAGCTTAAACGCTAATATAATTTCTATTGACAGAATAATTAAGAAATTCAGCTGCTCTCTGTAAAGGCTTAATAAAAATGTAAATTGTAATATAATGGAGAATTAATTGAAACACTCCAAAGCAGAGAAAGAATCGTGGAAAAGTTTAAAATTGCTCACAAGACTAACAGGGAGCCCGGTGAATTGGCCATATTGTATAGAGTGTTTATGTAGCTTCCATCTGTGCCACATCCAATAGTTGTTATTTACAGTCATGTGCAGATAGATCATGATGTTCCAGTCAATGGTCTGCATATACAATGGTGGTCCTATCAGATTATAATGAAAAATTCTCATGACCTAGTGACATCATAGCTGTTGATAACATCATGGCACAGTAACTTCATTTTTTTTTTTTTTTTTTGAGACGGAGTCTCGCTGTCGCCCAGGCTGGAGTGCGGTGGCGCGCTCTCAGCTCACTGTAGGCTCTGCCCCCCGGGGTTCACACCATTCTCCTGCCTCAGCCTCCCGAGTAGCTGGGACTACAGGCGCCCGCCACCTCGCCCGGCTAATTTTTTGTATTTTTAGTAGAGATGGGGTTTCACTGTGTTAGCCAGGATGCTCTCAATCTCCTGACCTCCTGATCTGCCCGCCTCAGCCTCCCAAAATGCTGGGATTACAGGCGTGAGCCACCGCACCTGGACAGTAACTTAATTTTTAAAAATAAATTTAGTGCAGCCTAAGGGCACAGTGTTTCTAAAGTCTACAGCAGTGTAATGTCCTGGCCTTCACATTCACCACCCTGGCCTTCACATTCACCGCTCACTCACTGACTCACCCAGAGCAGCTCCCAGTCCTGCAAGCTCCATCCATGGTAAGTGCCCTAGACAGGTATACCATTTTTATCTTTTACGCTGTATTTTTACTATACCTTTTCTAAGTTTAGAAACACACATACTTACCATTGTGTTATAGTTGCCTGTAGTATTCAGTACAGCAACATTCTGTACAGGTTTGTAGCTTGGGAGCAACAGGCTATACCACATAGCCTAGGCATGTAGTAGGCTATGCCATCTAGGTTTGTACAAGCACACTCTACGATGTTCACACAATGACAAAATCACCTAAACGTATTTCTCGGATTGTATCCCTGTGGTCAAGCAACACATGACTGTACCTCTATGTAATCAGTGTGTATGCTGCATGCACACATCTATGTATCTATATGTCTGGATACGCAGTGTGTGTGTACATGAATGCTTGTTGCTTTTGAGGTCAGCAGGGTGCAATATTTCAGTACAAGGCAGCAGATGGTTTACAACTGGGGAGAAGGCATTAGAACAGTATCATGAGGTTTGTGTGAAGGCCATGCTGATGCTGCTTCAAATGTCCACACTGTAAACACACAGAGCCTTTGGGCCACCACTTGTCTCCTGTGCAGTCATAGTAGGTGGCTTAGGTGATTAATTTCCGCCAGAGATGCTGCCTTTCCTTCGTCAATGCAGGTTTTGCTTTCTCCTCCCTTACAGTGGTCTTCAGCCACAGTTAGCCTTTTCAAGCATTTTTAAAGAATGAGTTGAAAATCAAGTAAAAAAGACAAAGCCCTATCACTCATTTCCTCCTCCATCTTTTGAGAAAGACATTAAGAACTCTGTCTAATAGAAAACAATGTAATCATTTCTAAATCAACGTGATCAACAGTTGGTTTCCTTTTTCTGCCCATAAAATTAAAATTTTACCTTAAATAAATGAAGACCATTGAAAAACCATGAAAGTGTATCCCACAGAGAAGACCAGGGATGCCTGCTCCTCACAGCCTGGCTGTGTCACGGGACTGAAGGCAAATGCGCTGCACAGCAGCCTCCGCATCGGACCCAGGCTCCTAGGCCAGGGACTGCATCTTTTTACTGAATTCCCGATGCCCAGTGCAGCATCTGGCTCGAAGTCGGTGCTCAATAAAACTCTGCTGCCTGCCTGCCTGAGGGAATGGATAAATAACTGAAGGAGAAGAGGCGGGGTCTGCTTGTGTGAACTTAGACTAAGGGAGGATCTGCCAGGACTGTGCCATGAAGGCACAGTGGCACACAGTCTGTGGCACAGTCTCATCAGCCCTTGCAGGTTCTGGTTATTGAGCCATGACATACCATAGGGAGTGAAGGGCCCCCGATCCCTCTGAGGTCAAGGGAATCTCTGGCAGGGACTGGGAGAGGGTGTAGGATGAGCTCTGATTGGTATGGACACAGTCAGTCCCTCCTCACCTCAGCCACGCAGGAATGGCCCTGAAGTTTCCAAGCCTGCCACAGCTCCCATCTAGAGAAAACCAAGCTGTCCAGGTCTACACAGGTATATATTCTATGGCCATTACACAAGGCTTCTTGGTAGATATTCATGGATCTCTCAGAAAATGGGCAGCTTCTCACAGAACAGACATGGGTGCCCACCGACTCCAAACACTCTCACTGGCTGGAAATCGCAGGTTTGCAAACACACTCCTGAATGCACTGCCAGTTTCAATGCACAGCCACGTGGCATGGAGTGACAGTTTGCATGGAATGGTGGCCCTGTCAGGGAGACGAGGTTCATCACAGAAAGAGGTCTGGGGATGCTGGTTTGAAGAGGGATGGAATGCAGGCAGGACCACTGCGGCCCAGGGAGTGACCAGAGCCAGCAGAGTTGCCACCACCCAGGGCCCAGGAGGAACTGCTAATGAGCCAGGCTGGGCTGCAGGATGTTTGGGTTGAAAGGTCCCTAGCACAGTGGTCCTTGTCCACTTCGTGGTCTTACAGTTGGCAAAACAGAGGCCTAGACAATATAAGATTACATCCCAGAGACAGCAATACACACAGAGGCCATGGGATTTCCAACTGGCTGTCAAAAAGGAAAGTTCTGAGTCCCTGGCCTGTCTGATTGCCTGGGCAGCTGTGACCCAAATCCTCTTAGCCCCCTGACAGCAGTGTAGATGGGAAGAGAGCAGGGAAGATGTTGCTGGCTGGAGTGCCTCAGCGTTGCTGGAAAGATGACCAGCAGTCCTTCCTACTAGCTAGGACAGTGATTCCACCATGAGGACCATGGGGCAGAAGTCAGGAGAGTGGAAGATAGGATGCAGGAGGGCAAGGAGGTGAAGGAGGCAAGGACCTGGAGCCCAGCCAGAAAGGAGGGGAGCTCCTGCAGAGCCTGAGAACTCGGGATGGCTGCGTGGCAAGGGATTGAAACTGCTGGAGGAGGCCCGGAGGCCTGCCAGCCAACTACTCAGCTGATGGCGCAGCTCTGGAGGTGCTGCCCCACCTCACCACACAATCTGCCCTTGTTTGTGGTGCCAGTGCTACATGGGGCACAATTGCCCTGCCGCCTTCTGAAAGTATATGTACCACTCCCAACTGCCCCCCGCACCGCACGCCACCCCCCCCCCCCCGCCCCCCGTTTGCCCATGAAATTTGGCCACTTCATCTCGGAGGCCAGCCTTGCCGAGAGAAAGAAACGCAAGTCATACATCCTTCTGGACTTTCCCTTGACACTCAAGCCCTCAACTTTTTCAATGATATAATTAAGATCATATGATATGTTCTTGGGTGATTTGTTTTTCCTATGCCATAGATATTTCTCTGTGTCACCAGAGAGAGCTAGTTCATTTCCCCCGACTTGCTGCATTGCTTTCCCTTGTGTACATGTACTGTGATTCCTTTAACCATTTTTGTTTCATGGGCTTTGTCTTCCTATTACAAAACAAAAGTAAAATTGGGACACTTGTCTGACTCTCTCAGCCTGCAGAGGCAGAAGTTGCTGTAGAAAAAAAATCCTGCAAGTGGAGTTGCTGGGTCAAAATGGAATTGCAAAATTTAGACAGAGACCGCCATATTGTCCTTCAAGGACCATATACCAAGTAACGCATCACCAGTCACTAGCCAGGTGAGTGCCGTCTCCCCACACCCTCGCCAAGACTGGACATCTTTCTTATTTTGTTTGCCAACATAGTAAGTAAAACGTGGTACCTCAGAGTTTTGTTGTTGTTGTTAATTGGCTCTCCTCTGATTACTCACGGAGCTGGTTAACTTTTCACATGTTTATTGGCTATTTATATTTCTTCTTTGGTGAACTGCCTATGTATATATTTCCTGGTTAATTTTACTTGCTCATTTTTCTTATTGATCTGAGGCACTCTGTGTATTACGGGCATTACATTATCATTGGTGGCTTGTCTTTTCATTTACAAAAACGATTTTCCCTACAGAAGTTGAAAATTTAATGAAATAAAATCTGTGCTGTTTCTCTTCTATGGCTTGTGGGGTTTTGGGTTTGCTTAGAAAATTCTTCCCGTAAAATAAATACTATTCTCTGATATCTCCTTGTAATAGTTCTTGGGGTTATTTTTCTCCTAAATGTTCACACTTTAATGCATCTGGAAGTAACATTTGCAAATGGTAAAGGGTTTCCCTAGTGAATTGCTTTCACATGGATGACCAAGTGTTACTACACAGTTACATGATCTGTGCTTCATCAATGATTTGAAATACCACATTTATCATACACAATATGCCTCTGATGCAATCCTAAGGAGATAGGAATGGGTGATAGAAGCTGGAGTGGGGCTTCAAGGAACTGGGATTGTTTCTGCTACTCACAGAATGGGGGCATACATAGAAGCTGAGCCATGCAGTTGCTCTCACACACCTGAGATCGCATCTTTCACAGTCAGAATACAAGGGCAGGAGTGCTGGGGTCCTGAAACCAATGTGAAAGGACCATCCAGCCTTTACCTGAAGGAATGTTCCCTGGATTATGGTTGTTTGAAGGCTGACTCACACACAGTGGAAAAACTAGACACGATGTTTTAGGGAAAAGAGCTTAAGGGTAGGTCCTCCTGTTGAAGCCAGCTACAATTAAGTCAAGAGAGGGGCAGGGGTGGGGGGCACGAAAGCAAAGAAATGCCACTTATCTGAAATCTCCAAGAGGAATGTGGATGGCAACTGGCACCTGCAGCTGATAGGGACCCACCAGATTCCAAGCCTCTGGGCTGTGAGTGATTGCGGGGCAGAGGGATCGGGAGCCTCATGTAGCAGAGACCTGGGACTGCTCCAGACACAAAATGAGCCCAGAGCCCCCCACATGACTACAGGTAGGAAGCAGGCTGAGAAAGCTGCGAGCTTGCAAGGATGCCATGGTCTCTTTAGTGCCCTATTCTCCAAAGAGGAGCTAAGGCCAGGAGAGTAGGAGATGAAGTCCCTGCCCTGCTGGGAAACTGAACGACCAAGGGTGATGGGACCTCACAGCCTCTGCCCAGTGGAATTTCAGGGTTTCTATGGCCATTGACAGTCGCCTGTCTCCCAGTTATTCCATTCCTGTTCTACTACTGCATGTTGTTGTGTGGGTGTGACTGTATGGTTGCGTGGTATCAGCTAACTTGTTCTTTTATTTAGCCCATGGGTCTCCAGACTCAAAGAAGCTATATCTGCATCTTTCAAAGAGACCACTGGGCATCACGCAGAAGCCCGTGACTTTGAGGCTGATGAGACTTTAGGATGTCTCCCACTACCTTTGATATTTGTGTAGCAAAAAGACTGAATCAAATATTCAGTGACCAGAAGGATAGACTGTGGTTGGCATTAAAACTGTTCACTAATATCCACTTTTCTTCTGCTTCTGGGCTCTCAGAAGAATTGCAGCTCCTGGCCTCCCCAAAGCTACACGTGGCTCTGTAACTTGCTTTGACCAATGAAATATAAGTGGCAGATGTCATTTTAAGTGGATGCATTTAATTGCCAGTGCTTACCTCTCCAGTCCTTCTCTTCCTCCTGCCCCTAAGCCTGGTGACCTCCTGATGGCAGCGCTCCATCAGCCTGGAGGAGAATGGCATGTAGCAAGCCCTGACTTCCCTGTGCACCAGGAGCAGAAAATAAACCTTTGTGGTTTGAGCTGCCGAGATCTGGGGGCTATGTGTTACTGTATCTAACTTAAACTAATTGAAAGTACCTTCATTCATTCCCATGGACTCAAATATCTCTATATTGATGACTCTCAGATTTATAATTCTAATGCAGTCCTCAACCCTGAGCCAGACAGAGTTTTTTTTTTTTTTTGGTTCTGCTTTTCTTAACCTATGAATATTCAAGCGCCCAAGACTCCGTGTTGAGCTCCTTTTTCTTCTCTGTCTACACTTTCCTCCCTTGTAATCTTATTCCCTATCGGGCCTTAAATATTTAAGCACCAGTGTCTTCCAAATTTAAATCTCTAGCCCTGACTAATACCTCTCTAGTACACATCGCTTAATTCCTGGATAGTTCCTACATGACTCTGGACTCTTGAAACTGAATTTAAGCATTGTCTCTGTCTCTCGAATTACACACACACACACACGCACACACACACACACACACACTTTGTGAAATAGTGTTTGCATTTTTCCCACTTAAGTAGTAAGACTGGAGCAAATTTCATAATTAAAAAAAAATCCCTTGAACAGTGTAGCTAAGAAGAAAGGAAGGAAGGAAAAAAGGAAAGGGAGATCTAAGCTTGATCACATCAAACAGAAAATGTAAACACTACGGACAGAATGTTATTGTACCCCATTAGCAACCTGGCTTCAACAAATCATTTTGCAAAGCAAGAATCAGAACCTAAACTAGCCCCTTTCCCAAGACGTATATTCCTTAAGAAATATGCCCTTGAGAACATTGCTCTCACAGGACACTTCAGTCATCAGTAACTTCATGTGGGCTCCAATGGCTGCAATGATCCACTGTACCTACCAGCCAAGAGCATATTCTAGAGGATTTCTCAATGTTAGAAGTGACGATGGCATTGCCACGGTTCTTTTTGTCAACAGTGTTCAATGGGAAGATTGTTCCTGCATGGGTCAATTTCTAGGAAAATCCACTTGAATTAGCGATGGAAAACAGCAAAAATAGTAACAGAAAAACACATGCGGCCTGCTTCACTATGTCCTATTACGATACATGGAAACGTCTGAAATCTTCACTTACATCTCCCTATTTTGACTCCTCATCAGAGAGGTGAGGCTGACTGAGAGGGAGACAGGAGGCTGTGGACCAGGGCCATGGGCCATGTGGGAGCAGGTGCTAGGTCCAAGCGCTCATTCTCCCCTAAGAGACTCTCTCCCCTACCAGGTCTCAAATCCATCACCCCATCATGTCCAGCACAAGAACTTGGCCATGCATCCATTCTCAGCCTGGTATCCCATACTCCAAGTGGCTCATCTCTCAACCTCACCTCATATCCCCACCTTTCCCAACCTTCCCACAGCAGAGCTTGTGCTGATTTATAAGGCTGCCTCTATTTTGTACAAGTTCCTACATAGTCCAAGGCCTGTTCTAGGCTTTCCAGTTTCTCCCACAGTACCAGCCCAGGCAGGAATACCACATATTGTAGTTACTGTTCATTTAAAACATTGATCTCTCCATCCACCCTCCTTTTTTTCCCCACTGCTGTCTCAGACCTTTAGTATTCAATAGGTATTTTAGAATTATTTTGTCAAATTCCACAAAAATCCATGTTGAAATGTTGAGCATTTGGACTGTATTTTGAGACCAATTCATGAGGAACTGTCATCTCACCACACTGAGTCTTTTGATCTAGAATGAAATTCCAATGAATATCCTTCATTCATTCTTCAACCTGGTGCCAGCTGGCCTCAGCTTTGGCCTTTCCTCCAAGACTATTCTTGCTAAGATCCATGGGATGGCCCTGTTACCAATACTGTGGGTGTTTCATTCCCTGTTGTATTTGCCTCCTTGTGTTTGTTGTCTTTGATGACTTCTTCCTTGAACATTCTCCTCTGTTGCTGCAATAACACCTGGCTCTCCTGTTTCATCTGAGTACTTCTCAGCCGCCCCTTCTGACTCTTCTTGGCTGGCCTTTCTGTGGCTATCTGACATGTAAATGACACCCCAGGGCTCCACTCTGAGCTCCTTTATGCTCACTTATGCTTTCTCCACAGATGAAGCTGTCAGTAGCCACGTCTTTAAATATCACCCAAACGCCAACACTTTCCAGGTTTATATTTCAAGCCCCCAACTCTCTTCTGAACTTTACCTTGGTTTTGTACATCTGACCACTTAGTCTCCACTTGGATACCTCACAGTTATTGCAAACATAATGAGGCAAAAAGCACATGTGGCTGTCTTCTTTGAATTGGCTTCTCCTCCAATTTTCCTGAGTTTAGTAAAAGTTCTTCCATCTACTCAGTTGATCAAACCAGTATCCCGGGAGCCATTCTTAAACTGCCTTCTTTCACGATGCATCAGTAATTTCATGGCAGGATTTCCACCTTCAAAATAGCATTGAGGCTACTGGATTCTCCCCATTTTCACTTCCACCATCTGCCCCAGCACAGAGCAGCTGAGATGGCCCCTCATTCCTCCTCTCTGTCCCCACCTCAATCCATTTTCCGTTTAGTGATCTGTATGATCTTTTCAATGGGTTCATACTTTTCCTTCACCTTAATTCTACAGTTACAGAGAATTACAGAGAGAATTAAACAGAAGACCCTTTCTGTGACCTGGGCAGCCCCTGCCTAACTCTCCACCTCTCTACGCATGACCTTTCTTTATTCCTCATCCTCCTGCTTTGTGAGCTTTCTTCCCTCAACACTCTCAGGATCGTTCCTCCTTGGCCCAGAATCTTTCCTGTAAGGACTCACACATATCCTTTAGGTCTCAGGTGCTATGTCACCTGCTCAAATGCTTTCCTTGGTTAAATTATCTCAACGAAGTCCCACCTTTATTTTCTCACGAACCCACTTTTTTCCTTTACTATGCTTCACATTCATTGCAACTATGTGCATGTGTGTGTTACTAGCTTATCTTTTATTATACTGTGACGTCCAGGTAGGGATGGACTATGTCTGTCATT
Source organism: Homo sapiens (assembly GCF_000001405.40). NCBI lineage: Eukaryota > Metazoa > Chordata > Mammalia > Primates > Hominidae > Homo > Homo sapiens. The sequence goes on from NC_000015.10 coordinate 31,728,861, forward strand.
CTCCCCTGGAGATCCAGCAGTTGGCCTGATGCCCAGTGCAGAGATACCTAGAGAGCACCAGCTAAAAACAGATGTGTATACAGTAGTCCTGCCTTATCTGTGGTTTTTCTTACCCATGGTCAACCAGGGTCTGAAAATAGGTGAGTACAGTACAATAAAATATTTTGAGAGGGCGACAGAAACCATATTCACATAAATTTTATTATAGTATGTTGTGATAATTATTTCTAAATTATTGTTGTTAATCTCTTACTATACCTAATTTATAAATTAAACTTTATCATAGGTAGGTATGCAGAAAAAAAGTTAGTATATATAGGGTTTGGTACTAGCTGCAGTTTCAGGTATCCACTGGGGTTTCGGAATGTATTCTCCACGTATGGGGGTGTTAAGGGGTTACTGTATCTGTTTATTGAAGAAATAAATAACTAAAGTTTATAACCATGATACCCTGTGGATGAGCAAAAAAAGCATGGGCTGTTAGTCCTGGTCTGTAATAATAACTCTGACACTGACTGTCATGACAAAGAAGAAATAACAGCATGGTGACTTCAATGCCTAGCATATGGCAGGCAATGGGTTATGGCCACAGTCACATTAATACGGAAGCTTGCATTTAAAGTAGTAAAGAACATGGCTACTGAGTGTGGCCCTTTTTTGGTTTTCCTTTTAAAGTTAAAACTGGCACTTAGATCTGATATCTAGTTTACCTTCACGGGCATTCCATGTGGTACCTGGGAAATAATATAGCTAAAATTGGGTATTATTTTCATTTTCACTTTTAGATTTAACCCTCTGCTTTCTGTGTGCTTAATCCCACCTCACCCACATGCATGCCCTGAGGTCAATGCACCTTTCCATAAGCACACCTCACACTCTCCTTGGAGGGCAAGGCTCCTCCAAACGATGGTTGCAGCTGTAGCCTCCTGCTCGTTGTCAGATTTCTTAACCTTCCTATCCACATCTGCTCTATCAGTTCCTTCTCTCTACATGCTTCCCAGCCCTCTGCCCTTTGTCCTCCACTCTTATTCCTCCCACTGGGTCTCATGTGTGCTTTATTTTTCCTTCTCTCTCCTATGATACTAATGATTCCTGTTATGAACTGAATGTCTGTGTCCCCACCAAATTCATATATTGAAACCCTAGCCCCCCAGGGTAATGTTATTAGGAGGTGAGGCCTTTGGCAGGTGATTAGGTCATGAGGGTGCAGCCTCATGAATGGAATTCGTGCCCTGTTAAGAAGAGACATCTGCTTCCTCTCTCTCTGCCATGTGAGGACACAGCAAGAAGGTGGTTGTCAGCAACCAGGAAGAGAGCCCCACCAGAACCAACCATGTTGGCACTCTATTCTTGGACTTCCCAGCCTCCAGAACTGTGAGAAATAAATGTCTGTTGTTTAAGCCACCCAGGCTACAGTATTCTGTGATAGCAGCCCACGGTGCCTGAGAGACAACCCTCTGCATTTAAAGCTCTTACCTCCCATTATGAGATTTTACTTTGTTTCCCCTTCTCCATAACTACCTTTAATGCTGGCTCTCTCCCTTCTCTAACTGCCTTGTTCTGAATGGGCCTTGCTTGAGAGAGTTCATCCATCCCTGTCAAAGGCATCAAATTCCCTCTATGAGTTTGGCTCTGAAATGTCAACCTTCTGGCCAGCCTCTCAATTCAAACTCAGTTCAGTCTCCAGTTGTCTGCTGCAGAATTTTATTTCCTGGCGTATACACTGAAGTGACCACACCAGATGATGAGAGGTCAGATTCAGCTGCTGCCAAGGTGTAGTAAGAATGCAGTTGGGTGGAGATGACCTAGGTTAAATCCCAATGCTACTATTTCTCAACTGTGTGACCTTGGGCAGGATACTCAGGCTTCCTACGACTTCTTGTTCTCATCTCCAACATGGGGGCGGTGGCAGGATTGCTGTCATCCCCCAGAGCACTGAGCCCACGGCCAATACAGAGTGAGCCCCACATGGTCTACAGGAGGTCAGTGATGGACATGATGGAGGGATGGAGGACCATTGATAGTTCAAACTCAGGTACTGCATGCTTTCTCCCTGGAGAAGAGTTTAGTAGCACCTTGGTCAAGTTGCTGAAGTGTCAAAGGAAAAACTACAAAATATACGTACAAAATATCCTTAGGACTAAATCCAAGGTCCTCTCTTCTCCCTAATAGTTGAAATGATCTCTTGGGTCTCAGGGGATGTGCAGCACCAGACTCCTGGGATAATGCATTTGTGGCGTAATCTGTTTTGTTATAACTGTTTGATGTTTCAGTCAAATGCTGGTGAATCATGTGCATTTTCTCCTTCTCTAAAGGGTGATCTCTTTTTACATCCCTATGGAGTTTTCCACATTCAGGAATTGGGAGTATTTTCTGATTTTGCATTCTAAAAGAGTAAGATAAGAACGCAGATGTTTACAGCAGATTTATTCATAATTGCCAAAACTCAGAAGCAACCAAGATGTCCTTCAGTAGGTGAATGGATAAATAAACTGTGGTACATACAGACAATAGAATATTATTCAGCACTAAAAAGAAATGGGGTATAAGGCCACGGAGAAAACTTAAGTGCATGTTGCTAAGTGAAAGAAGCCAATCTGAAAAGGCTGCATACTTTATGACTGACATGTTGGAAGAGGCAAAATCACAGGGACAGTAAAATGATCAGTGGTTACCAGGGGCTAGAGGGAGGAAAGGATGAACAGGTGGAGCACAGAGGATTTTAGGGCAGTGAAACTACTCTGTATGATACCATAATGGTAGATGCATGTCATTATACATTTGTCTAAACCCGTGGAGTGTACAACAGCAAGAGTGAACCCAGATGTAAATCATGGACTCTGGGCAATAATGATGTCTCAATGTAGGTTCATCAGTTGTAACAACTGGACCACTCTGGTGGGGGAGGCTGAGACAATGGAGGAGTCTATGCATGTGTGGGGTTGGGGGTGAACAGGGACTCTTTACACCTTCCTCTCAATTTTGCTGTGAACCTAAAACTGCACTAAAAGTAAAGTGTATTAAAAAAAGGGTAAGATAGGAAATTATCCTCAATGAAAAAATATATAATCACATAAACAGACATTTCCCTTTCAGTAACACTTTTTGAAACTGTCCTAGTGCTTTGCGGGGAACAATGCCAACCAGGAGGAGGGAGATACAGGATCCTGAGAGCTAAAGGTGGGCTAAGCTCTCTCCTCTGTCTTCCCTGGAATTTCTACTTTCATATTAAAATCATGTCTAAAAACAGACTAATCATCCCCTCAGTCTCTCCTACACTTCATGGCCTTTTCCTACAACTATTTTTCTTTACTTAGTCATGCAAACAGAACACCTGGAGTCAGTGGAACTCATTAAACAGCAGAAACCATGTAGATGCATTCTACTGTCATAAGAGAAGTTATTCCTGACTGGTACACATGCGCAGAGCTGGTGTCTCCTCTGTCCCTGGCTCTGCTGTGGATAACTTTGAGGAAAATGAGGCTCTGAGAGATGCCTGATCTCCCCCAAGGGGAAGCTGGGGTTAAAAGGGTACATGTGGCCTCCTAGTTGTGATTTGATTGTGCCATGCTTCATATTTATATCAAGGAGAGGATATTTGTAGTTGCATGACTACAGCTTAACAGGCTATTGAAACATACAATTCATGTTAGAAAGCTGTTCATAACACACGGCTAAAACAACTAAAAAGTTGGTTCTTGGAGAAGTCTACTCTAGTCACTTGGAAACGCCACAGCGTGGATTTCAACTGGGGCATACGTAACAAGCATGCACTTCCCAAGTTTCCTATGTACAGGTGGCTCTATCAATTGCATCGCACTCCAGAAAATATTGTATTAGTGAAGACAGATTCACACTGTGGAAATAATTCACCCTAAGTGGAAAGAATGACAAAGAAGACAAAGAGTGACAAAGAATTCTTTCCACCTCCAAGTCCTTCTTCCAGGGCTTCTTCACACAGAATACTTGCTTACTTGTTTGGTTTCTGTGTTACTCCCCACTTTCCTAGTTGTGCATTCCTTTGGATATCAGTCTCCATGTTTTGCTAGGGTTGCAAAAAATCTTACCCAAACCACAATCTTGACGTCCTCCCCTCAACTACTGGTTCAATCTCTAATTGCTCCTTCACACAGCAGACAAAACATAAGAATTAAAACTCAGCCAGTCTCCTGAAAAAAAGCTCTTTAACAGCATCTTAGTTTGCCACAGTGGGCTCTGGAGCCCGAGTTTCAGTCCTGACTCATGATCCTGGGGACGTGCAAACCTGGCCAAGTTGGTGATGTATCAGCACTCCATTTCCTTACATCTTAACTCAATGGATTGCTGTGAGGGTGAACTGAGACAAACACAAAGGGCTGAGAACAGAGCCCAGCTCAGAGCAAATCTAACCAGATGACACTGACATCTGTCACCATTACCTCCCCTGAGTTTGGTCAACTCTGGCTCTTTCCGACCCTCCACCAACACCCCCTCCTTTACCAGACTCACCGTGGGCCCCACTCACTATCTGAGCAACTGTAGGATTTGTGAATAAGCTGTTTCTTCTGCCTGGGTGTTCTTTCCACCCTCTACCTCCTCTACCCCAACATTCACATCCTGCTGCTCAGCCTGACTAATTCCTATTGGTCCTTCAGAGTTCAACTTAAACGCTTTTTCCTCTAGGAAGCACCCCCTGGCTGCCCAGACCAGGTCAGCCCTCTGGCTCTCTATCCCGAGCATGCCCGTGGCTCTATCAGGGAACAGAGATTACATCTGTCTTGTTCACCATTGTCTCTTCAGTGTCTAGCATGGCACAGGGCCATAATACCCGACAAATATCTGCTGAATAAATGAAGTCATGGCTGGAACTGTCACCATGGGGTCAGCTATAGACAGGATGCTATCTGAGTGCTCTCAAATGGCAAGTTTGTCAGAAAAAGAATTCAAGACTCAAGTCTTAGCCACATAATGGGGAAATACAATCAGCAGTCAAGAGAAAGAGGAGACCCAACCAGCCATCCAAAACAAGAGTGTTCAGAGGATGCCTGAAAGCTACAGGTACGGAGACAGGACAAGCTAGAGAAGCTGATCATGTTTCAGCAGGGGCAGGTGAAACACGTTAATATAAAAAATGTCAATTTTTTCAAAATTAACCCAAAGCTGGAATACACTGTCAAGCAGAGTTCTAATACTGCATTTCGGGGAATTGGATACAATTATTTTGAAGTATGAACAAAAGAACTGATAATAATAGTAGTAACACACCAACAACAGTCAAGCCAAGAGCTAAATCAGGAATGTACTCCCATTCACAACTGTCACAAAAAGAATAAAATACCAAGGAATACAGCTAACCAGGGAGGTTAAAAATCTCTACAAGGAAAAATACAAAACACTGCTTAAAGAAATCAGAAGTGACACAAACAAATGGAGAAACATTTCATGCTCATGGATAGGAAGAATCAATATGATTGAAGTGGCCATACTGCCCAAAGCAATTTATAAATTCAATGCTATTCCTATTAAACTACCATTGAGATTCTTCATAGAACTAGAAAAAAGTATCTTAAATTTCATATGGAACCAAAAAAGAGCCTGAATAGCCAAGATAATCATAAGCAAAAAGAACAAAGCTGGAGGCATCATGCTACCTAACTTCAAACTATATTACAGGGCTACGGTAGCCAAAACAGCATGGTACTGGTACAAAAACAGATACGTAGACCAATGGTACACAATAGAGAGACCAGAAATAAGACCGCACACCTTCAACCATTTAATCTTTGACAAACCTGACAAAAACAAGGAACGTGTAAAAGACTCTCTATTTAATAAGTGGTGCTGGGATAACTGGCTAGCCATGTATGGAAGATTGAAACTGAACCCCTTCCTTCCACCATATACAAAAATCAACTCAAGATGGATTAAAGACTTAAATGTAAAACCCAAAACTATAAAAGCTCTGGAAGATAACCTAGGCAATACCATCCTGGACATAGGTACAGGCAGAGATTTCATGATGAAGATGCCAAAAGCAATTGCAACAAAAGCAAAAATTGACAAATGGGATCTAATTAAAGAGCTTCTGCACAGCAAAAGAAACACCAACAGAGTAAACAGACAACCTACAGGATGGGAGAAAATTTCGGCAAACTGTGCATCTAACAAAGGTGTAATATCCAGTATCTATAAGGAACTCAAACAAATTTACAAGAAAAAAACCCCACTAAAAAGTGGGCAAAGGACATGAACAGACACTTCTCAAAAGAAGACATACATGTAGTCAACAATCATATGAATAAAAGTTCAATATCACTGATCATTAAAGACATGCAAATCAAAACCACAATGAGATACCATCTCACACCAGTCAGAATGGCTTTTATTAAAAAGTCAAAAAATGGCAGGGCATGGTGGCTCATGCCTGTAATCCTAGCACTTGGGGAGGCCAAGGCGGGGGTGGATCACCTGAGGTCAGGGGTTCAAGACCAGCCTGGCCAACATGGGGAAACCCCATCTCTACTAAAAATACAAAAAAATTAGTTGGGTGTGGTGGCACACGCCTGTAATCCCAGCTACTCGGGAGGCTGATGCAGGGGAATTGCTAGAACCTGGGAGGCAGAGGTTGCAGTGAGCCAAGATTGAGATTGCGCCACTGTACTACAGCCTGGGCAACAGAGTGAAACTCTGTCTCAAAAAAAAAAAAAAAGTCAAAAAATAACAGATGTTGGCAAGGTTGTGGAGAAAAAGGAACATTTATACATTGCTGGTAGGAGTGTGAATTAGTTCAACCATTGTGGAAGATAGTGTGGTGATTTCTCAAAGACCTAAACATAGAAATATCATTCAACCCAGCAACCCCATTACTGGGTATATACCCAAAGCACTATAAATCATTCTATTGTAAAGGCACATGCACCTATATGTTCATTAAAGCACTATTTACAACAGCAAAGACATGGAATCAACCTAAATGCTCATCAATAACAGGCTGGATAAACAAAATGTGGTACATAAACATCATGGAATACTATGCAACCATAAAAAAGAATGAGATCATGTCTTTTGCAGGGACATGGATGGAGCTGGAGGCCATTATCCTTAACAAACTAACGCAGGAAAAGAAAATCAAATACCACATGTTCTCACTTATAAGTGGGAGCTAAATGATGAGAATACATGGACACATAGAGGGGAACAACACACACTGGGGCCTACTGGAGGGCAGAGGGTGGGAGGAGGGAGAGGATCAGGAAAAATAACTAATGGGTACTAGGCTTAATACCTGGGAGATGAAATAATCTGTACAACAAACCCCCACAACACAAGTTTACCTTTGTAACAAACATGTGCCCCTGAACTTAAAAGTTATAAAAATAAGATTAGTAGTAATAATGATAAAAGCAGTGAACACGTTTACACTTGTAGTTGCACTAGCAATGGGTGAGGGTAACTCCACCCCCCCAAAAAAAAGATTAGCCACAGCTTGATAATTACAGAAGCTGGGTGATGGGTACATGGGACTCAGCATATTACTCTGTATATATTTATAGATGTTTAATATTTTCCATAGTTGAATGTTTAAAGATGTAAGTAAAACAAAATAAATTTAGCAGAAAACAAAAAAGAGGTGCTGTCTTAAGCTCTTCAGATATATTAACATACATCCAAACTCAAACAAGAAAACTGTAGAAAAGAATGACAGGGAGGGAGTGTACGCCTCACACTGAAGCTGTGCCGACCAATGCACTATGAGATCAATGTATGTTCCAGGTGCCATTTCCGTCCCCAGGGAAGAGTAGTTTATTTAACAGACAGAGCTGGCAGAAAACAAATCTATATCCTCCCACCCTCAACACAAATAAGTTTTGGATAAATTTAAAATATAAATGTAAAATAAAATAACCGTAAAAATATTAAAAGAAAATATATTCAAATATTTGTATGACTTTGTATTTGTATGACTTTGGCTTAAGACCTTCTTTTTTTTGGGGGGGCGGGGGGACGGAGTCTCGCTCTGTTGCCAGGCTGGAGTATAGTGGCACAATCTTGGCTCACTACAACCTCCACCTCCCAGGTTCAAGTGATTCTCCTGCCTCAGCCTCCCAAGTAGCTAGGACTACAAGCACACACCACCATGCCCAGCTAATTTTTGTATTTTTAGTAGAGGCAGGGTTTCACTGTGTTGCCCAGGCTGGTCTTGAACTCCTGGGCTCAGGCAACATGCCTGCCTCTGCCTCCCAAAGTGCTGGAATTACAGATGGCATGAAGACCTTCTTAAGCAATGTAGGATAGGTAGAAATCATAAATAAAAATAATAGAAATATTTAACCAGATAATGTTTCTTAATATGGCAAAATAAACAATATAAAAAGACATTAATATACTTAGAAAAATCGTTGAAACACATACACAGGCAAGGGACTAACAGCCCTCTAAACAAAGAACTGCTATCCACTATTGAAATAGAGACAGACAACCCCACAAAAACTCCAGCAAAAGACACGAACAAGCGGTTTACAGAAATGGAATCAAGATGGCCAGTAATGCATCAAAAAAGGTAGTCATGAAAAAACGACGCAAACTGCCAATGCCATATCATTTTCACACAAACTGGAAAAACCCTGGGGATGACATCCAGGGTCAGAGGGATTTATTGAGCACTGCATGCACTTGCATTTTGGGGGAAGATGTGAACTTCTATGCCCTTTTTGGAAAGTAATCTGGAAACGGCGATTCAAGTTCAATATCTAAGAACTTGTTGACTCAGTGGTCCCATTTTTGGAAATATATCTTACAGAAATAAGAGCAGGAGTATATTAGAAAGTGTTCAATGATATAAAGAATTTTTGAAGTGGCAGAAACTGGAGAAAGTCAGCATGCTTCTCAGCAGGAAATAACTGGATAGACTGAATGTGTTCATACGGGACTATCACACAGCATTCGAGAAAGAAATTAGACTGGATTTGCTCATCTGGAAGGACATCCATGCTGTACAGTTTCCTGAGGAAGGGAAGCTTCAGAATCATATGTATTGTAGGGAATCATGGACAGTCACTGGTTGTAAAAAAGTATCTATTTATAAAAGTGCATATTTATGTTCATAAATGTATAGGTGTAGCTGGTAGTTTGTACATAGTATCTGTTAGCTCAAGGAAGTATAAATTGGGTGGTATTATTAACATTTTTTAGCTTCTTTTCATTGTTTCACTGGCTGTAAAAATGTCACTATTTTTGCGAAAAAATTAATTGAGAGCATTTTTGTAAAAGGTTAACAGTTTGCCAGAGAAAACAAGGCAGAGAATTTCCAGGAGGGAATAATTAGTTAAATAGGAGACAGCAAAGACAGAAGAACTTGGGCATGGGGGGATGGGGAGAGAGGGAGGAGGGAGAATGGCAGGGGGCCTGGAGCTAATGATGAGGATTCCATGGGGCCAGATGAGGACCTCTGTGGATCCCTTATCTCCCATCTTTATAACTGGCATCCTAAGTGTAAAGAGGAGAGGTGAAGAATTTGGCTGAGGATGGAGACCTGAGCATGCAATAAGTCAGAATGGAAGAGAAGAAGGAACTCCAGCCACCACCATCAGCGCTGAATCTACAAAAGAGGTCCAGGGAGGGAGATCAGTTGCCTGCATCCTCCTTGGAGCAATCCCATAGTTTCCAAGGGTCCCAGAGGCATTCTGATAGAGCATGACAGTGATCCCTAATTTGACAACCCAGGAGGATTATCTGCCATGACAGTTTTCTGTGGAGGAAAGGACCAGCACCTATGCTGCCTCCGCTGATAGGGCTGTTACCCCCTGTACATGCACACGCTGCTCCTCTGCAGCTCTCTCCGCAAGTGCAGCCTGTTGACTCCTGAAATCCAGCCTTACAATCACAGTGGCCCCAAAATGATTGTTTCTTGGGATAGTACGCAAAGGCACACTGCTGATCTGACAGCGTGGATGCCAAAAAGCTTAGAAGCAGCCTTCCTGATTTTAAGATGACTCAAATTACTCTTCAGCGGACGATTTTAAACTTTCATTTACACCTATTAAGTATCCTTAAAGCAAGGGATTCCCACACCATGCCAGGATTCCTGTAAATGCCACATGGCATCAGATCAGATACCAAGTACAGAGGTCTCTGAGGACACTGGACCTGCTGGGGAAGGGGCTGTCCACTCGCTGGGGGCTTCAGAAAGGCCACGGTCTTATGAAAGCACACATTTCTGGGGAGCAGCCCAGACTTGTCACAGAGAAATTTCTGGATGTGGGTCTGGGACTGATTTACAAACACCCCAGGTATTGTTATGCCACTCATCTTGGATCAAAAGACTTTGGAAACCACTCAAAACTCTCATAGTACTGAGTGCTTGGAGCCAGTGTAGGGACCCAACAAACACCTGTGGATTGGCTTTCTATAATGAATGCAATTTGAGGTTCCATGTCTACTAGTCGCCTGATGTCATCCAGTCCAATGCTAAAAGTATTGGATTCAGTATATCAAAAACAACTGGATATTCACTCTTGGTTGTACCCTTTCTCAAAAAATTAATGAAATAAAATGAAATGAAATAATATCTTAAAAGTAGTCACAAGTCATTGCAAAATCCAGGAGGAAAATAACAGTTTGGCTAACTTTAGACTTAATTAGATAAATATGCACGTTGCCATTTCTATGGTAATGTTAACATAATAGACAAAAGAGACATAAAACTTTCAAATAACTACTAAGGTTTTTAAAATGCAATGCCCACATTTGCTCACCATATCTTTTTTTTTTGGAGACAGAGTGTCACTCTGTTGCCCAGGCTGGAGTGCAGTGGCACCATCTCAGCTTACTGCAACCTCCACCACCCAGAATCAAGTGATTCTTGTGCCTCAGCCACCAGAGTAGCTGGGATTACAGGCATGCACCACCATGTAGTAGAGATGGGTTTTTGCCATGTTGGACAGGCTGGTCTTGAACTCCTGGCCACAAGTGATCCACCCACCTCAGCTTCCCAAAGTGCTGGGATTAAAGGCTGAACCACTGCGCCTGGCCTCACCATGTCTTGAATGCCTACACTGGGCCAGGCCCTTCTGAGGCACTGCAATGTATCAGTGAACAGAAGAGGCAGAAATCCCTCATGTGGCTTCTTTTCTAAAAGGGGCAGACCCGTCTTTGAATGATGCTACACTTGGTGCTCCAAACAGGATTTTACAGGTGACAGACTACTACCACGGTGAAAAGACAACAGAAAAGGGCAGGCGAGAGGAAGGCCTAGCGGAGTGTGAGGACATGAGTGGGGTGGCCGGAGCAGGCCTCACTGAGAAGGTGATTCTGGAACAAGGATGTGGAGGAGGTGAGCTGGTGACTTGAGTGCCTGGCAGGGCAACAGCCCCAGAGGCTGGAACAGCTTCTGGTGGGCAGGTGCGTCTGAGTGCCTGGAGCAGAGGTGGGGTCGCAGCTGAGGCCTCTCGGGTTGCCGGAAGCCCCAGGAGACTCTCCGCTTTCCCTCTGTGTGAAACCAGGAGTCGCTGCAGGCTTTGGAGCCCAGCTGCCTCATGCTAGAGCTCACATGTGATGGGGCTCACTCTGGCTGCTGCTCAGTGAGCAGATGGTGGGGGGAGGGTGGGAGGTGGGAGGAAGGAGAGAAGCAAGGAGGAGATGAGTCAGGAGGCCACTGCCTTCCCAGAGGAAGGAGGAGAATGGTCTGGCGAGGACGGCTGCCGTGGGGGTGAGACAAAGTGGTGAATTCTCAATGTATTTTGAAAAATTGGTTTAAAAAAGAATCCAAAAGAAGGCATAAGTGAGAGGGGGAAAAAAAACAGAAGATGTGAAACAAATAGAAAGTACAAGAGGAGCTGGGTAGAGGTGAACCCAAATGTGCCACTAATTAAATTAAATGTAAAGAGACCAGATGCTCCAGTTCAAAGTAATAAATTGGCAGACTGAACGCAAGATTCAACTATATGCTGTTTATAGAAGACATCTAAAGCATACACAGAAAGGACAAAATTAAAAGGATGGGTAAGAAATACATCATGTGAATTGTAACCAACAGAAAACTGGTGTAGCGACATTAATAACAGACAGAATAGACTTTTAGGTAAAAAGCATTTGCTAGTGATAAAAAGAATTACTTCAGAATGACAAAAGTAGGACACAGATGTGAATGTACTATTGACAAACTTTACTTAAGGGTCATATAGAATTATACTCTCAAGAGCTGCAGAATACAAAATGCTCTTAGTACAAATGAAACATTTACAAAATATTTATCATACTCTGAGCCATAAAATGCATCATAAAAAATTTAAAAAGAAGAGATCATACAGACCAAGTTTTCTGACCATACTACAATTAACTTAAAAAGATAACTAGCAAATCCCCATATGGTTAGGAGATTTAACACATACTTCCAAATAACCCATAGGATTTGCTTCAAAATAATATAGGAGGTTGTGGTGGGAACAAGGATATAGAAAAAGTAAGATTGGCCACAACTTCATAATTTTTTAAAAAAATTTTTTATTACACTTTAAGTTCTAGCGTACATGTGCACAATGTGCAGGTTTGATACATAGGCATACATGTGCCATGTTGGTTTGCTGCACCCCAGAACTTCATAATTATAAAAGTTGGGTGATGAATACATGGATATTCACTTTATTGTTCCATATACACATAGATATTTAATATTTTCAAGAGTTAAATGTTAGAAACGTAAGTAAAATGAATACAATCTGCATGAAAAATTATAAAAATACAATAACCCAACAATGAAAGAAGAATCACAACTGAAATAATAAAATATTTTGAACTAAATCATAAAATATTTCACAAAAACGTAGTAAGAGACAATAAAAGCCATAGACAGAGAAAGTTTTATTGCTTTAGATGCATATACAAGAAAATAAAAAATACCAAAAATTTAGGAGCCAAATGTCCATTTCAATAAGATAGGAAAAATAGCAAAATAAACACAAAAAAAATTAGAAGAAAGACAATGATGAAGATCAGAAATTTTTTAAAAACCCCAGAAAACAAATATATGGTAGACAGGACCAAGAAAATCAACCATTAGGCTTATGAAAAGAATAATAATATTGAGAACCTCTAAAAATAATTCTATGCAAATAAATTGGCAAATATGAACATAACGGACACAGTCCTAGAAAAATAAAACTTACCAAGGCTGATTAAAATAACAGAAAACTTGGATAGCCCTATAACCACTAAACAAGTTAAATCAACAGATACATACTTTTGTTTTTCTTTATAAAAGGATCTCTAGGTGCAGATGGTTTTCTCAACAAATAAAGAAATAATTCAGTCTTACAATCTAATCCACAATAAAGAACAAGAGGGTACAATCCTAAACTCAGGTTATGAGACTAGCACATAATCTTGGAATGGAAATGTGACAAGAAGTAGTAAGAAAAAAGAAAAAAAATAACAGGGCAATCTCATCCACAACGATTGGTTATATACATTTATTACAATCATGGCAAACTTCTGTTTATTACAGGAATGCAAGGATGGTTTAACACTACAATATTTGCCACATCAACAGATTAAGGGAAAAAAAATTGTGTTACAACACATGCATGTAGATAAGGCTTTTTAAAAACTGAACCACTGAGATTTTATAAATCTAAGCTAGAAATGGAAGGAAATTTCTTCTATCTGATATACGGCTCCTTAGAAAAAATCTGGCACAACATTGTTCATATTTGTAACATGTCAAAAGCTTTTCCTACCACAGAAAAATAGAACTAAACCTAAACATATACATAATTGAATTAAATGCTAATGGACAAACTGCAGAATATTATTTCCAAGTTGCATACAGAGCATTTATTTTAATTAAGTCAGAGATAGAAAAGCAAAACCCGAATAGACTTTATTTACAGATACTCACTTTAAATATAAAGACATAGGTAGCGCGAATGAAAAGGGGTTAAAAATATATATGACATGCAAACTGTGAGCATAAGAAAGTTGGAATGGATGTATTAAAATCAAACAAAAGAGACTTCAAGAAAAAAGTATTACCAGAGATAAACACCTCACTATAATGAAAATATTAATTCACCAGGAAGACAATAAATATATATAAATACACGACTTCAAAATATATAAAGCAAAATATGACAAGACTAAAAGGAAATATAGACAAATCCATAACCATAGTGGATGATTTTGATGTCTATTTCTAAAGGAACTGCTAGAACAACTAGACAGAAAAGGCACGGATATAGAAGACCAGAACATCATCAACAAATATAACCTAATTGTCATTTACAGAATACTCTAATTCAAAACTGTAAAATATAATTTTTTTCAAGTGCAAAAAGAGCCTTCATATCTTGGTGAAAAAGCCATATGCTGATCCACCAAACATGTCTCAATAAAATTCAAAATGCTGAGATAACACAGAATATGTCCTAAGACAAAAAAGGAATTAATCTGGCAATCATGAAAAATGAGATATGTAAAAAAGTCCCAAATATTTGGATACTAAATAACATGCATGTAAATAACTCATGAGAGAAAGGAAAAACACAAGGGAGGTTAGAAAATAATTTTAAACTTGAAGATAATAAAAACATATAATTTTGGTAATGCAGCTAAACTGTGCTTCCAGTGAAAGTTATAGTACTAAACACATAAATGAGGAATGGCTTAAAATTAGTGATCTAAGTTTTCACCTTAAGTATATATGAAAGATAAGCAAATCAAGACCAAAGTAAGTAGAAAGAAGGAAAAAAGAAAGGTGAAATCAGCGAAATAGAAAATAAATAAAATCAACAGCTGGGGATGGTAGCTCATGCCTGTAATCCCAGCACTTTGGGAGGCCAAGGCAGGCACATCACTTGAGGCCAGGAGTTTGAGACCAGCCTGGCCAACATGTTGAAACCCCATCTCAAAAAAAAAAGAAAAGAAAAGAAAAGAAGAGAAAATTAAACAATCTAAAATTTGATTCATTGAAAGATTCATAAGACCGGTAAACAAACACCTAGCAAGACTGATGAAAGAGAGAAATGAGAAGGTGAGGGAGGGAAAGAGGGAAAGCAGGAGCTCGCTTATATCATCAGCATCACAGATGAAGGAGGGAACAGCACCTCAGATTCTACACATATAAAAAGAATAAGAAAATACTGTGAAGAAATATGTTCATAAATTAGACATTTAGATTAATTAGACAAATTTCTTTTAAAACACAACTTACTAAATGTGACATAAAAGGAAACAGAAAATCTGAACTGCATATTTTATTCTGAATCTGTATCTGCTAAGAAAATCGTATTTATTATGAAAATTCTTCCCTTAAAAAAGACATAGATGACTTCACTGGTGAATTCTATCAAATATTTAAGGAAGAAATAATAGTAATTTTATACAACTTTAAGAAGATAAGAGAAAGAAAAACTCATTTCCCAAGTTTGGCATGAGGCTAGCATACCTCTGACACTAAAAGAAGAATGTGAAAAGAAAAGAACAGATCAACAACCAACATGAACATTGCCATAATCACTCATACTGTATTAGTTGAGTCCTGTAATAAATGAAAAATAATCAAGACCAAGTAGAGTGTATCCCAAGAACATAAGATAGGGCAAACATTCAAAAACCAATAAAAATTATTTACTATATTAACTAAAAAAGAGTAAAACATTTGCTAAATTTAATACCTATTCATTTAAAAAAAATCCTGCAACCTTGAAATAAGAAAGAATTCCTCCTGCAATACAGGGCATTTTTAAAAATTCTATCCTTGAATCTTACTTTATGATGAAACGTTGAATTATTTTCCCTTATGATTAAAAAGAAGTTAGGCATATTTAGTCTTAATACTTGTACAAAAGATTGTAGCCAGTGCAATAAAGTAGAAAAGAGGGATAAAGGTTAAAAAGGAAAAATGAAAAGTTTTGCTATTTGTAGATGATATGAATGTCAGTGTAGCAAATTCTAAAAGCTCTATAATTAATAAATGCATTTAGTAAGGCTGCAAGTTACAAGGTCAATATGCCAAAAACATCAATTATATTTTTATATACTAGTAGCAAAAAGTTGGAAAATGATTATATACTAGTAGCAAAAAGTTGGAAAATGAAATTAAAAGAAATCAATTTATAATGGCTTTGAAAAAACATAAAATAATCCAGAATAAATTTAGCAAAAGGTGCCATGGCTTTCTACACTAAAACAAAAACCTCTGTTGAGAGACATTAAAGAAGACCTTACAAAATAGAAAAATATATTACATTCATAGATTCAAAACATCAATATTAGGGTCAGTTCTCCCAAAATTAATCTACAGATTCAAGACAATTCTATTTCTAAAAATCCCAGTAGGCCTTTTTGTAGAAACTGACAAAATTATTCAAAATTTTAAATAAAAATACAATTGATCTAGAAGAGCCAAAATTATCTAGAAAAATATAAAGCTGGAAGCATTCCAGAACTTAAAGAGTTACTATAAAGCTACAGTAATCAAGACAATATGATATGGGCATGAAGGCAAATATATAAATCAATGGGACAAAGATGAAGATATAGCTCAATAGTACAAAATACAGGAGAGCTAGAAAGAAACCCACAACCATGACAAGGTAATTCAGAGGTAGAAGGCCTCAGCAGAGGTTGCTGGGAATAGCTGCATTTTCATGTGGGAAAATAATGTACTTCAATTCCTACCTAATGCCACAAACAAAGATTAATTCAAGATGGGTCACAAAACTAAACATTAAACCTACAACTATAACCTTTTTCAGAAGTAAACACAGTCTTCTATCTTCACAATTGGGGGTAGCTACAGATTTCTCAGAACACAGAAAGCAGTGATCATAAAAGAAAAAAATGAACATGTTAGACTTTATCAAAACATAAAAACTTCAACTCACTGAAAAGCATCATTTAGAAAATAGACAAATCCCCAAATGAGAAAAAAATATTCACAAGACAGACTTGACAAATGATTTAATTCTAACCTCTATGATAAAAGTCCTATGGCAACAATGAAAAGGCAGATTATCCAATTTTTTTAAAAAAATTGCCAAAAATTTGGAAGAGGAACTTAAAAGGAAGATATACAAATGGTCAACAGTAGATGAAAAAGTGCTCAACATCATTAGTTATCAGGAAAATGAAAATTTAGACCTCAAACAGATACCACTTGATACCCACTAGAATGGCTAAAATTAACATCTTACAACATCAAGTGTTGACAAGGATGGGGAGCATCTGGAACTTGCTTACATTACTGGAGGGAACATAGAAATGATGCCACTCATTTGGAAAAAGATATGATAGCTTTCTATAAAACTAAGCAAACATCAACCCTATTATCCTGGGGTTTCCCCACTAGGTATTTATGCAAGAGAAATGAAAACATGTGTCTACACACACAAAGACTTGTACAAGAATGATTAAAACAGCTTTATTAATAGTGACACAACACTGAAAACAACCCAAATGTCCATCAAGAAGAGAATGGGTAATGACTGTGGTGTGTATTTATGTACATACACACACCACATACACACACATATGTATACATATGTTCTTTACAATAGAATACTTACTATTCAATGATAAAAAAAGAACGACATATGGATATACTCGGCCATATGGGTAAATCTCATAGAAGCTGGAAACAAGGTAAATCAAACTCCATAGTAGTTTTTACATATTTTTTTTTTTTTTTTTGAGACAGAGTTTCACTCTCATCCAGGCTGGAGTGCGATCTCGGCTCCCTGCAACCTCCACCTCCCAGGTTCAAGTGATTCTCCTGCCTCAGCCTCCTGAGTAGCTGGGATTACAAGCATGCGCCACCACACCAGGCTAATTTTGTATTTTTAGTAGAGACAGGGTTTCTCCATGTTAGTCAGGCTTGTCTCGAACTCCTGACCTCAGGTGATTCACCTGCCTCTGCCTCCCAAAGTGCTGGGATTACAGGCATGAGCCACCAGGCCCGGCCTACCTGAAGTTTTAAAATTGGCAAAACAAATACAGTCTAAATAATTTTTAGAAAACTTGTTGCTTTTGGAGGGTATTAACTGGAACAGGGCACAGTGAAGCTTTCTGGGGTGAGAGAAAATTTCTGTATCTTGGTAGGGGTGTCATTTATATTGGTAGATGCGTTTGTCAGAATCTGTTCAATTGCACACTTAAAGTGTGCTTTTTACTGATGTAAATTATACCTAAAAATACTACCACACAAATGTTGAACTATACTTGGTTGATTTTTTTTCTTTAGTATTTGATGGCAATTCTGATACCACTTTCTGTGTATTCTAGATTTGAACAAATGAGTAAATATATTAAGATTATTGAAAGCAAAGTGTCTTACTACTGGTAAAAGGAGTTACCAAGATGGGAAGGGTTGTGCAGATCGGGGCTGAAAGTATCAATATAAGTTCTCATTTTTGATACATACCCACATTTCTTAATTATGACAACGCCTAGAAGCAATGAGCACATCCAGCACCCAAATTTTTATTTCTAAATAACATTCCCTAAATAAAAGAAAGCAGAACTTCCTAGGAAAAGGCTGATTTCAGTGCTGGAGCAAAGACTGTAAAAGGAAATCCTAGACAACCTCCTTGCACCAGAAAGGAAGGAGGTGTTGAGAGAACAGTGGACACAAATCCAAAGGACAGAGAGCTAGTTTGAAGGGATTCCCCACCCATCAAATCTGGGGCAACCTGAGCATCACAATAAATAATGGTAGTAACAGAATATAATCTACTGGGTAAAATAAGATCCATAAGTCCATATAAATAGATGATTAAGTAAATGGAGAAGAAAAACCTCTTACATACAGAAGAATGCCAGTGTAGGAGGAATAATAGTTAGAAATTCATCAATGAGTGCTAAAGCTAGTAGATAACCACTAGATAAAAGTTTAATGAGCAAAATCCTATTAATTACAAAGGGAAATAATTTTACAGGGGAGAAACTTCCACTACCTTAACCAAGTGACCAAAATTAACATAACCAGTAATGGGACAAATCAACACCATACGCCTTTTTGATGCAATGCACTGAGGGACATAACATCACTTCCGTGGCACTGCTGGCAAAAATCCATAACAGGACTTTAAGAAACCTCGGAAAAATCAAATTGGCAGACATCCTACAAATTAACTTGTCCATGCTCTTGGAAAACACCAAATCAAGAAAGAGAAAGGCTTAGGATCTGCTCCAGATTAAAAGAGACTAAGAAGACATGACAATTAAGTGCAACCTAAGATCCTGGATTGAACCCTGGACCAGGAAAATAATGGCTATAAAAGACATTATTGAGAGAATTGATAAAATTGAATATGGAGTGTAGATTAGATACTAGAATTGTATGTGTTAAATTTTCTGATTTTAATAATTGCACTATAGTTATGAAAGAGAGTGTCCTTTTTATAAAAGAAAATATGCACTGAAATTTTCTGTGGTAAAGGGGCATGATGTCTCTACCAGTCTCAAATGGTTCAGAAAAAAAACTCCACGATGATATACACACACACACATATAAATATATATTCATAAATATGCACATGTGCCTATATATACACAAACACACATAACTATTATATATATTTTATATATATGACACACCATATATATAAAATATGACATACCATATATATAAAATATATATAGATAGAGCAAATGAGTTAAAAGGTATACAGTTGCAATTGGTTGATTTGAGTAAAATATATATGGGGTCCTTTGTGTCATTTTTGCAACTTTTCTATACATGTGGAAGTAGATCAAAATAAAATACATGAGAAGGTTTATTATAATGATGGGACTGTAAATTGGGACAACTACCCATTGAAAACCATTAGGCAGTATCTACCAAAGCTAAACGTACAAATACCCTATGAACCAGCAATTTCATTCCTAGGTATTACTCAATGGAAATACATAGATATGGCCATTAAAAACATGCACAAGAATATTCATAGCAATGTTATAATAGCATAGCATTCCTTTGCGTCAATATATCACAATTTATTTTTGCATTATACCCTTAATAGACATTTAGGTTGCTTCCAGTGTAGGGCTCTTACAAACAGCATGGAAAGGTGCTGAACTTTATTAGTTACCAGTGAAAAAAAGATACTCAAACATTCACCATGTGAGCACACATTTTAAAGTCTGTCCTTTGTAGGAACATGGATGAAGCTGGAAACCATCATTCTCCGCAAACTATCGCAAGGACAAAAAACCAAATACCGCATGTTCTCACTCATAGGTGGGAATTGAACAATGAGAACACATGGACACAGGAAGGGGAACATCACACCGGGGCCTGTTGTGGGGTGGGGGGAGGGGGAAAGGATAGCATTAGGAGATATACCTAACGTTAAATGACGAGTTAATGGGTGCAGCACACCAACATGGCACATGTATACATATGTAACTAACCTGCACGTTGTGCACATGTACCCTAAAACTTAAAGTATAATAAAAAATAAAACAAAAAACAAATTTTGGTGAGGATGTGGAGTAAAGTGAGCTCTCGTACACTGCTGGTAGAAGTATACATTGGCACATCCACTTTGGAAAACAGTTTGGTATTCAGTGTGTGAATTTGAGACAGATATCCCCCATGAGCCAACAACGCCACATCATTATATACCCCTAGACTAACCTACGCACATAGACACCAGAGTACAAGTCTGAGAAGGCTAATGGCAGTGTTATAATAGTTCCAAACTGCAAAGAATCCAAATGCTTACCCAGTAGAGTGCATTTTAAAAGTGGCATATTCAAACATCACACTGAATGGGCAAAAGCTGGAAGCATTCCCCTTAAAAACTAGAACAACATGAGGATGCCCACTTTCACCACTCGTATTCAACATAGTGCTGGAAGTCCTAACCAGAACGATCAGGCAAGAGGAAGAAATAAAAGGTGTACAATTTTTTTTTTTAAAAAAAGGAAGTCGAACTATCTCTCTTCGTGAATGACATAATTCCATACCTTGTAAAACCCTAAAGATGCCATGAAAAGGGCACTAGATCTGATAAACATAGTAAGTAAAGTTTCAGGATACAAAATCAACGTGCAAAAATCAGTAGCATTTCTATACACCAATAACATTCAAGCTGGGAGTCAAATCAAGAACACAATGCCATTTACAATGGCCACACAAAAAAATACAATACTTAGGAATACTTAACCAAGAGGGTGAAACATCTCTAAAGCAGAACTCAAAAACGCTGATAAAAGAAATTACGGATGACACAAATGGAAATGCATTCCATGCTCATGAATTGGATGAATCAATATTGTTAAAATGTTCGACCGGGCATGGTGGCTCACGCCTGTAATCCCAGCACTTTGGGAGGCTGAGGCGGGTGGATCACTTGAGGTCAGGAGTTCGAGACCAGCCTGGCCAACATGGTGAAAGCCTGTCTCTACAAAAAATACAAAAATTAGCTGGGTGTGGTGGCAGGCACCTATAATCCCAGCTACTCAGGAGACTGAGGCTTGAGAATAGCCTGAACTTGGGATGCAGAGGTTGCAGTGTGCCAAGATCATGCCACTGCTTTCTAGCCCGGGCAACAGAGAATCTGACTCAAAAAAAAAAAAAAAAAAAGTCATAGTGCCCAAAGCAATTTACAGATTTAACACTATTGCTATCAAATCACTAATGTCATTTTTTGCAGAATTAGAAAAAAAAATCCAAAATTTACATGACATCAAAAAGAGCCTGAATAGCCAAAGAAATCCTGAGCAAAAAGAACAAAGCTGGAGGCATCTCATTACCCAACTTCAAACTATACTACAAGACCACAGTAACCAAAACAGTATGGTACTGACACAAAAGTGGACACATAGATCAATGGAACAAAACAGAGAGCCCAGAAGTAAAGCCACACATCTACAACCAACTAATCTTCCCACCCTTTAATACTATGTATAATTATTATTTGTGTCAGGATAAGTTGAACTAGTCATTGTTGAATAGAAACAAAGTTGACAAAAATAGGCAATGGGGAAAGGACTCCCTTATTCAACAAATGGTGCTGGGAAAACTGGTTAGCCATATGCAGAAGAATGAAACTGGACCCCTCCCTATCGCCATATAAAAAATTAACTCAAGATGGATTAAAATCTTAAATGTAAGACCTCAAACTATAAAAATCCTAGAAGAAAACCTAGAAAATACCCTTCTGGACATCAGCCTAGGCAAAGAACTTACGACTAAGTCCTCAAAAGCAATTGCGACAAAAACTAAAATTGACAAGTGGGACAAAATTAAACTACAGAGCTTCTGCACAGCAAAATAACAGAGTAAATATACCACCTAGAGAAATGGCAGAAAATATTCACAAACTATGCCTCTGACAAAGGACTAATATCCATAATCTATAAGGAATGCAAACAAATCAATAAGCAAGGAACAACCTCATTAAACAGTGGGTAAAGGACATAAAGAGACACTTCTCAAAAAGAGACATATGAGTGGCCAACAAACATATGAAAAACTGCTCAACATCACTAATCATCAGAGAAATGCATGCCGAAACCACAAAAAGACACCATCTCATACCAGTCAGAATGGCCATTATTAAAAATCCAAACAATAACAGACAGTGAGGCTACAGAGAAAAGGGAACACTTACACACTGCATGTGGGAAAGTAGATTAGTTCAGCCACTGCAGAAAGCAGTTTGGAGATGTCTCAAAGAACTAAAAAGAGAACTACCATTCAATCCAACAATCCCATTACTGGGTATCTACCCAAAAGAAAATAAATTGTACTACCCAAAAGATACAAGCATACGTATATTCATTGTAGCACTATTCACAGCAACAAAGACATGGAATCAACCTAGATGCCCATCAGTGATGGACTGAAAAAAGAAAATGTGTTTCATATACACCATGGAATACTCTGCAGCCAAAAAAAGGATGAAATAATGTCCTTTTCAAACAACATAAGTGGAGCTGGAGGCCATTATCCTAGTGCAATTAACACAGAAAACCAAATATTGTATGTGAGAGCTAAATATTGGGTATGCACAGACATAAAGACAGGAATAACAGATGCCAGAAACTCCAAAGGAAGAGAAGGAGAGAGGGGGGCAAGGGCTGAAAAACTACCTGTTGGGTACTATGTTCACTATGTACATGATGGGATCAACAGAAGCCCAAACCCCAGCATCACACAATATACCCTTGTAACAAACCTGCACACATAGCTACTGAATCTAAAATTAAAATTTTAAAATAATTTATAAATGAATGTGGCATATTCATATACAAATAAAACACTGAATATGAAAGAACTCCAGGTACCTACAGTGATGCTTTGATTCAATGTATATGTTGAATCAAACAAGAAAGAAAAACACAAAATGTATACAGTATGATTCCATTTATGTAAAGTTGAAAACATGCAATGCTAAAGTATGATGTGTATGGATACATACAAATACAGTACAACTACAAAGCAAAACTATGTTGTTTTGGATGACGTATATGAGGAAAATCTATCCTCATAGAGAAATGTAGTTGTAAAAGTGAGGAGTATTTTAGTAGGTTTTTCAAATAATTGTAGGATATTCTTTGATATCACTCTGAAACTTGACAAGTGATAGTTGCTTAAAAGCTAGTGGCACTGTGGAATCTAACATGACATCAATGAACATTTTGTACTCTGTTACTCTAAAATCCATTGGTCTAGCTTACACTTCAAATGAATCTTTTATTCATGCATAATTTTGCTACATCATGCATTAGTCATCTGGAAAACATTAGCTTGCTGAGTTATGAAACTTTTTCAAATGTTGACATACTATATATTATGCAATATCAAAAATCACATTCACTAATATTACCGCCAATATTAATGCAGAATTTAAGTGCTGGTAAGCTATTTAGGTCATGTTTTAAAGAATATGAATGTTGACTGGAAAGCAACAAATGGTATTAATTGTTTTAACTGAGAGACTTACCCTCATCATTTTTGAAAAAAAAAATCTTTGCCATATAACAAAGTCTGAGTAAACATAGTTTGTCAGTCATTCTTTCAGGTAAAAGTGGTGTTTCATGGAAAAGGGGGCCAGTTCAGCTTGCAACTGAAACAACTGCACAGATGGTGATTTCGTTTTAAGACCACCATCATCATATGCAGCAGAAGTGCTCAGAATATTAAAACGACTTGTAGTCAAGGGTCAATATTTAATAAAATGAATCATTTTTACTGTTTCATCAGGGACATTACTAAGGGAAATTAGCATTTACTTTTACATTGTGCAAAACAGTGAGGAATACAATGACTAATGGCGCAGTTTGATGCCACAAGCTTGATTCAAGCTAAGGTGCCAGCAGTTTTACCACCATTACTTCTTGTACCATGGCCCAAATGTTCACATAGTGAAAAAGGCAAATGACTTTTTTTTTTTAAGCAAACTCCCAAAAAAAGAAATCTCCAGATCCAGGCAGTGTCACTGAAGAATTCTACCAAATATTTATTTATATTTCCATAGGTTATTGGGAGACAGGTGGTGTTTGGTTACACGAGTAAGTTCCTTAGTGGTGACGTGTGAGATTTTGGTGCACCCATCACCCAGGCAGTATACACTGTACCCTATTTCTAGTCTTTTATCCTTCACCCCCTTCCCACTCTTTCCCCAAGTCCCCAAAGTCCACTGTGTCATTCTTATGCCTTTGCATCCTCATAGCTTAGCTCCCACTTATGCATGATAACATACAATGTTTGGTTGTCCATTCCTGAGTTACTTCACTTAGAATAATGGTCTCCAATCTCATCCAGGTTGCTGCAAATGCCATTAATTCATTCCTTTTTATGACTGAGTAGTATTCCATCATATATATATATATAACCTGTGAGATATATATATATATATTATATATATATATATATATTATATATATATATATATATCTCACAGTTTCTTTATCCATTCCTTGATTGATAGGCATTTGGATCAGTTCCACATTTTTGCAATTGAGAATTGTGCTGCTATAAACACACATGTGCAGTTATCTTTTTTTGTATAATGACTTTTCTCTGGGTAGATACCAAGCAGTGGGATTGCTGGATCAAGTGGTAGTTCTACTTTTAGTTCTTTAAGGAATCTCCACACTGTTTTCCATAGTGGTTGTATTAGTTTACATTCCCACCAGCAGTGTAGAAGTGTTCCCTGTTCACTGCATCCATGCCAACATCTACTATTTTTTGATTTTTTTGATTATGGCCATTCTTGCAGGAGTAAGGTGGTATTGCATTATGGTTTTGATTTGCATTTTTCTGCTCATTAGTGATGTTGAGCATTTTTTCATATGATTGTTGGCCATTTGTATATCTTCTTTTGAGAATTGTCTATACATGTCCTTAGCCTACTTTTTAATGGGATTTTTTTTTCTTGTTGATTTGAGTTCATTGTAGATTTTGGATATTAGTCCTTTGTCAGACATATAGATTGTGAAGATTTTCTCCCACTCTGTGGGTTGTCTGTTTACTCTGCTGGCTGTTCCTTTTGCCATGCAAAAGCTCTTTGGTTTAATTAAGTCCCAGCAATTTATCTTTGTTTTTATTGCATTTGCTTTTGGGCTCTTGGTCATGAAATCCTTGCCTAAGCCAAGGTCTAGAAGGGTTTTTCCAATGTTATCTTTTAGAATTTTTATAGTTTCATGTCTTAGATTTAAGTCTTTAATCCATCTTAAGTTGATTTTTGTATAAGGTGACAGACAAGAATCCATTTTCATTCTCCTACATGTGGCCAGCCAATTATCCCAGCACCATTGTTGAAAAGGGTGTACTTTCCCCACTTCGTTTTTGTTTGCTTTGTTGAAGATCAGTTGGCTGTAAGTATTTCGGTTTATTTCTGGGTTCTCTATTCTGTTCCATTGGTCTATGTGCCTGTTTTTATAACAGTACCATGCTGTTTTGGTGACTATGGGCTTATAGTATAGTTTGAATCATGTAATGTGATGCTTCCAGATTTGCACTTTTAATATTATTATGAAAATCATTTTGACATTGTGAACCTCCTGAAAGCTTCTCAGGGACCCCAGGGGTCCACAGACCACAGTTTGAGAACTGCTGGAGTAGGGGTATGAAGGAGGTTCTCCTGGAATAACTGGTTGGTCTCCTTATTAGTCTAGTTGGCTGGCACAGAAGGAAGACGAAGAGAGTGAGAGAGACAGAGAGAGAGAGAGAGATGGTGTGTGTGTGTGATTATGTGTGTGTTCCTCTGTGTTCGTGTGTGTGTGTGTGTGTGTGAAAGAGAGAAGAGAGATAATTCTATTTAAGGAGGAGAGAGATGAAGGGAAGGTGGGAAGAGGGGAAGTGAAGGTGGGAGAGAGAATAAGGGAAGATAGGAGAGAGGGAAGGAGGAGGAATGGAAGGAGGGGGAAAGTGAGGAAGTATTAATAATATGTGGCATACATGGTTTTTTAGCCTGATGGTGCCAGAAGCATTTGAAAACACAAGAGAACTTCTTCATATATCTGAGGGCGAGCTAGAATGCTACAGGGTGAGAACTCTCAATGGGGCCTTTCCTGTCCATTAGTATCAGATAGGAAGCATCATGTAAGGAAAACCTAAACTGTGCAGTCCTTAAACAAAAGTGCTAGTCTTTGGCTGGGCACGGCAGCTCACGCCTGTAATACCAGCACTTTGGGAGGCCGAGGTGGGTGGATCACGAGGTCAGGAGATCGAGACCATTCTGGCTAACACGGTGAAACCCCGTCTCTACTAAAAATACAAAAAAATTAGCCAGGCGTGCTGGCGGGCGCCTGTAGTCCCAGCTACTTGGGAGGCTGAGGCAGGAGAATGGTGTGAACCCAGGAGGTGGAGCTTGCAGTGAGCAGAGATTGCGCCACTGCACTTCAGCCTGGGAGACAGAGCGAGACTCTGTCTCAAAAAAAAAAAAAAGTACTGGTCTTCAACGTCAAAGAAATTTTCAAGTAAGAATGGTGTTTTCACTGAAATGCTTCTCAATCTACCTTCGAGCTTTGGCCTTGCCTGTTTGCTTGTTTTCCACCCAGTGGCGGCCTAGGTCTGTTAACAGACTGGCAGCCAGGCAGGCAGCAAGGCAAACAGGGGGTGTGCAGTGGCTGGTGTTGTCTACCTGGTGTCCGCTAGAAAGGGGTTATGGGCTTAAGCCTTCTGCAAAGGCGTATCATGAGTCACAGAGCAAGGGAGCAGAGCTGAGGACTCCAGCCTCACCTCCAGTGGGGACTCCGCTGAAGATGAGCCCAGCTGCTGCCCCTTGCCCAGTCTTGCCCCACTGGCCATGGAGTTAGCTGTGCCCAGTAACACTTCAGCGCCTGTGGACACCTGCTTTCAACTTCCACACCTCTGACTAAGGGCCTGTGGGTCCTCTGTTGCTTTTTCTTTCTAAACACAGAATAACTCTTTTACAGTGTATCTTTCTTTTTATTTTGTAGTTTGAGTTTTACATTATTACCATTCATCATTATTTTAACTTCTCTTTACTTATTAAATTGGAACAGGGATTTCTCCTGCAAACAATAATTGTGAGAATAATGTAGACATTAAAGAAAACCTTTTTGTTTCTCCTCTCAAGGTACTTTTCAGGGCCCTGGAAATGTCTATAAGACAGTCTTGCCACTGTGGTCCCAGAGAAGGCCATAAAGTCAGTGCTGACGCACAAAGTCACTGTCCTCGTGATGTAATCAACTATGGCCTCAATGCTCCATCCCCCAAAGCTAACATGGCCAGGGTGACAGAGACAGGGCTGCCCTCTCATCCATTCACTGGGTCCTTTCTGAGGACAGGAATGCATAAAAACCCAGTGTACCCAACACACACACACACACACACACACACACACACACACACACACACACACACACACACACTGCTTTTAGTAACTCTGAACCAGCTCAAGTTAAATAAGAATATGGGGATAGCCTATGCAAGATAAATAAATTAGATGAAATCAGCTTACAATTTACCATTATTTGGAATTTTGACAAAACTTCTGGCCTCACACCAGCTACTGCGGACCTAACAACTACTCAGCATCCCTCTTGCTTCTAAGGAACAGTACGCACAAGAAAGCAGTAAAGATTGTATACTGGGTATGTGGGGGCCACCGAAGTTGCTCCATGACATAGAAATGATGGCAGGAAACCATCCTCTTCCTCAAAGCAGGAGATCTCTCCTGTCTCCTCGGAGCCACTGGAATGCCACTGGACTGAGCAGGGTTAGATGGCACAGGCACACATCACATGGAGGCTCTTTAACCTCTGTCCCTGTCCAGATGAACCCAACTTCACTGTGCTGTCATATCCACTCCCATACCCCAGCTCCTGCTTTTCTCTAAGGCAGAGGCAGATCTCATTAATCCTGCACCTCCTGGTGCTGAATCTCCAGGGATCTTAAGTTGGAGCCCAGACAGCCAGGGATCTAATTCTAACCCCAAAGTTTGGGGAAGTTACTTCATCTCTTCTTTTATACAATGTGGATGGAAATGGCGCCTTCCTCATAGGGTTACTGCAGGGATGAAATGAAATAATATATATATTATATATATATATACGTTTATATATATAAAGGGTTCTTGGCACAGAGAAAGGACTTGCTAGAGGTTAGATCTCACTATACCACTCCTAGTACCACTGCTACTGCTACCACTTAAACACAATGGTCAAGAGGACAACTGCAATATTATTTCCAATAACCCCAGAAATACATAAATACATAAATCAATGTAACAAGGAGATTTGGGAGCCAGCCCCTGGACATTACCAGCCAGCCGCAACGTATTCCCATGTATTGTATTCCCATGAATTGTACCATGGGCAACCCTGGCCCTAAGGAGACAAAATCTCTCTTCCAAGACACAAACCCACAGTCACTAATGAAATGTCAATTACATTTCAAAGTGTAATTGTGGGTCACTTTCATCTGGACAAAGCAGTTTATATGGTAAATTAGAATTTGATAAGGAAGCCCTTTAAAATAATTCTATAGAATTCTTTGAGCATTGTCAGTGCCTTGAGTAAACAAATATTCCACAAAAATTAATAGGAGGATGTGAAGAGGCTTTCACAAATGAGGTTGACCCACTGATGATCGTTAGAACAGATGTGGCAAGATCTGTGTCACCCCAAAACAACGGCCAGATTCTCACTTGAACAAGCATAACAATATTCAATGCTAGGTAGTTTGACATATTTTAAGGGAACTCACAAAAATAAATGTCTTCGATTTTTATTTCATATGAATCCTAAAACGTAGGTTTTCATTTACTTTTAATGTTGACAAATTATCAAAATGGACTGAGGGACCTTAAAAGTCATGTAGTCAAAGTTCAAAAACTGCCTCAAGATAGCTACCTCCTCTTAAACACATATAAAACTGTAGAAATGGATAGTATCATTTAGATAAAGGGAAATACCAACATGTCTGTCACACACACACACACACAAAATCAAACACACAAACAAGCAAAACAGGAAACAATAGTGCCTTCCTGCTAAGCATGTGGTCATCGCCCTCTGGGCACACAGCCAAGAACGGCCCTGCTGTGTAAGTCAGGAGCTTCAGCTGGTCTCATTCTACTGAGTCTTTCTCCAATCTGGGCCTTTGACTCTAAAATTAGCAGGTACGATCACACAAACTCTGCAGAAACCTCCCTTCCCCGACGCTCTTCTAACTGCATTTTACAAGCATCCCACATCAGTGCCAGAACTGTATTCTCCTCTCTAGCTATGGGAATACTGCTCGAACCAGAGAGCAGACATGGTCATTTATAAAGACTATGACTTGCATTGGAACATCACAAAACTAATATGTTCTAAAAATATATAGCAATCAACAATTCACCCATAGTGGGGAGGATTATTTTGCTTCAGCTCAAGACTTTGCCAAGCTCCAGACCTGGAGCTAATGGCTTCTTTGACATCTCCAACTGGATGAAGCACAACTTCCTCAAACTCAACACGACTCCATCAGAAATCATCAAATCTCCACTCAACGCTGCACCCCACCCAGTATTTACCATACAAAAAAAACTGGGGAGCTTTTTTAATGTCCTGATTTAGCCTGGGCTTCAACCACAGTGATTTTGATGTAATTTTGATTTTGATGTCTGGGATGCTATCTAGGCATTGAAGTGTTTTTCTGACCTGCCCCCTCCAGGGTTTAGAATCACTGCTCTAGATATTTTAAATCCCTAATAATTTAATGGGTCTACACCTCCTCTCGTGGGTTGTCAATCTTAAAATGCTCTAAGATTGCTATAACCCTCCACCCAGGGACACTGCAGTCCATATCAATGTGCCATTGGGAGCTATGCAAGGCAGCAGCTCTGTATTTCCAGGCCTCGAGGTCTCCAGCACTCCACGCTCTCTTGTAGCAGCCATCAGCTCTGTCTCTGTATTAGAATCACTTGTGCATCTTTTAAAAGACACTAATGCTCAGAGATCCTGAACCAATGGGCTTGAATCCCACTGATAAATTTTTTAAAGGTCCCCAGGTGACCATAATATGTGGCCAGAGTCAATTACCACTTATTTGGCACCTACCCCAAAGAGAACTACTAATTTCTGCAAGGTATCCAATGGCCATGTGTGCATGAGTCTGCCCTTCTCAGGGCCTACATTCTGCTAATCCTGTCACTTCTCACACTTTCCTCCTTCTGAGTCCTGCTTCTTTAACTGCCTCACCTAATAGATCGTGGCTTACCACATTGGCATGCATTTTTGCCTTTTCGTTTTTGAGATGGAGTCTTGCTCTGTCACCCAGGATGGAGTGCAGTGGTGTGATCTCAGCTCACTGCCACCTCTGCCTCCCGGGTTCAAGCAATTCTCCTACCTCAGCCTCCCGAGTAGCTGGGATACAGGCGTGCACCACCATGCCTGGCTATCTTTTGTATAGTAGTGCAGGGTTTTGCCATGTTGGCCAGGCTGGTCTCAAACTCCTGACCTCAAGTGATCCTGCTGCCTCAGCCTCCCAAAGTGCTGGATTACAGGCATGAGCCACCACACCCGGCCAGAGTCATGCTTTTACACATAATATTCATGCTTTGTCCATGCTTCCCTCTACTCTGCATCACTTACTCTGGACTTGTACCAAACCTGAACATCACTGGAAAAAAATCTTAGAACTCTGATGACTAGGCTGTCTTCAAATTTATATCATATAGGCACTGAAAACTGCTAAATTGTTTTATTTTCATGGAAATTTCACTTTGTTATTCCCCAAGATGACAATTTCATACTTTTCTGTTTTTCTCAAATTTCCAACAAACTCTTTCCCTTCAGTCTCCCTTATAACTTTGCTACCTACTCCACACAGTGGTCTAATGGAGAACTCTTGATCTTCCCTATCATTATTCTTCAGCTTCTGTACCCTCATCCTTCATCCTTCTCTCACCTTACCTCCCTTTGGATGCTACCCTCCTCACCTGCTAAAAGTTACTAAGGGACATCATCCTTCCAATTAGCCCTGATTTCCACTGTTTCATCACTTCCTTCTTCTCTATATGAGATGTTTTTAAGTTGCTCATCTTAAAAATCAACTTCATATCTCCCTCCAGCTACCAATCCTTTTTATGCTGTCCTTTATAGCAACAATCTTTGAAGATTTATCTATACTCTCTGTCACCAAATGCTCACTTCTTCTCCCTTCATTTTATAAAGATACTTTCACTGGAATTAGAATTTTAGTTTTGCAGGGTTTTGTATTGAACACATTGAAGTTATCTTCCGTTGTCTTCCAGTTCCCAGTGTTGCTGTTAAAAGATATCCCATATTCATGGGCCAGAAAATGCAATGTTGCTAAGATGGCAATACTCCTTAGATTAATGTACAGATTCAACCCAATCCCTTTCAAAATTCCAGCTGGCTTTTTTTTCAGAAATTGACAAGCTGACCCTAAAATTCATATGGAAATTCAAGGGATTGAGAATAGCCAGGATAATCTCGAAAAACAAAGGAGGACTCACATTTTCTGACTTTAAAATTTATGATAAATCCACAATAATTAAGATAGTATGGTATTGGCATAAACCCTTGCATTTATGTCTGGTTGATTCTTTACAAGAGCAGCAAGATAATTTTGTGGGGAAAGAACAGGTTTTTTTGGGTTTTTTTGTTTTTTTGTTTTTTTAACAAATAATGGTCGGGCAACTTAGTATCCACAAGTGAATGAATAAAGTTCTATCCTTACTTCACACTGTACACAAAAATTAAGACAAGATTGATCATGAGCCTCCTAAACCTAAGAGACAATAGCATAACAACACTTAGAAGAAAACATAGCAGTAAATCTTTGTAATCTTGAGTTAGGCAATAATTTTGTAGGTACAATAACAAAAGTACAATCAACAAAAGAACAGATAAATTGAACTTCATCAAAATTACAAATATTTATAGTTTTTTCTCAAAGAACACTATCAAGAATATGGAAAGGCAACCTACAGAATGGGAGAAAATATTTGCACAATGTACATCTGATAAGGGACTTGTATACAGGATATATACAACTCAATAATAAAAACACAAATAACCAATAAAAATGGACAAAGGATTTGAATAGATATTTCTCAAAAGAATACATAAAACCAGTCAATAATCACATGAAAAGATACTCAACATCACTAGTCATTAAGGAAAAGCAAATCAAAATCACAACGAAATATAACTTCACACCCACTAGGATGGGTATAATAAGAAAGACAAACAATAATAAGTGTTGACAAAGATGTGGAGAAACTGGAAATCTTATACTCTGCTGGTAGGAACATAAAATGATACAGCTACTTCAAAAAATAGTTCAGCAGTTACTCAAAAGTTAAGCATAGAATTCCCATATGACCCAGACATTCTACTCCTAGGTATATACCAAAGAGAAATGAAAACATATCTGTATATGAATTGTCATAACAG